>NC_000001.11:45311410-45614441 GCF_000001405.40 Homo sapiens | reverse complement strand
GTTCCAGAGAATCTATTAGAGGAAGAACGAGGGAGCTGAAGAGAGTAGGAGAGTATAAAATGGAAAATGCATTACCAGATTCAACACTAACTTCTCCGAGTTTAAGATGTGCCTGGGCAGCATAAAGCTGTGCTTCTTTTGTTTCTTGCCTAAAAGAAGGAAAATTGATCAAAAACCTTAACAGTACCTGTCTAACCCTAACTGGTTTCTATTTAACCACCAAACTCCCAACCCAAGCCTAGAAGCACCAAGAGTTTTACCTTTTAAAAATGATCTTTGCTAAATCCAGCATATCCCAGGCAAGCTCTAGGTTCCCAATCTCCTCCTCCTCATTTTCTTGAAGAGACTAAAGTATAACCAAATAATAAAAAGATAGGCATCTTTTTCAAATACAAATCTAAATGTATAACTTAGCGTAGCTTAAAAAAAGTTGATATACGATTCAAAATTTGGACTTTCTCCCTAAAATCTAGAGAATGGGTCCACATACTGTCTTAAGTCATGACCATGTCACTGATATTTTAACAGTGAAATGTTGGCTCACATACTAACACACAAGAACCCCAGGATCAAATATATCCACCCATCCTAGGCATGAATAAAGGGTCCCTAATCCATAATCAAGAGACAGTTATCTATAATAATCATGCCTAGGGCTGGGCATGGTGGGTTATGCCTATAATCCCAACACTTTGGGAGGCTGAGGCAGGAGAATAACTTGAAGCCAGGTTTGAGACCAGCCTGGGCAGCACAGCAAGACAGCCGTCTAAACAAAATAAAATTAGAGAACAAATTAGCCAGACATGGTGGCAGACATCTGGAGACCTAGCTATCTGAGAAGATGAGGCAGAAGGATTCCTTGAACCCAGGAGGCTAAAGATACAGTGAGCCCTGATCATGCCAGTGCACTCCGGCCTGGGCAGAGACAGAGATTCTATCTCTTAAAAAAATAATAATCGTGCCTAAACTAGGTAAGCTACAGTCCTGCAAACTAGCTGGGCATGTTGGCACAAGCCTGTAGTCCCAGCTACTTGAGAGGCTGAGGTGAGGCGATCACTTAAGCCCGGGTCTAGGCTGCAGTGAGCCATGATCATGATCACCCCACTGCAATCCAGCCTAGGCAACAAGAGTGAGCTCCAGTCTCCCAAAAACAGAAAAAGGCTGACAACAGTACTGAGTGGCTAACAACATACCTTGTTTTCAAGGACTGAATCATTTGGCATTTCTTCGGTCTTATCATTTTCTTTATCATCCTCTTCTGAGCCTTCAGTTTCTACAAGTAAAAATTCCTCAGTATTGAGAATATAACTAAGAACGTATTCTGACTAGTCAGAGATTCCAATACACGTCTCAACCTATATTCAGATAGGACAGGCCAGATGCTAATCCAAGTGAGTTAACACCTGAACTGAATATATCGTCAGTGGGTGCAGTCTAGTTCAAGTGTAACCTAGACTAAGAATGTGCAATCTTAGTCTATGGGTCAGACCTTCAGCAATTAAAAGGCTGAGTGTTTCTCTTATAAAAGTCAACCTGGACCATTCAGAATAAGAAACATTGGCTACTGCCTCTTATTCAATGGCTAGAAGCTCCCATTCATTCAGCCAGAAGCAGGTGGAGACCTCAGTCAGTGTTTCTGGTATCTTTAAGCCACTCATTAGATAATACTAATAGCCTGGGAAAGTACGAAAGTTAAATTATTCCAGTCCATTCTGATCAAGAATGCTCAAGAGACTAGCTTTCCCACAACAGAGATGTGGAGCAAAAAGCATAGTCCTTACCGACTTACACCAATGAGCATGCCACAGACTCCAGCCAGCTCTAGCACATACAGAATTTGAGTAAGGAATACTATAACCCCTATTTTACTCCTATACCTTTGCTAATGACACCTCTAAAATCTGCAGCCATATATCAACACCATATTTCACCATATTGAATACACTCACAAGTCAACCATCTAAAGGTCAGGCTCCTAATCAATAGCGCTACTGTGATTAGACAAATCAACAATGTTAAGTGATTAAAATAAGCTTTCTGTTAACACAAACAACTCATGAATTGGATATAATATGCCTCTCTCTGCCATCTTTCATTATGCATTTTTAACACCAGCAAAAAAGCTCAAACACTATCTCCAAACACTCTTACTATGGGAATATAAATATGGCAATTAGGACTTAGAGCAATCGTCAGGTCAAAGGAGTTTTATCAGCAGCAACCACAAAGAGATTCCGTTTTCAAAGAAGCTTAGAAAATACTTTAACAGGGTCAGGCGCGGTGACTCACGCCTGTAATCCCAGCTCTTTGGGAGGCCGAGGCGGGCGGATCACGAGGTCAGGAGATTGAGACCATCCTGGCGAACATGGTGAAACCCCGTCTCTACTAAAAAAAAAAACCAAAAAACAAAAAAATTAGCCAGGTGTGGTGGCAGGCGCATGTAGTCCCAGCTACTTGGGAGGCTGAGGCAGGAGCATGGCGTGAACCCAGGAGGTGGAGCTTGCAGTGAGCGGATTATCGCACCACTGCACTCCAGCCTGGGTGACAGAGCAAGACTCCGTCTCAAAAAAAAAAAAAAAAAAAAAAGATACTTTAACAAATTTACTGAGGACATCAGGGCATTGCCATTGATACCTGGGCACAAGTTGGGAAAGGTTTTAAAGTAATGGCAATGGCTGCCAGGCGCGGTGGCTCACACCTGTAATCCTAGCACTTTGGGAGGCCAAGGTGGGCAGATCACCAGGTCAGGAGATTGGGACCATCCTGGCTAACACGGTGAAACCCCGTCTCTACTAAAAATACAAAAAATTAGCCAGGCGTGGTGGCACATGCCTGTAGTCCCAGCTACTCGGGAGGCGGAGGCAGAACAATCACTTGAACCTAGGAGGCGGAGGTTGCAGTGAGCCTAGATCACGCCACTGCATTCCAGCCTGGGTGACAGAGCAAGACTCTGTCTCAAAAAAAAAAAAAAAAAAAAAAAAAAAAGTAATGGCGATGGCTTTCTCCTTAACCTAGCTCCCCACCATTCCTTGAAGATGGTACAGATTCCTCAAGAGGAACCAGTAATATTCTTCTGAAGCAATTATAGGAATTTTAATTTAAAAATTTGATGTAAAACTTCCAAGTAATTAAGATATTTTGTTTCAAATTAGAGGTTGTCTTCTAGTATTCTGGTATGAGTAGGAAGAGATACCAGGTAAGAATAGAAGATAACAATATCAATTTAATTTTTCCTACAAATTGGGAAGATGAAGTATTTACTTTTCTATCAATTATCCTACATATGTAAATCTACTTCAGCTTTTCTGCATATTCTGCTAGAGGATGGGCAGAGTTAATAAGACCATCCATCTGGTCTAACTTTGGGGAACTAAGCCCGGACCCACTTGGAAATGTGGATATGAGAAGATAATGGTGTATGGTGGGCCAGGTGCAATGGTTCACACCTGTAATCCCAGCACTCTGGGAGGCTGAGGCTAGTGGATCACCTGAGGTCAGGAGTTCGAGACCAACCTGGCCAGCATGGTGAAATCCCATCTCTAGTAAAAATACAAAAAAATTAGTCGGGCCTGGGGACATGTGCCTTTAGTCCCAGCTACTCAGGAGGCTGACGTAGGAGAATCGCTTGAACCTGGGAGATGCAGGTTGCAGTGAGCGAGACCGCACCACTGCACCCCAGCTGGGCATGGTGATACACACCCATAGTCTCAGCTGCCTGAGAGACTGAGGGAGGAAGATGGCTTCAGCATAGGAGTTTGAGGCTGTCGTGAGCCATGACTGCGATGCCACTGTACTCCAGCCTGGCAAAAGAGCAAGACCCGATTCAAAGAGAAAAAGAACAGACCAATTATCTTTATTAGAAGCAAATGTACAGCCCAACACATGGCAAAGAGTCAAGAGGTGGCAGTAAACAGGGTTTTAATTTTTAAGTGAAAAAAACTGCTTGGAAGTTTTCTGCAGAATGGTGCTGCCACGTAAAGGGAAATAAAGCACAGAAAGTAAGTGGTTGAGTACTCAAGCCAGAAGTTTGGGTAGCAGGCTTCTCCTTACTGTGTGACTAGGGCAAGTTACTTAAACCCCTTTCTCCCATTTCTTCTTTTGTAAAATATGGAAAACTGTATTGTCTTTACAAGCAGAACAGTATCTGATATACAACACCAAAAAATGCAGCATATGAAAAGCCTGGGGCTTTTAAAATATAGTTAACTTTTTAAATAAGTGACAGATTTTTTTTTTCTTTTGGAAGACAGAGACTCGCTGTGTTGCCCAGGCTGGAGCACAGCGGCATGATCTCAGCTCACTGCAACCTCTGCCTCCCGGGTTCAAGCGATTCTTCTGGTTCAGCCTCCCAAGTAGCTGGGACCACAGGCGCATGCCACCACGTCCAGCTAATTTTTGTATTTTTAGTAGAGTCAAAGTTTCAACATATTGGCCAGGCTGGTCTCAAACTTCTGACCATGTGATCTGCCCACCTCGGCCTCTCAAAGTGCTGGGATACAGGTGTGAAGCTACTGCGCCCAGCCCACGACAAAATTTCTAAGCAGTGGGTGTAGGAAAAGGATGAACACTGTCTTCTTCAATGTGTGGTAACTTGGGAAGAATAATATATTCAAGGCAGATCTGGGTTCAGATTCAGTATTATGACCCTAAACAAGTCATGTAACCTTTAAACCTCAACCTCATCACTGTAACTTGGGCAATACTACCTATCACATAGTATTGTTTTAGGATCAGATGTAATGTATGAGAGTTCTAACAATGTTAATTATGATCCAACGAGTTTTCGAACAATCTGTAAGGGACTGTGATATCTGTATTGTAGCTTACCATTCAAGGTCTTAGGGGTCAGCCAGCAGAGCTTTTTACCATCCTTGCTCACAATCATTAAGATCAAGACATGGGAGTTTTGTTTTTTTGTGTGTGTGGTTTTGTTTGTTTGTTTTTTGAGGAATTTAGTTCTGTGCTTTTTTCCATAAAGAACTCCTAAAGCTCCATTAAGAAACCCAATGGTGCTACCATTTTAGCCAATTCATTTCCAGTTACTGAGCCTGTGTTGGCTGGAGTACAGGGACCTGCACATAGGTAGAAGGAAGTTTACCAGAATGAGTTCAAAGTATTGAAGATGGGTCTCTGAAAATCTAAAACTTACGAGAACTCTTGAAGTAGTCTGGCAATTACAAGAAGTAACAATTAGTTGGAATATACCTGTGGTTATTAATGCCAATGTTAGATGAAACTTATATACAGTAGAATCCTCAAATGATAGCAAAAGTCAGACGTGCCAGTTATGTAATAATTAGAGGCTTATACACCTTAATGAAATTTAATCACACTTAGACCAATAGCATTATAGAAAGCATCCACACTTTATAATATTCTAAGTAACAAAAATTCAGTTTAGCAGCCGAAGCAAGCATGAAATGAGGAAGGAAAACAGGAAGAGAGCTAATGGTTATGTTTTCTGTTGCCTTGGGGAAGGTGGGGGGGGCCTGTTTTAACTAATGTGAATAAGCCTCTAAACACTTCCTGAAGACTTAAAGAGGGGCACCAGAATTCTTTAACTCTGGTGATACAACAGTCAAGGTTAACTGCCTTCATTTAAATGGCATGCCTGCTTCAGTGTACCAATTCAGTGGATTCTACTGCTCTGTAGCTGCTTCCCAACGCACAGAAAAGGAGTCATGTGAACAATAATTTTAAAATCCAGAGGCATGCAAGTGAACATCCATTCAGCATTCTCTGCCAGCCTAGCCCACTATTTCCCTACCTACCCCACCCCTCATCTACCTTTTCCATCCCACTTTATTGGCTAGTATGCTGCAACAAGTTACTGATAGCTAGCCAAGTCTCAGAAATCACACAGAAGGCCTATTTTGCAGTTAGTAAAAGTGTTAGTTTATAAGCCAGCTAAAGAAGACTTGCTGCTTTTGATTGAACTTACTTGACTATCACGACCTTGTTAAACTACCCCCCTTTTCATTTAGCCCTTTCCTAATCCAAAGGCAGACGGAAAATCCTGAATGGAAGGCTGACTTTTACCCATAATTAGTGAGTCAAATCCAGAATGTACTCCACCCACTGCAGCTCTTGCATATCCCGGTTACCTTCACCCTCTTTCATCTGTTCTTCTCTCTCTTGTGTCTCTTCATTAGCAGCTATCTGAACTTTGTCTTCAGGTGATTTCTCAGTAGCTCCCTGGGCTACCTTGGTATCAACCCCATCTCCAGCTGCCTCAGACTCTTCTACAGACAGCTTAGTCTCCTCCTGACTAGGAACCAGCTTTGCCCTGACCTTCTCCTCTAGTCCTGAGCCATCTTTTGTTTCTGTCAGTCTTTCTATAGAAGTCTGTGGTTCAATAGGAGTCTGATCTCCTACAACTGACGGTCCATTGACTGCACCATCCTTAGGGAGAACTGGAGCCTCCTGCCCAGGCTTTTCAGAGACTTCTGATCCAGCCTCTACAGCTGAGGCCTCTGCAGCCTCTGTTGTCACCTCTGGTGACTCTTCAGCAGGTGGTACTTCTTGACCTACCAGTTGTTCAAGAACCGCCTTTCCTGCCTCGTTTTCAGAGGTAACTACCTTCTCCTCTGGCTCGTCCCCACCCACATCCACTGGCTTGACTGTCGGGTCTAAAGACTCTGCTTCTACCTCCACTGCAGTGCCCTGCTTTTCTAGAGTCACCACAGGCTGCTCTTCTGAAACTTCTTTTGGCTTCTCCTCTATGCTCACAATTACCTCTCCCTGCTTCTCCTGACCTCCTTTTTCTCTGCACTCTTCTTGGACATCAGTTCCAGAAACTGATTTTTCTTCCTCAGCATCTGGTACTTCCTGTTCTGGCTTCCCAGAAGTGACCTCAGCTTCATTCGGTCCTTCTGGTGCTGCTCCTCCTTTTGCCTCTTCAGAGGTTTCAGTTAACCAATCTAGAGTCAAGTCAACTTTTTCCTGTGGCTCCTCTGCAGATTTACTTATATCCATATCTTCTCTTCCACCCTTCTCCATTTCACTGTCCTGTTCTTTATCAGTTTCAGGCTTTGCCAAAGACTTGTCTTCTGTTTTTTTGGCTTCTTCTTTTTCTCCCATGGCGTCATAAACCTGTTCTCTCAACTCTTCCCTTGCTTCCTCTACATGGTTAAAGAACATGAAGCATAAACATGTCTTCGAGTTTAATGATAAAGGCATAAATGGAAACTAAAAATACATTCCCTTTAAACCCTCAAAAAGCCTACCAAGTTTCAGCAGATGGCCTAAAAATTATCTGCCCCCTAGAGAAAAGGAAAGGGAGCATCCCGGCTAGCAGAGCAACTTACTGCAAAAGAAACCCAAGCTTGTTACACTAGGTATTGTTTTACTTGAGCATTCTGATTACCAGTTAGGTAAGAGATGCCAAGCTTTTCATTCTCCCCCATCTGATATGTAAAACTATAGCAGCCAAATTCAGCTTAGAAATTATATAATTTTCGCACACATAAAAAATGTACAAGGGCTCTAAAAGTACTGCTATTAAAATAACTGAACTGCACAGGCTGTTTAAAAAAATTTGCATCAGAAAAACACTTAAGGTTGTAATAGTATTTAAAACACCAATTTAATCTTGCTTTTATCTTTTTGATTTAAAAAACCCCAATCGAAATAACTGGATTTACTTGAGAAAATAAGTTATTCTCTTTCAAAAATCTGCTGTCAGCTTCAGTAAACAGCTATCCCCACTGCAATCTCCACCAGATGCAGGCATCATCACCCCAAGCATCTTAGGAGAGACCATCCAGGACAGGTAGAGCCCCGTTTCCACCACTGTATACAAGAAATATACAACGTCGCATCTCTTGAATGTCACATGCAACTCCACATACCATCTATGTTATCATTATTTTCTACCAGAGATTCATCTTCTGTTTTTTCTCCTTCTTCCTCTTCCACATGCACACCTTCCAAGGCGTTTCCCAACACACCATTCTCCATTCTAGGAGAACAAAAGAAAGCACCAAAGGTTTGATGGCTAGAACCTAGCAATTTTTTCTAAGACAGAAAATACAGTCCTATATTATAAAAGCAAGAAGTGTAAGCCAAGCGCAGGCAATACAAAACTATGTATATTCAAGGAAGCAATGATCAAAACTTTAGTAATATAAATTAAGACTGCAAGAGCACTGAAGGAAATAAGCATATTCCTCCATCCAGCCGCCTGAAAAGCATGTCTCTTGTCAAAAGAACAAGACCTATATGCATTCCATTTGTAATAGGACCATACTATTTCCCAAACTTTGTATCCACCCGATTTCTCTAAATAGCCAAAAATACTCTAGCAAGATTTTCACGGCAAATCATGAGAAAGTTCTGTATGATTACGAGATTAAAAACTTACCAGAGACCAGGCACGGTGGCTCACGCCTATAATCCCATCACTTTGGGAGGTGGAGGCAGGCAGATCACCTGAGGTCAGGAGTTCAACACCAGCCTGACCAACATGGAGAAACCCCATCTCTACTAAAAATACAAAATTAGCTGGACATGGTGGCGCATACTTGTAATCCCAGCTACTCAGGAAGCTAAGGCAGGAGAATCGCTCAAACCGGGGAGGCAGAGGTTGCGGCGAGCAGAGATCGCACCATTGCACTCCAGCCTGGGTGACAGGAGTGAAACTCCGTCTTAAAAAAAAAAAAAAAAAAACTTATCAGAACTGGGCCAGGCGCAGTGACTCACGCCTGTAATCCCAGCACTTTGGGAGGCCGAGGTGGGTGGATCACCTGAGGTCAGGAGTTCGAGACCAGCCTGGCCAACATGGTGAAACCCTGTCTCTACTAAAAATAAAAAATTAGCCGGGTGTGGTGACACATGCCTGTAGTCCCAGCTACTCAGGAGGCTGGGGCAGAAGAATCACTTGAACCCGGAAGATGAAGGATGCAGTGAGCCGAGATCGCGCCACTGCATTCCAGCCTGGGTGACAGACTGAGACTCCATCTCAAAAAAAAAAAACCTTACCAGAACTGAGATTAAATAGATGACATCATTTGCTAGTTTGTATACCCTAAACAGAACTTATTCTGATTAATAAATTCTGATAGAACATAGCCAAGAACTTTTCAATAGTAAAAGTCTTTTTTACTGGACAGTCTCACTTGCTAATTCTTTCCAGTTGTCCTCTATTCAGTCCTTGTTTTGAGCTAGCTCACAGTGCTTTTAAAGATTCTCTACACTGAACTTTGGATCATTCACTACTGGAAAGAACTTTGCTTCTACTGACTCCAAAAGTCAAAACTTAAATATAACTACTAATTGTATCAAGTGCCATTCACAACTTCCATCACTACTTCAAGCTCCTTCAAAACTCTCTAGGTAAAACCAATCTTGCTTAGCTCCTGTGAAATCTCAAAGCTAGTAAACAATCTTAACAAGGAAACTTCAGTTTTTAAATACAACATCCATACCTTGCCAACTCCAGAAGTGATTTCCCATAGAAAAAGAAGGCTTCTCCACACTCATTAGCTGTCTCTCCATACTTCTTACCTCTACAAAGAGAATAAACATCTAAAATCTGAATTACCATCTAATCTAAAACATTTAGTTCTAGTTCTTCAGTTATAAATTGATATTTCTCCAGTAACATACTCCTAGAAAACCAATACCCCTCTTGCTTTCAAGGTCAAAGTGACATTAAACAATGCATGAAAATTTTGTATGCTCTTTATCAATATATAATATATATACATCCTAAGTGACATAAATGTGCTACAATTAGTAATACATAATGTAGGGCCAAACAGCCCTAAGGTATTAATAGGTATTCCTCCTGCTAAAAGATGGATGTCAGTATGGATCAGAATAGTTAAAGGACCTTTGGCTGGGACCTAGAGGATGATTAAGGCCCATGGAAAGGCATGATGTAAAGCGCAGAATATCTGGAGTTCTTCTAACTGGATTCAAATCCTACCTTTAACCCATAACTAGCTGTGAGACCTTAGACAAATTATTCTCACAGTGCCTTAGTTTTCTCATCTGTAAAATGGGAATGTTAATAACTGTTTGTTCAAAGAGCTATTGCAAGAACTAAATGAGTTAATGTATGTAAAAGCACTGAAAACAATGTTTAGACAACAAATAGCACTGTGTATTAAGTCTTAGCTATTAATATCTAGACAGAAGGAAGAAGGACAAAAATTACGTAAGTATAATGAACAAAAGGAGAAAGTACTTCTCTATGTAAGGTAAGAAGACTGGCTTTCATGGAGTAAAATACTGGCAGAATTCATGCAAAGTCAGGCCAACTAATGGCCTAAGAGTCTATTGAGAGTAACTAGAGAATCTAAGCAGTAAATTGTGATGGAGGTCATGTTTAAGGGTAGTCTACTAGATTAGAATAAGACATCTCAAATTTTCCTCCTAAATACCCTTAATGGCAGGAAAGTGGGAATACTGACCTCTCCAGTAATCTGGGAAAAATAACCTAAGAGAAAGTATTTATGTGTGCTTAAAAACTTAGGTAACATTTTATGTTGTAAGACAACCATGCATTTTTAAATAAAAATACCTAAATACAGCTGGGCACAGTGGCTCACGCCTGTAATCCCAGAACTTTGGGAGGCCGAGGTAGGTGAATCACCTGAGGTCGGGCGTTCGAGACCAGCCTGACCAACATGGAGAAACCCCATCTCTACTAAAAATACAAAATTAGGCAGGCGTGGTGATGCATGCCTGTAATCCCAGCTACTTGGGAGGCAGAGGCAGGAGAATCACTTGAACCAGGGAGGCGGGGGTTGCAGTGAGCTGACATCGCGCCATCGCACTCCAGCCAGGGCAACAAGAGCGAAACTCCCATCTCAAAAAAAAAAAAAAAAAAAATCTCTAAATACTACCAGATAAAATTTAGTCTCTCAGAGCCCCAATTCATTAAGGTCAAACAGAGAGGAACAAAGAGGACAGGAATCAGACAAAAGATTTTTGCAGATATCCAGGAGTAAGATTCTGTTCTGGATGTTGGCAGAGGCAGTAGGGGTTTAGGAAAAGAATGGATTGATATTAAGCGTCAAACCTGAAACCCACAAACGCTTTGTTATAACCATTTCTTTTATAAGGAAGATTTAACTTAACTATATGTAATGTAATCAACTGTATGTAATGTATGCAATGATTGACCTTCAAGTTCAATTGCAATTGCTAATACTATATTTGAGGAAACTCAAACCTCGCCATAGACCAAAAGCCTGTTGCTTGACGATTTAACTTGCTTTTTTTTCTCTCAGATAATGGAGGTACATTAAAGTCTTTGGGGAAAATAAATGATCTTTAAGGCACTAAAGCTAACCTTTTCCTCCAGGATATAGGTCTATATGGCTACCTGGTGGTAGCTACCAACTTCTAAGCAAATCCAACAACAGTGCTAAGAATGTATGAAAAATGTGCTAAAAATGTATGAAAAAATGCTGTGCTAATAATAGCACTATCAATCATGACTTGCTTGGACCTAAAGAGTTTCCACAGACACAGAACTTCTAGTGTTAAAACTCGGAAAGTCAGGCTGGGGCTCAGTGGCTCATGCCTGTAATCCCTTTGCAAAGCACTCTGGGAGGCCAAGGTGGACGAATCGCTTAAGCCCAAGAGTTCGAGACCAGCCTGGGCAATGTGGGGAAACCCCATCTCTACCAAAAGAAATACAAAAATTAGCTGGGCATGGTGGCACACACCTATGGTCCCAGCTACTGGGGAGCCTGGGAGGTTGAGGCTGCAGTGAGCATGAGATTGTGCCACTGCACTCCAGCCTGGGTGACAGAGACCCTGTCTCAACAAAAAAAAGCGGGGGTGGAGAGATGGGGAGAGGGGTCCTAGATAAACCAGGACAAGGTGTGGTCACCCAAATTAGTAGTGACTGGAATACAAATTACATACTCAGGAAAATGAAAGGGTGGAACTGCTTGGTGATATTTAAGTTTTACACTTATAGTTACTGGTACAAACCACATGAAAAATAATCAAATGTTTTAAAACTCTTGCTCTTCATGCTTTTTCCCCATAAAATAATTTTTGATAACTCAAGGTTTATTAGAACATAATATTACATCATAGCAAAATATACAATACTTACAAAAGACTAGCTGCTTCCTGGAATGCATTGACAGCTGCTGGAATATCCCCCATCACCAGATGTTTCTGTCCTAAACCCAATAGTTTCTTAGCTTCACTATCCACATCCAGACTGCAAAAAAAAGATTTTTTCTAGTGTCAAGTACTGTTTAAATCAGTATTTTTTGAATACCTGCTACATTTGAGCAATAGTTTCATTTTTTAAAACTTTTGGACTACTCTGGCAAGGCCTGGCTAACACACTTATTTACCATCACAAAATCAAAAGAAATCTTAAAGGCAACATTCCCAGAAGCCTGACTAGAGTATTTTCTCAGTTGGGTGCGGTGACTCATGCCTGTAATCCCAGCACTTTGGGAGGCCGAGGCGGGCAGACCACGAGGTCAGGAGATCGAGACCATCCTGGCTAACATGGTGAAACCCCGTCTCTACTAAAAATACAAAAAATTAGCCGGGCGTGGTGGCGGGTGCCTGTAGTCCCAGCTACGGGAGGCTGAGGCAGTAGAATGGCATGAACCCAGGAGGCGGAGCTTGCAGTGAGCTGAGATGCGCCACTGCACTCCAGCCTGGTCAACAAAGCGAGACTCCACCTCAAAAAAAAAAAAAAAAAAAAAAAAAAAATTCTCTTAACGGCTCATCTAATCACAAAGCCTGTATTGTATATTACTATAAATATTTCCTAATTGATCCACAAATAAAAAAGGTATCATAAAAGAACCATAAATTCATACAAATTGCACTAGCTAAAAGAAATATTAAAATTAAGAAGCATTTAGGTAAACAGGGCAAGAGGCAGTGATTTCAAGATTAAGACAATGTAGTATTGGCATAAAGAAAACCAAATGGATCAAATAGAACACAGAGTACAAAAACAGATCCATGCATATATGACTGACTGAAATTTTGAAAAAGGTACCAAGGCAATGCAATGAGGAATGGATAATCTAACAAATGGTGCTGGAGTAATTATAAATCCACATGCAATAAAGTGAACCTCAACTGTTATCTCATATCTCATACAAAAATTAATCTGCAATGGATCATAGGCTTTCTAAATATAAGATTTAAACCATAAAGTTTCTACAAGAAAATACAGGATAAAATCTTAGTGACTTTGGCTTTGGCAAAGACTTCTTGAATATGAAAGAAAAAGCACAAACTATTAACAAGAGGAAAAAAAATCAATAAACTAGACACACCACTAAAATGAAAAACTTGGTTTTGAAAGACACTGTTATAAAAACAAAAAAGGCAGGCCCAACTGGGAGAAAATATATGCAAAACTTCTGATAAAGGACTTGAATATATAAAGAACTCTTAGAACGTAGTAATAAAAAACAATCCAATAAAAAGGGGGCGAAAGATTTTAACAAACATGTCATCAAAGATACACAGATGGCAAATAAGCACATGAAAAGATGCCAACATTATTGCTCACTCAAAAAAATACAAACTAAACCCACAATAAGATACTGCTATATTCACTATAATAGCTAAAATTTTAAAAGACTGACCACATATCAAATGATGGTGAGGATGTAGGGCAACTAGAACTGTCAAACACTGCTGGTAAGAATGTAATGGTAGAATCACTTTAGAAAACAGTTTGGACGTTTCTTAAAGTTAGATATATACCTACCATATGATCTAGCCATTCTACTCCTAGGTGTGAACCCAAAAAATGGAAATGAATGCCCATACAAAGACTTGTACACAAATATTCACAGCAGCTTTATTTGTAAGCCAAAAACTGGAAACCCAAATGGATAAACAAATTGTGATATATCTACATCATAAAATGTCATTCACTAACAAAAAGAATGAACTATTAATACAGGTGGTAACATGGATGAATCTCAAAATAATTATGCTGAATCAAAGAAACTATACAAAAAGAAACAGTACTTACTGTATGATTCTATTTAGATAATATTCTACAAAATGCAACCCATCTTCAGTGACAGAAAGCAGATTAATGGTTGCTGGGGAGGGAATGAAGTACAAAGGCACATGAGGAAAAAACTTTGAGGTGATGAAAATACTCATTATCTTGATTGTGATAATGGTTTACAGGTGTATACATATGTAGAAACTCATAATTGTTACTTTAAAGTTATGTGCAGTTTCCTGTATGTCACTTAGACTTTCATTTAATGTTTCTTATAGCTTTAAGAAAAACCTGGGTCAAAAGAGCAAGAGTCAGTGACATTTTAAGTTCCATTAATGAAAACCAAATTATTTGGAAGGATAATCCCTCTTCTTAATTCAATCAACAATACTTGGGTACCTGATATTGCTGGGCACAATTCCAGACACTGTGATTATAACAAGAATGAGCTAAGACCACAGGGACAATGTCAAATTGAAGCAGAGAACTTAAGAAGGCAAGCCAAAAAAAAAAAAAAAAAAAAAATACAGAGGAAAAGCACTCTAGGACAGAGGCAATAGTAAGTTCAAAGCTCTAAAAGAAGCTTGCTTAAAATATTTGAGAAACAGAAAACTCTTCTGGCTAGAGTAAGCTGGGGAAGAATTATGGGAAATAAAGGTGAGGAAGAGGGAGAGAGCAGCATCACATTAGTATAGACTTTAAGATAGAACAAGAACAGAACTGGGGAGAAAACCAGTTGGAAAGAAAGTCTGGCCGGGCAGCAGTGGCTCATGCCTGTAATCCCAGCACTTTGGGAGGCTGAGGCGGGCAGATCACAAGGTCAGGAGTTCGAAACCAGCCTGGCCAAGATGGTGAAACCCCCCTCTCTTCTGAAAATACAAAAGTTAGCCGGGCGTGGTGGTGTGTGCCTGTAGTCCCAGCTACTCGGGAGACTGAGGCAGAAGAATTGCTTGAACCAGGGAGGCAGAGGTTGCAGTGAGCCGAGATTGTGCCACTGCACTCCAGCCTGGGTGACAGGGCGAGACTCCATCTCAAAAAAAGAAAAGAAAAGAGAAGAAAAGAAAAAGTCTAAGGCTGAGCATGGTGGCTCATGCCTGTAGTCCCAGCACTTTGGGAGGCGAAGGTGGGAGGATCACTTGAGCCCAGGAGTTAGAGACTAGCATCTCTATAGGAAAATACAAAAATTAGCTGACATCACGGTATGCACCTGTAGTCCCCGTTACTCGCAAGGCTAAGGCAGGAAGACTGTTTGAGCCCAGGAATTCAAGGCTGCAGTGAACTAGGATCACACTGCTGCACTCCAGCGTGGGCAACAGAGCAAGACCCTATGTCCAAACAAACAAACAAACAAACAAACAAAAACACTCTTTCTCTATTTAAAAAAAAAGGAAAGAAACCGTAAAAATCTAGACAGGAACCTGAGGAGTATTAGAGAGGGTTAGATTCTGAATATACTTATTTTAAAATTTGCTAATGGACTAGATATATAATTTATTGAATGAAAGAGGTGAAGCAAATGTTTTTTTGGCCGGGGCAACTGGTATTAAGTGTTAATAATGGACTATGTAGAAATTTTATCTACATTTAAATCCTAGGATCTACACCTCATAAAGTTATTGAATTATTACCCCCACTTTACAGATGGAAAACTGAATATTAATGGCAGCGATTCAAATCTACACAATCTAGATGAAAAGTTCTAGAACAACATTGCCACTGACTGATTAAAAAGTCAACTGAAGGAAAAGCCAGTGAGAAACAAGGCAATCAATTACTGTACAGTATTTAGCTTTGGATATGTTAATTCTGAGATCCCTATTAGACCTCCAAGATATTAAAAGGGAGAAATTTGGGAGAGATATGGGGACTGGAGATACAAATGGGAGAGTCAGGTACTTAAAGCCACTGGACTTAACAGAGGAGAATACACAGGGAGTGGCTACTAATAAAGACGTTGTAGGACTGACTGAGCCCTGGGAGCCTTCCAACATTTAGAGGTAGGGACGACAAGGAAGAATGGGGGTTGAGGGGAATAGCCAGTGAAGGAAAAGAGACAAGAAAATAGTATGAAGAAAACTAATGGGTCCAGGCACAGTGACTGGCCAACATGGCGAAACCCCGTCTCTACTAAAAATACAAAATTAGCCGGGCATGGTGGTGCACACCTGTAATCCCAGCTATTTGGGAGGCTGAGGCAGGAGAATTGCTTAAACCTGGGAGAAGGAGGCTGCAGTGAGCCAAGATCGTGCCATTGCATTCAAGCCTGGGTGACAGAGCAAGACTCCATCTCAAAAAAAAAAAAAAAAGTAACAGGAGTAATGGATTGGGTCAAATGTTACTGACAAGATTAACTCAGAGAGCTGAGAAATGACTACTAGAGTAAGGAATATGGATGGTACTAAAGACCATAAACAAGACTATTTTAGTAGAATGGTAGAGAAAAACTTGATTGAAGCAGCTTCAATTAAGAACAAAAGTAGTAGCAGATAAACAGAGTGGACACCTTTCACATTTTCCTGTCAAAGAAACTGATGTGAGGTAATAGACGAAGGGAAGTATGAGGGGGTCAACAAACGGTTAAATCTGATGATACCTAGTGGGCTGATATAAGTAATCTCATAGGAAACAAGAAGAGTATTGTTGCATAAAGAACTAAAGGAGTTCTATTATTAAGTAAATAATGAGTGGGATCTTGTGAACAAACGGAGATGCTGGTGTTATGTAAGAGCAAAGAAACTATGATGTCAGGATCCTTTACACTGTTACGTTACTGAAGCCCCCCAAAAAGCCTCTGTGTATCCAAGTTATATCTGTCAGTATTTGCCATACTGAAATTAAAACTAAAATAATTTTAAATAGTTTAAAATGTTACATGTTAATAACATGACTTTCTTTGAAAAATAACTCTTCAAAACAAAAATTTGGTAAGAATAGTGGCACTGTTTTACATTTTTACAAATCTCCTAAATGTCTGTTAGTAGAAGAGAACAGGATTTTCATATTCACTACTCTACCGTGTTTTCTTTTCATTAAAGTACAGGAATATCTGACTTGATACAGATATGTAGTTGGAAACAGAATATTTAAACAGTCCTTTCAGATAACTGGATATTCTTCTGTTACCACACCCAAACCCAACAAGTGGTCATTTGTCTTAAAAAAAAAAAAAAAAAAAAAAAAGTCTTGCTCTGTCGCCCAGGCTAGAGTGCAGTGGCACGATCTCAGCTCACTGCAACCTCCACCTCCTGGGTTGAAACCATTCTTGTGCCTCAGCCTCCCCAGTAGCTGGGATTAAAAGCGGGCACCACCACACCCAGCTAATTTTTGTATTTTTAGTAGAGACGGTTTCACCATGTTGGCCAGGCTGGTCTCAAACTCCTGACCTCAAGTGATCCGCTGCCTTGGCCTCCCAAAGTGCTGGGATTACATGCGTGAGCCACCATGCCCAGCCAACAAGTGGTAATTTCTTTTTTCTTTTCTTTTTTTTCTTTTTTTTGAGACAGCGTCTCACTCTATTGCCCAGGCTGGAGTGCAGTAGTGCGATCTCAGCTCACTGCAACCTCTGCCTCCCAGGTTCAAGCGATTCTCCTGCCTCAGCCACTTTGAGTAGCAGGGATTACAGGGACATGCCACCATGCCCCGCTAATTTTTGTATTTTTACTAGAGACAGGGTTTTACCATGTTTGCCAAACTGGTCTCGAACTCCTGATTCTCTCGCCTCAGCCTCCCAAAGTACTGGGATGCAGGCGTGAGCCACAGCACTTGACCAACAAGTGGTAATTTCTTAAAGGTTAGTTGTACTGTATAATCTGAAAACACTGATGAACTTCTCATACTGGTACATTAAAAACCAGTCTATCTTGTATTCTAGATCTTCTACTTATGAACGATTACATAAACCCAACGTCACAGCAGCAGTACTCACAATAAAAAGCAAGGAAATTCTGACACACCACAACATGGATGAACGTTAAGAACACTATGCTAAGTGAAATAAGCCAGTCACAAAAAGGTAAATATTCTATTATTCCATTTATACGAGGTACCTAAAGTAGCCAAATTCAGAGACAGAAAGCAGAATGGTGGTTGCCAGGGGCTAGGGAAGACAGAAAGAGGGAGTTGTTTACTGGGTAATAGTTTCAGATTTGCAAGATAAGATTGGGTATACGACAATGTGAATTTACTTAACACTACTGACTTACACGCTTAAAAAGATGGAAAATTTTATATTATATGTGTTTTACCACAACTTAAAAATCAATTTCATCAGAACAGTCAAAGTATTAGGATACTGTCAGTCTCACAACAGCAGTTGATATATAACTTATCCAAAATTTTTATTTTTCATGTGAAAGCTCACATTCTATCACTAGCACCCAATACTGTCAGTTATTTCCCTTAAAGTGACAGGCTCACTGTATTCATTTTGGAGAAAACATCTGCTAAGTATCAAGTCTAAATAAAAGTTTGTCTGTTGGTCATTCTTTCAAAAATAAAACTTTCAAATAAAACATTCTTTCGAATAAAAGCCAGTAAAGTTACATGAAAAAAGTAGCTCAATCAACTCTTAATCACACAAGGGCTTTTCATAAAGAAAACCATGGTAGCCACTTTTGATATGCTGAAGCGCTCCATCCATAATTCCTATTTTGCCAGGTTACCTTAAAACCATGTAGTCAAGGACTGAGAATTAATAAACTTCAGTTTGTAACGCTTCATCATGGACATTTTCTAAGTGAAGGTGATAGTGAAGAACACAAGAATTGCTAGTACTATTTGTTGCCACTGCCTTGATTTATGTTAAGGTAACAGCAGGTTTATCCACCATTACTTTTGCACAATCACTGCCAGTGGTCAAAAAGGCAGTCTTGTTATTACAATAACAGTTTTGATCTTACATTATCCCTGAAAGAGTACTGGAGACCCCAAAGGTATACAAGAAAAAAACTTTGAGAACTGCTGAATAAGAGCATGAACAGGCATTCAAAAGGAGAGACTATATGGGCACAGATTTATGGCACAGTGTTAAGAAATTTCTCTTCATATTGTTTATTCAGTGAACAAACAAAAATCCAGAACCAAATATAAAACAAAGGAAAATCATCAGGTAAAAGCAAGATGACGGGTATGGTGTTGAATGTTTAAGAATATATAAAGAAAAAGTTGATCAGCTGGGTGCAGTGGCTCATGCCTGTAATTCCAACAACTCAGGAGGCTAAGGAGGGAGCATCATAGGGAGGGCAGAAGTTCAAGACCTGCCTGAGCAACATAATAAGACCCTGTCTCTAAAACACACACACACACACACACACACACACACACACACACACACACACACACACACACACAAAACTTAGTCTGGCAGGCTGAGGCAGGAGTATCTCTTGGTCCAGGAGTTTGAGGCTGCACCAAGCCAGGATCAGGACCCACTGTACTCCAGCCTGAGTGGCTGAGCAATACCCTGACTCAAGGGGGGAAAAAAAAGAAGGAAAGATTAAGCAGTTCCGCAGAATGGGAAAACAACTTGACCGGAGAAATGCGGTATAACTGCCAATCAAAACTAAAAACCCACTTCAGGTCAGAGGTTATAAATTTAAGGTGAGACTAATAATGTGTTTTCCAACCATCCTTCATGTTTCTCTCAGAATCAGAATATTCTGGTCCTCTAAAAATCAAATGCTTATGCCAAGCATAGTGGCTCACACCTGTAATCCCAGCACTTCAGGTGGCTGAGGTGAGAAGATGGCTTGAGCCCCAGCCTGGGCAACGTGACGAAACCTCATCTCTAAAAACAAAATACAAAAATTAGCCAGGCATAGTGGCACACATCTGTGATCCTAGCTACCCAGGAGTCTAAGGCAGGAGGATCACCTGAGCCCAGGGAAGGTCAAGGCTGCAGTGAGCCACGATCGCTCCACTGTACTCCAACCTGGGCAGTGAAGTTTAATACTGATGATTACATATCAAGCACTGTGTTTTGGATAGCCTAGCTACATTTAGTCAGTCCAGAAACTTAAATACTATGGTACATCCTATGAGTAACCCCCTTGAAAGTATTGTGTTTAGGATCAACCCTAAACAGTATTCAGTATTCATACCACCCAAATACCAGATTAACTCACAAGAAATTTTGTTGTTGTTTGTTTTTTTTTTTTGAGAGTTTCGCTCGTCACCCAGGATGGAGTGCAGTAGCGTGATCTTGGCTGACTGCAACTTCCACCTCCCGGGTTCAAGTGATTCTTCTGCCTCAGCCTCCCAAGTAGCTGGAATTACAGGCGCTAGCCACCACGACCGGCTAATTTTTGTATCTTTTTTAGTAGAGACGGGGTTTCACCATGTTGGCCAGGCTGATCTTGAACTCCTGACCTCAGGTGATTCACCCACCTCAGCCTCCCAAAGTGCGTGAGCCACCGCGCCTAGCCCTATTTTGTTTCTTTCCTTTTTTTTTTGGAGACAGGGTCTCACTCTGTCACCCAGACTAGAGTGCAGTGGCAGGATCATAGCTCACCACCACCTCGACTTCCTGGGCTTCCGCAATCCTCCTACCTCAGCCTCCCCAGTATCTGGGACCACACGCAAGTGCCACAACGAACAGTTAATTAAAAAAAAAATTTTTTTTTTTTGTACAGATGGCGTCTTGCTATGTTGCCCAGGCTGGTCTCGAACTCCTGGGGTCATGTGATCCTCTCAGAGATGGAGGTCTTGCTTGGCCTCCCAAAGTGTTGGGATTACTGGTGTAAGCTACCACACCCAGCCAAGCAGTATTTCATAAGACTTATTTTAACCCTTTTCCCGTTTAAGAGAAAAAAAAAAAAGTACAGCTCATTGCCAGCACTCATTTAATTTTACATAAACATGTTCTTTGAAGCTGAAGCAAATCTGACTTTCAGCATGAAAATAAAAATATAAAACTGTTCTCGGAGTTTTTTTTTTTTTTTTTTTTGGGGGGGGACAGTCTCACTCTGTCACCCAGGCTGGAGTGCAGTGGCACAATCTTGGCTCAATGCAACCTCCACCTCCCAGGTTCAAGTGATTCTCTTGCCTCAGCCTCCCGAGTAGCTGGGATTATAGGCGCCCGCCACCACGCTCAACTAATTTTTGTATTTTTAGTAGAGAGAGGGTTTCACCATGTTGGCCAGGCTGGTCTTGAACTCCTGACCTCAAGTGATCAGCCCACTTCAGTCTCCCAAAGTGCTGGGATTACAGACATGAGCCACCTGCCTGGCCGGAGTTATTTCTAAACACAACTAATATCAGAATCGCCTATTTCATAAAAATTGGATTCATCAAATGAATCTTTGGCCAACAACCATTTGAGAATGATGTTAACATCATACATAGGAATGCTACGTTTTCTAGGATTTGACATTTACAGCAATCGAGAATTACCCTATTTTGTAAATGGAAATAACCATTACTAAAAACAGAGTGCTATAAACAGAATGATGTCTTTTTATCCAAAATCTATATATTAGAGTGATGTGAAAATAATAATAAAGGAGAGCTATTTCATGGCAGTTTTCACTGGGTAAATGCAGCAGCCCCAAGCACCACCAGCAAGTATTCTCAGGGCAAATGGGAAAAGGGTTAAATAACCAAGATGACAACAGGATTTCAAACATGAAAAACATAAAACCCTATGGACGCTTAAAAAATGTATTTGTGGCCGGGTGTGGTGGCTCACGCCTGTAATCCCAGCACTCTGGGAGGCCAAGACGGGCAGATCGCCCGAGGTCAGGAGTTCGAGACCAGCCTGACCAACATGGCGAAACCCTGTCTCTACTAAAAATACAAAAATTAGCCGGGCATGGTGGTGGGTGCCTGTAATCCCAACTACTTGGGAGGCTGAGGCAGGAGAATCGCTTGAACCCGGGAGGCAGAGGTTGCAGTGAGCCAAGATCATGCCATTGCACTCCAGCCTGGGTGACAGAGTGAGACTCCATCTCAAAAAACAAACAAACAAAATATTTGTAAGATATTCTAACAGTAATAATTCTCAATCTTATCAGAAAGCTTTTCCATAACACATGAACCCAAATTTTATCTCAAGCTCAACAAATAAAATCAGCTGGGCATGGTAGATCAGGCTGGTAATCCCAACACTTAGGGAAGCCAAGGCAGGGGGATTGCTTGAGCCCAGGTTGGAGACCACCCTGGCCAACAAAGCAAGACTCCGCTTCGAAAAATATAATTCGGGTGGGCACAGTGGCTCACGCCTGTAATCCCAACACTTTGGGAGGCCAAGGCGGGCAGATCACCTGAGGTCGGGAGTTCAAGACCAACCTGGCCAACATGGTGAAACCCCATCTCTACTAAAAATAGAAAAATTAGCTGGGTGTAGTGGCACCCGCCTGTAATCCCAGCTACTTGTGAGACTGAGGCAGAATTGCTTGAACCCAGGAGGCAGATGTTGCAGTGAGCCAAGATTGCGCCACTGCACTCCAGCCTGGGCGACAAGAGTGAAACTCAGTCTAAAAAATAAATAAAATAATTAGCCAGATGTGGTGGTGCATGCCTACAGTCCCAGCTACTCAGGAGGCTGAGGCAGAAGAATCCCTTTAGCCCGGGAGTTCGAGGTGGTGGTGAGCTATGATAACATCACTGAACTCCAGCTTGGGCAACAGAGCAAGACCCTGTCTCTAAAAAATGAAACAAGAAATCTCTAGGGATGTAACCTACCATCTACCTTTTGGGTAAGCTTTTTAGTTAATTATTATGCCCACCTCTGATTAAGAAACATAGTCACTACGGGTGTAGATCTGAGATAAAGAAAAACAAAAAACCATAGCCATATCAAGATGGAAACGTTACAGGGGGAGGAGGTGAGACGGGCCTGGTAGTTCACACCTATAATCCTACACTTTGAAAGGCTTAGGCAGGGAGGAATGCTTGAGGCTAGGAGTTTGAGACCAGCCTTGGCAACATAGCAAGACCCCATCTCTCCAAAAAATTTAAAAATGAGCGAAGTGTAGTGGCATGTGCCTATAGTCCTAGCTACTCAGGAGGTTGAAGTGGGAAGATTGCTTGAGCCCAGGAGTTCAAGGTTGTAGTGAGCCCTGATTGCACACTGCACTTCGGCCTGAGCAACAAAGCGACACCTTGCCTCTATCAAAAATAAATTAATTAAAAAATAAAAATAACTTTAAAGTTATATTGCTCTTAGTTTATGTTTCTGATACGAATCTAACTACCATGTAAATAATCTTACCTCTCCACTTTATCTGCAGATGTAGAAGGAGCAGGAACATCTTCAATTCTGTAATAAAAAATTAAAGGGGAAAAAATGTAAAACTGGAGGCAATTATTAAGCCTGAAAATAAAATAAATTCAGAAAAATATAAAGGAATAAAAGAGCTGTCATTTATTAAATACTCAAGTATTATTTACTTACTTACATTATCAAATTTAATTCATTTAATTCTTACTCACTCAAATATCCAGGGCTGAAAATAAGTGGCAACTTCACAGCTATAACCACAGGGATGAGGAACAACTTAAAGGGCAGTGCTTTCAGCTACAGGTTGTAAGCTATCTGGGCCATTTGCCTAGAATCTTGAAATGGTCTTGGATCCTTATCTACAAACTCCGTCACAGCCAGTCATGTATATCGAATAGTTTTATTAAGAGGTCATTCTGACCAAATGGTCTAGCACAGAGCCTCTCAAACTACCTGTGGTTAAGGGACTAGGTCTTTTATTTCCCTATATAACCTTCTATAACACACAGGTTTTTTTAAATACAATGTCAGGGAGATATCACAGCGAGACTCCGTCTCAAAAAAAAAAAAAAAAAAAAAGTTACACTATGACTGCAATATAAGACTCTGAATTGAATACCATTAAAAGCAAGGAACCAGTAAAAACACTATTAAGTATCATTGTAAAGCATTTATCAGTGATAAATTTCTTTTCTTTTTTTTTTTTTTTTTTGAGACAGAGTCTTGCTCTGTCGCCCAGGCTGGAGTGCCCTGGCACGATCTCCGGCTCACTGCAAGCTCCGCCTCCCGGGTTCACGCCATTCTCCTGCCTCAGCCTGGGCCTGGTGCCAGGCCGGTGCCTGTGCACCGGCCACCATGCCCGGCTAATTTTTTTGTATTTTTAGTAGAGACAGGGTTTCACCGTGTTAGCCAGGATGGTCTCGTCTCCTGACCTCGTGATCCACCTGCCTCGGCCTCCCAAAGTGCTGGGAATACAGGCGTGAGCCACCGCGCCCGGCCGATAAATTTATTTCTATTCTTGCTTAGCACAAGCCTAGACAAATAGAAAAGAGGGTGAACTAAGGCAGTACTTGTATAGTTGGAAAAAAAGATGAATTAAAGCAGTGTTTCTCAAATTTTAGTCTGTATGCAAACCATTTGGAGGAACGGTTATAACAGTTTGAGCTCCACCCCCTACAGTTTCTGAGTCAGAAGGTTTGAGGTAAGGTTGAAGAATCTGCATTTCTAACAACTGCCCAGGTGACACACTGCTGGTTTCTAGAACCATGCTCTGAGGACTACTGGATCAGAATAAAAATTATAAATGGATGTTCATGTCCTATCTGGGCAATAGGTATGTCTGATTCAGTTTTGTTTTGTTTTTGAGACAGTCCTTCTCTGTTGCCCAGGCTGGAGTGCAGTGGTATCATCTCAGCTCCCTGCAACCTCTGCCTTCTGGGTTCAAGCCATTCTCCTGCCTCAGCCTCCCAAGTAGCTGGGATTACAGGCGCCCACCACCACGCCTGGCTAATTTTTCTGTTTTTTACCAGAGATGGGGTTTCACCATGTTAGCCAGTCTGGTCTCGAGCTCCTGACCTCAAGTGATCCTCCCGCCTGGGCCTCCCAAAGTGCTGAGATTACAGGTGTGAGCCACTGCGCCCAGCCTGATCCAGTTATTTTTTAAAATGTTAATTCTAATAGTCACTACATTTACAACTATGAAGCTATGGCTTCATAGTTTTATGACGTTCATTATGAATTTTTAGAATGAGCATGAATCCAGAGAAGTACTAGAGGAAATGATAGGGAAATTACTTGGTAATTTGTTTGGAGAAGGCCGTTTTAAACCCAGAAACCAGACTGGGTGCAGTGGCTCTCTCCTGTAATCCCAACACTTTGTGAGGCCTAGGTAGGTGGACTGCTTGAGCTCAGGGGTTCAAAAACCAACCTGGGCAACACAGCGAGACCTATCTCTACCAAAAATAAAATGAGATGGGCATGGTGGTACATGCCTGTAGTCCCAGCTACTCCAGAGACTGATATGGGAAGATTGCTTGAGCCCAGGAGATAGAGGCTGCAGTGAGCTATGATCATACCACTATACTCTAGCCTGGGTGAGAGAGTAAGACCTTGTTTCAAATAAATAAACAAACAAACCAGAAACCATAGGATATTGACAGATTCTACTCCATCTAATTCATTTCACAAAAGGTTAACTTAGCAAATATACATAGAATCTTAGTCAACAGGATAAAAAAGCCCAATGGGAATAGATTAATGGATTTAATATAAACACTCACAAACAAACAAACAAACAAACAAACACTTGACCACCTGCTACTGCTCATTCTTTTGTTTTTGAGACGGAGTCTCGCACTGTTGCCCAGGCTGGAGTGCAGTGGCGCGATCTCGATCTCGGCTCACTGCAAGCTCCGCCTCCCGGGTTCACGCCATTCTCCTGCGTCAGCTTCTCAAGTAGCTGGGACTACATTTTTTTTTTGTATTTTTAGTAGAGATGGGGTTTCACCGTGTTAGCCAGGATGGTCTCGATCTCCTGACCTCGTGATCTGCCCACCTCGGCCTCCCAAAGTGCTGGATTACAGGTGTGAGCCACCGCGCCCGGCCGCTCATTCTTAAGAGAAACAAAAAAACTATACTTAGAAAGTATGTTTTACCCATCGAATAGTCAAAGATAGGGTTAAGGAGAAATTGTACTCCCATACATTGCTAACAGAAATTCAAGGCTAGGCTCACAGCTATAATCCCTGCACTTTGGAAGGCAGAAGGACTGTTTGAGGCTAGGAGTTTGAGACCAGGCTAAGCAGCAAAATGAGACCCCTTCTCTAGTTCAAAAAATTAATTTTAAAAAAAGAAGTGTAGCCTGGGCACGGTGGCTAACGCCTATAATCCCAGAACTTTGGAAAGGCAAGGTGAGTGGATCACCTGAGGTCAGGAGTTCGAGACCAGCCTGGCCAACATGGTAAAACCTCATTTCTACTAAAAATACAAAAATTAGCCAGGTGTGGTGGCGGGCGCCTGTAATCCCAACTACTTGGGAGGCTGAGGCAGGAGAATTGCTTGAACCCTGGAGGTGGAGACTGCGGTGAGCCTAGATCGCACCAGTGCACTCCAGCCTGAGCAACGGAGTTAGACTCTGAATGACTACAGTCATGCGCAACCACGCCTGGCTGATTTTTGTATTTTTAGTAGAGACGGGGTTTTGCCATGTCAGCCAGGCTGGTCTCGAACTCCTGGCTTCAAGTGATATGCCCGTGTTGGCTTCCCACAGTGTTGGGATTACCACGTGAGCCACACCACCTGGCCCTTTTTTTTTTGAGATGGAGTCTTGCTCTGAGGCTAGAGTGCAGTGGCACAATCTCGACTCACTGCAACCTCTGCCTCCCGGTTTCAAGCGATTACAGGACCCTGCTACCCATGCTCGGCTAATTTTTGTAAACTGTAGTCTCAGCTACTTGGGAGGCTGATGCACAAGAATCGCTTGCACAGGGGAGGCAGAAGTTGCAGTAAGCCAAGATCTGGCCACTACACTCCAGCTTGGGCAAGACAACAAGACTCTCTCTCCAAAAAATTAATTATATATATATATATATATATATATATGAAAAAACTCAAGACAAACCTCATAGCCTAGAAATGTTGAATTAACAAAATGTATGTAATCAATGCATAAAAGATATGTAGGTACTAGTCTTCTTCACTACCATAAAATACAAATTATAAAAAGTTAAAATTCATCAAAACACACAGACCATACACGGCACCATCCACAGTTGAGATATGTAAATGAACAAAGATGCAGTATTAAATCATAACTGCAGCCGGGCACGGTGGCTCACGCCGAGACCGGCTGATCACCTGAGGTCAGGAGTTCGAGATCACCCTGGCCAACATGGCAAAACCCCAAAAAATTAGCCAGGTGTGGTGGTACACACCTGCAGTCCCAGCTACTTGGGAGGCTGAGGCAAGAGACTTGCTTGAATCCGGGAGGGCGGAGGTTGCAGTGAGCAGAGATTGTGCCACTGCACTCCAGCCTGGGTGACAAAACTCCCTCTCAAAAAAAAAACAACAAAAAAAAACCAACTAAGAACTAGTTAGAAAGCTAAGAATGACAGGATTAATTTAGCATGTAGATATACATCACCTTAAACAATACTGCTTTAATGGCACGAGGGGACAAAAGCCAACCTAAGACTTTTTGCAGACGACAAAACTGTGGTCCAATATCACTACTGAAGCAATGAAGCTGCTATCAAAGCCAATTCTAAGCCAGGCGAGGTGATGCATGCCTGTAGTCCCAGCTACCCAGAAGGCTGAGATGGAAGGATTGCTTGAGACTAGGAGTTGGGAATCCAGCCTGGGCAACATAGTAAGATCCTCATCTCCTAAATTTAAAAAACCTGAACTGAGGTTTATTTCTCATTCCATTTTTTTTCTTTCTACTGGTTTGGAAGTTATATTTATTCTTTCAATGGTCATCCTCGAATTATAATGTACATTCTTACCTAAAGTCTAAATTCAAGTCATTTTCTTTATCCTACCCTTAAACATGAGGACCTTATAAACTTTACCTCTAAGTGTCCCCACTAACTTACTTAACTGAGACACACTGCTTTCATGTTCTCTCACACTAATTAGATGGGGAAACGAAGAATGAAAATGAAAATGAAAATACTAGCCAGGCTTGGTGGCTCACGCCGGTAATCTCAGCACTTTGAGAGGCCCACGTGGGTGGATCCCTTGAGCCTAGGCGTTGGGAGACCAGCCTGGGCAACATGGCAAAAACTCGTCTTTACAAAATAAATACTAGAATCAGCTGGGCCTTGTGGTGTGCGCCTGCAGTCCCAGCTACTCGGGAGGCTGAGGCCGGACAATCACTTGAGGCCAGGAGGTAGGGGCTGCTGTGGGCCGAGATGGCATCACTGCACTCCAGCCTGGGTGACACACACACACACCACACACACACACACACACACACACCACACACACACACACACACACACACACACACACACACACACACACGGCACGGTAGGGGCTGCAGGGGGCCGAGATGGCATCACTGCACTCCAACCTGGGTGACAGAGACCCTGCCCCCCCACCCCCACACACCCAGCACATATAATTGCTCAGTTTTAGCTTTCAATTTATGCTGTGAGGAACTAAATGGTTTGCTTTCTTCTAGCCACATATACATAAACTTTCTCTATGTATAACCTGCCAGGAAACTAAATTCACTAATGACCTAACTCTGGCTAGACACAGGGGACCTGCAAGAGGTATTTGTTGCATACTTCTACCTCAAAAAACAAAAACAAAAACACCTGGCCCTGCGCCGTGCCTCACGCCTGTAACCTCAACACTTTGGGAGGCCAAGGCGGGAGGACTGCTTGAGTCCAAGAGTCTGAGACCAACCTGGGCAACATTAAGACCTTGTATCTACAAAAAATTGGCCAGGTGTAGTGGCACACCTGTAGTCCCAAGCTACTAGGGAAGATCAGTTGTGCCCAGGAGTTCGAGGTTGCAGTGAGCTATGATCACAACACTACACTCCAGTCTGGATGTGAGATCCAGACCCTGTCTGCAAAAACAAAACAAAAACACACAGCTGTCAGTGAAATACTGACTGCTAGAGCTGTCTAGGAAACATTATAAAAAGCAGCTCTTTTTATAATAGCTATAGCACGACTCCCAAGCCCAATCTATACTGCTTATATCGAATCAATGGGGAAAGAGGCAGGTAATGGGAGTTTGAAATTAAAATTGTATTTCCCATGAGTTCCCAAATGATTCTCAGGGTGACTTGAGAACCACTGCTCTACAAGAACGCAGAGAGAAAAGGTGGTAAGCAGAGATATACGTAAATCTCTAACTATAAACAAACAAAGACATAATCATGACAGAGTGTAAGCCTATAGAATATCAATTTAAAAAACTTCACAGCAACCATTCCTTTTACAGGGAAGGCAACTAACCTCTAAAGCGCACAAGATTAGAAAAAAAAATAGAACCAGATGCCTAAAAAAATATGGCAAGATTGGGAAATCAGACCTACTGTATGGGAAACAGCACTTGTTTCCTTGAACTCGTGTAGTGTTTCCCTCCACTGTTCAAAAAACAGATTACGCCTGAGTGGCACTGTGCCGCTTTCAAAACAATCCTATCTTGTTTCCCTCCAGTCCTTCTCCACTTCGTGCATACTACTGCCGATTCACCTAGCAACCAAACAGTGCTGGTGAGAGCTCCAGACAGCGCTTCCTGAAGACGCTTTACGTCCGGTAATGTTCCCCCCAAACAGACACCACCTCCAAAGTCTAAAGAACGACAATCCTCCCCACCACAGGCAGGGGCTCACGGAGTCGCGGGGAGCGATAACTATCTCCCAGCACAAGACGTGAGCGAGGTGTCGGGGGGAACTAGCCTCGCCGGCCCCACGGAGATAGTCCAAAGCTCCTGCTGGAGCCGCAGCGGCCCCAAACAATGGAGTTTTCCCGCCTCCTCAAGGCCCCGCCCCCTGCCCCAGGGCCGGCGAGGGAAGCGAACGCACGCGCGCAAAACCCCGCCCTCAGCAAGGCCCCGCCCACCCCGACCCCTCAGGTCCAGCCTCCTTCCTCGTGCAAGGTTTTTTTTCCCTTTTGGCGCCAAATCTTCGTTGGTTATATTCCCGGGTTATCCAGGGGTTCTACCAGAGGCACACGCTGGGGACAGAAGGGGCGTGAAGGCCAACCCGCGCGCCAGGGCCCCGCCTCCCGGCCAACCGCCCCGGGCTGGGGGAGGAAGGAGAGGGGCAGGCGAAGGATACAGCCGCCGCTGCCCCCGGCAAGATGGCGGCCGCGAAAAGCGGGGCAGGGGGCGCCAGCCGACCGCCGTTACCGCTGCTGCGCGAGGCTCTCAGCAAAAGAAGGACTGCTCCAGTGACCAGGCCTTCCCGAACAGCGACAGCTGCTCTTGGGAAGGCAAGTACTCCCGCCCACCGGTCTGCCCCTTCTCCGGAGCCCCCGTCCATTAGCCCTCCCCGCGGACTGGCCAGTGCCTTAAGCTTTCCACAGTCCCGCTTACTTGTCGGCAGAAACCAGCTCCGCGGCGACGGCGGCAGTGGCTGTGGACTCCATGGCCATCGTTCCCCTGAGGTGGCGAACCAGCGAACGGAATAGAGCCTGCGAGAAAAACAGGCAATTTGGGACGCCAGAGACTCACTCAGGGACAGAAAATGGCAGATTAGAGACCCCGCGCGGCCGGGGCCCTTTTATATACGAGGACCCTTCGCCCCGCCCATCCACTTCCGGATCCTCCCCCTCGGGTTTAAAGGGCCAGGACTCACCACCCATACCCTCCGTCCCCCGCCGGCCTACCACTATCTAGACACCTCCTGCCCTCTCCATATGGCTCCGCGGGATTGTTTCCCTCCCTAGCCCGACTTCTCCAATAAACAGCAACTTCCTGCTTCTCCAGCAAGTCGCATAAGAAGAACTGGAATCTTGACACTACAACTCCTGACAGGACGCCCCTGCGGCATCCAGAGACAGGGAAGCCAGTGCTGCTCTGCATGTTCAGGGCGAGTAGCTGAGAGTCTCCTTCCGGCCTGGATACTGAGGAAGGTGACTTAGACTTTCTCTCCGTCCTCTGAGTCGTAACGGACGGACACGCAAGGGCCGAGGACGGGTACAAGCAGCAGCGACTAGAACTGATCTGGGTGAGATCTAGGCCTCAGCAACAACTGACGCAAAAAGATTTTGTTCTAGGATTGGCTACAGCTGAAACTACCGCGCTTGATTCAAAGCTCGGGGCTTGCAGCGGGAGGCAGCTGGCTCCTCCCTCTGAACCCGCCCCCTTTGGCTGGCCCAATCCGCTGATCCCATCCTCTTAGGCCCTGCCCAGACTCCAAATCTACCAGAATTAATGCTCCCAGCGCTGTTTGTCCACTCCTGCCTATGATTTGCTGTGTGACTACTACTCGTGGGGGTACCGTGATTAGACGCTTTAAAGCTATTAGCTATCTTGTTTAATATTAACAATGCTACTAGTGAGATCAGTGTTAGTCTGTTTCTTAGAAAAATAAACCAAGGGGCCGGACGCGGTGGCTCACGCCTGTAATCCCAGCACTTTGGGAGGCCTAGGCTGGTGGATCACGAGGTCAGGAGTTCAAGACCAGCCTGGCCAAGATGGTGAGACCCCCCCGTCTCTACTAAAAAATACAAAAATTAGCCGGGCGTGGTGGCGGGCGCCTGTAATCCCAGCTACTCGGGAGGCTGAGGTAGGAGAATACTAGAACCCGGAAGGCAGAGGTTGCAGTGAGCCGAGAGCTCGCCACTGCACTCCAGCCTGGGCAACAGAGCGAAACTCCGTCTCAAAAATAAATAAATAAATAGGCCAAGGTTCCAACCTGGCCAACATGGTGAAACCCCGTCTCTACTAAAAATACGAAAATTAGCCAGGTGTGGTGGCAGGCTCCTGTAATCCCAGCTACTCGGGAGGCTAAGGCAGGAGAATCACTTGAACCCGGGAGGCAAAGGTTGCAGTGAGCCGAGATCTCGCCACTGCACTGCAGCCTGGGCAACAGAGCGAGACTCCGTCTCAAAAAAAAAAAAAAGGGGAAGCTGTGACTTGTTCAGAAAGTTGCAAGACAAATCAGTTATGGAAAGCAGTGTGCCTCATTTCCTGCAAATGGCTGAGTGAAAAATAACTGGCAGGCTAAAAAGCTGCAATTCCTCACACCTGGAGTATCATCCATTCCTTTTCACCATGGCCCAGTCTACGCTGATCGGAGTAGGGGTTTTTATTTCCCTTTAGGTTCCAGCATATTGGGAAAGATTCCTGGAGAGGATTCTTATTCCAATCTGTCAAGGCTCGAAGAGGTTGAAATCTTTGGGGCTAGAGAGCTGGACGTGAAAATGCCAATTCCTATGGCAAACATACATGGGCTCTTCCATTATTAGCTAGGTGACGTGAGCCAGGTCACGTAACCCGGATTGTAATCGAGTAGCTGGGATTAAGGTTAAGTGTAAAATGAAGACATATTAGTAGCCACCGCTTAAGGACATTGTGAGAATTACAGGTAATTAGCACTGTGTAGAATTCACGCTAAGCACTCATTGAATGGCTACCACAGTCTGATGATGTGGTAAATGGAGGGTGTTGGGAGGGGAGATCTCTCCAAAGTCCTTGCAGCCAGGGCTAGGGCCTGAGAAAACCTCTGCAATTACTGGTGTGACCGATTCATCCATTAAATTAATATTCACTGAGCAACTTTGAGGTACAAGACTTTGTACTAGGTTCTGGGGACAAAAGACATGGACTCTACCTTGAGGAACTCAGAGAAATATATTTTAAAATATATTTTAGGCTGGGCGTGGTAGCAGGTGCCTGTTATCCCAGCACTTTGGGAGGCTGAGGCAGGCGGATCACTTGAAGTCAGGAGTTCGAGACCAGCTTAGCGAACATAGTGAAACACCATCTCTACTAAAAATACAAAAATTAGCCGGGAGTGGTGGCAGGCTCCTGTAATCCCAGCTACTTGGGAGGCTGAGGCAAGAGACCCACTTGAACCCAGGAGTTGGAGGTTGCAGTGAGCTGAGATTGCACTACTACACTCCAGCCTGGGCGATGGTGAGTCTCCATCTCAAAAAAAAATAAATAGCTGGATGCAGGCCGGGCGCGGTGGCTCACTCCTGTAATCCCAGCACTTTGGGAGGCCGAGGCGGGCAGATCACCTGAGGTCAGGAGTTTGAGACCAGCCTGGATCCCCTGGTGAAACCCCATCTCTACTAAAAATACAAAAATTAGGCAGGCGTGGTGGCAGGCGCCTGAAATCTCAGCTACTTCGGGAGGCTGAGGCAGGAGAATCGCTTGAACCTGGGAGGCAGTTTGCAGTGAGCCGACATCGTGCAACTGCACTCCAGCCTGGCAACAGAGCGAGACTTCATCTCAAAAAATAAATAAATAAAATAAAATGAATAGCTGGGCACAGTGGCTCACGCCTGTAATCCCAACACTTTGGGAGGCCAAGGCGGGTGCATCACACGGTCAGGAGATCAAGACCATCCTAGCCAACATGGTAAAAACCCATCTCTACTAAAAATTCAAAAATTAGCCGGACATGGTGGTGGGGGCCTGTAGTCCCAGCTACTCAGGAGGCTGAGGCAGGAGAATCACTTAAACCCAGGAGGTGGAGGTTGCAGTGAGCTGAGATCGCACCACTGTACTCCAGCCTGGGTGACAGAGTGAGACTCTGTCTCAAAAATAAATAAATAATAAATAAATAAAAATAAGGCCAGGCAGGGTGGCTCACGCCTGTAATCCCAGCACTTTGAGAGGCCGAGGCAGGCAGATCACCTGAGGTCAGGAGTTTGAGACCAGCCTGGCCAACATGGTGAAACCCCGTCTCTACTAAAAGTACAAAAATTAGCCGGGCATGGTGGTGGGCGCCTATAATCCTAGCTACTCAGGAGGCTAAGGCAGGAGAATCGCTTGAACCTAGGAGGCGGAGGTTGCAGTGAGTCGAGATTGCACCACTGCACTCCAGCCTGGGCAACAGAGTGAGATTCCATCTCAAAAAAACAAAAAATAAAAATTTTAAAAAATAAGTATATTTTAAATCCATGTACTTTTTAAATTTTTTTTGAGACAGAGTCTCACTCTGTCGCCCAGGCTGGAGTGTGCTGTCATGATCTCAGCTCACTGCAATCTCCACCTCCTGGGTTCAAGTGATTATCCTGCCTCAGCCTCCTGAGTAGCTAGCATTACAGGCGAGCACCACCGTGCACAGCTAATTTTTGTAGTTTTCGTAGAGATGGGGTTTCACCACGTTGGCCAGGCTGGTCTTGAACTCCCGACCTCAGCTGATCCACCCACCTTGGCCTCCCAAAGTGCTAGGATTACAGGCATAAGCCACCATGCCCGGCCTGTTTTCCTCATGTAACCCCAGGAATTAAAAGTCCTCAAAGGCCAATGGTCCAAATAGGAGATTGGCAAATGAAGGATCTTGTGGGGGCTGGGTTTTCTTCTGCCTGTCCGTGGAGTTATATACGTGTTGTGTGTGACGTCTATAGAAATAGCTCTAATTAATTGGCCTAAAGGAAGATAAGCACTTGGATCAAATATTTATTAAAGGGAAGATAGGCTGGGTGTGGTGGCTCACGCCTGTAATCCCAGCACTTTGGGAAGCCAAGGCGGGCGGATCACCTGAAGTCAGGAGTTCGAGACCAGCCTGACCAACATGGACATACCCCATCTCTACTAAAAATACAAAATTAGCCAGGCTTGGTGGCCCATGCCTGTAATCCCAGCTACTTGGGAAGCTGAGGCAGGAGACTCAGTTGAACCTGGGAGGTGGAGGTTGCGGTGAGCTGAGATTGTGCCATTGCACTCAAGCCTGGATAACAAGAGCGAAACTCCATCTCAAAAAAAATAAAAGGAAAGATAAAACCTGTGATACTTTTCAGTTCACCTGACTTTAATCTTTGAGAAATGAAAACAGCCTTAAAGATTATTGGTAAAAAGCCAATGTCATCAAAATATAAATAAGTGGACTGGGCCGAGTGCAGTGGCTCACGCCTGTAATCCCAGCACTTTGGGAGGCTGAGGTGAGCGGATTGCCTGAGCTCAGGAGTTCAAGACCAGCCTGGGCATCAGGGTGAAACCCCATCTCTACTAAAATACAAAAAATTAGCTGGGCATGGTGGCGTGCTCCTGTAGTCCCAGCTACTTAGGAGGCTGAGGCAGGAGAATTGCTTGAATCCAGGAGGCAGAGGTTGCAGTGAGTCGAGATCGTGCCACTGCACTGCATCCTGGGCAACAAAGCAAAACTTTGTCTTAAAAAAAAAAAAAATAGTTGGACTAAATTATGCAGGTCAGATACCAGGTTGGCTAAATGTTTTATGGTTATAAACTGCTTTTTGGTCTCTACTAAAAATACAAAAATTAGCTTGGCATTGTGGCAGGCACCTGTAGTCCCAGCTACTCGGGACTCTGAGACACAAGAATTGCTTGAACCGTGAGACAGAGGTTGCAGTGAGCTGGAATCATGCCACTGCACTCTAGCCTGGGTGATAGAGTGAGACTCCATCTCCATCTCAAAAAAAAAAAAATTAATCTTGCAAAGAAATTATCTGTGTGAACATATTGACTAAATTCAAAAGTGTATTGTATGATTTTTCTGTAAATTGAACATTGAAATAAAAGCACAATAAGGTACTCTTAAGGCACTAATCTGCTCTTTGGCAAAATTTGTAAAGGCTTATAAAAGGTTTTTTTTTTTTCTTTTTATGTTTCTGAGTCATTATTTTGGCAAAATAAATAATTTATTGTAATCTGGAATTCTATTTTAAGTGTTTCAAACCTCTAACATATTTAACAGGCTTTCCAAAATAAAACTTCAGTTTCAAAATTGTCTTTCCTGACACCTGGCTTTTCGAATACTTCAGAAGGGCCCCTAGAGTGTCCAGAAAAGAGAGCTAAACAGGATTATTTGAAACATTTAGGTACTTGATACTGTGTTCAATCTTCTTTAGGTTACATTTTGGTGAATAATACATGTTCCAAAATTGTATGGAATTTCTAAAATTCTAATGTCTGAGTATATGCTATCAATCATAATTAAGGTTGTTAAGTTTTTGTAAACCACGGAGATAATCAAACTTCTTTGTCAATTGTGCTTCTAACTGTAACTACACTGAACATTTTGTTATTCACAGACAATTGTTGTTTCGTTTTAATCCTTTTCAAAACAAGGTTTATAATAAGCTATAGAACTTTGACAGGTGCTCTCAAATACAGGTTTCTGATAACTTTGGAGATTGTGACATTGGAATAAAGGAAAAACGTACAGGACTCATGAAGAGCTAAAATGTTCACAAATATCAAGTAAAACAAGAGTTAACTGAATGTACTCAAGAAACTGAAGCAAACTTTTTAACTTTTGCTTGGAATATTGCTGATCCTTATTTTGTTTTTCAGAGTCAAGGAAACTTACTTTGAGCTATTTATGTCCTTTAATAAATTGAGTAAGGTATCCTCTTTTTTTTTTTTTTTTTGAGATGGAGTCTCGCTCTGTCTCCCAGGCTGGAGTGCAGTGGCACAATCTCAGCTCACTGCAAGCTCCGCCTCCCAGGTTCACACTGTTCTCCTGCCTCAGCCTCCCGAGTAGCTGGGACTACAGGCACCCGCCACCAGGCCTGGCTATTTTTTTTGTATTTTCAGTAGAGACGGGGTTTCACTGTGTTAGCCAGGATGGTCTCAATCTCCTGACCTTGTGATCCGCCAGCCTCGGCCTCCCAAAGTGCTGGGATTACAGGCATGAGGAGTAAGGTATACTCTTCTGAACAAAATCTGGAGCATGTTTTTTTTTTGTTTTGTTTTGTTTTGTTTTGTTTTTGAGACGAAGTCTCGCTCTGTCGCCCAGGCTGGAGTGCAGTGGCGGGATCTCGGCTCACTGCAAGCTCCGCCTCCCGGGTTCACGCCATTCTCCTGCCTCAGCCTCCCAAGTAGCTGGGACTACAGGCGCCCGCCACTACGCCCGGCTAATTTTTTGTATTTTTAGTAGAGACGGGGTTTCACCGTTTTAGCCGGGATGGTCTCAATCTCCTGACCTCGTGATCCGCCCGCCTCGGCCTCCCAAAGTGCTGGGATTACAGGCGTGAGCCACCGCGCCCGGCCTGGAGCATGTTTTTTGTTTCTCTCTGCCTTGTTCCTCTAGAATTTGGAAACTATCTGTGAGTATTCTTTTTTGCTTTTGTGTTTGTTTGTTTGTTTTTTGAGATGAAGTCTCATTCTTGTCCCCCAGGCTTATCGGGGGAACCTGCCCCCGATAGTCATGTAAGTTCTTTTCTATTTTCCCTAAGTGTCGGCCAGTCTGAGAAATAAAGGGAAAGAGTACAAAAGAGAGAAATTTTAAAGCTGGGTGTTCGGGGGAGACATCACATGTCGGCAGGTTCCGTGATGCCCCCCAAGCCGTAAAACCAGCAAGTTTTTATTAGTGATTTTCAAAAGGGGAGGGAGTGTACGAATAGGGTGTGGGTCACAGAGATCACGTGCTTCACAAGGTAATAGAATATCACAAGGCAAATGGAGGCAGGACGAGATCACAGGACCACAGGACCAGGGCAAAATTAAAATTGCTAATGAAGTTTTGGCACACATTGTCATTGATAACATCTTATCAGGAGACAGGGTTTGAGAGCAGACAACCGATCTGACCAAAATTTATTAGGTGGGAATTTCCTTGTCCTAATAAGCCTGGGAGCGCTACGGGAGACTGGGGCTTATTTCATCCCTACAGCTTCGACCAAAAAAGACAGCTGCCCCCCAAAGTGGCCATTTCAGAGGCCTACCCTCAGGGACGCATTCTCTTTCTCAGGGATGTTCCTTGCTGAGAAAAAGAATTCAGTGATATTTCTCCCATTTGCTTTTGAAAGAAGAGAAATGTGGCTCTGTTCTGCCCAGCTCACTGGCAGTCAGAGTTTAAGGTTATCTCTCTTGTTCCCTGAACATTGCTGTTATCCTGTTCTTTTTTCGGAGGTGCCCAGATTTCATATTGTTCAAACACACGTGCTCTACAAACAATTTGTGCAGTTAACGCAATCATCACAGGGTCCTGAGGCAACATACATCCTTCTCAGCTTACGAAGATGACGGAATTAAGAGATTAAAGACAGGCATAGGAAATCACAAGGGTATTGATTGGGGAAGTGAAAAGTGTCCATGAAATCTTCACAATTTATGTTCAGAGATTGAAGTAAAGACAGGCATAAGAAATTATAAAAGTATTAATTTGGGGAACTAATAAATGTCCATGAAATCTTCACAATTTATGTTCTTCTGCCGTGGCTTCAGCCGGTCCCTCCATTCGGGGTTCCTGACTTCCCACAACACAGGCTGGAGTGCAATGGCATGATCTCAGCTCGCTGCAACCTCCACCTCCCGGGTTCAAGCAATTCTCCTGCCTCATCCTCCCAAGTAGCTGGGATTACAGGTGCCTGCCACCACGCCTGGCTAATTTTTGTATTTTTAGTAGAGATGGCGTTTCACCATGTTGGCCAGGCTGATCTTGAACTCCTGACCTCAGGTGATCTGCCCACCTCGGCCTCCCAAAGTGCTGGAATTACAGGCATGAGCCACTGCACCCAGCCTCTGTGAGTATTTTTAACTTGTGGTAATATAGTTGTTTGCATCAGTGCAGTAAGAATCCATTTTCTTTTGCAACAGGATGCAACTGGAGAAACTGGTTGTTTTACCAAGGCTTTGAGTGCAAGGGTATGCTTCCCTTTAAGCAGTCAAGCTCGAGTTGCAGAGCCAAAAAAATCCCCTTGGGGAGAAAACTGGCTTCATACCCTTGCCTACACAGTCCCTGTACAGGGTTCCTGACCTGTGGTCAGTAAAGAATGTCACTTTCCTTTTTTTTTTTGAGACAGAGTCTTGCTCTGTCGCCCAGACTGGCGTGCAGTGGCATGATCTTGGCTCACTGCAGCCTCTGCCTCCCAGGTTCAAGCTATTCTCCTGCCTCAGCCTCCTGAGTAGCTGGGACTACAGGCATGTGGCACCACACCCGGCTAATTTTTTTTTTTTTTGTATTTTTGGCAGAGATGGGGTTTCACCATGTTAGCCAGGATGGTCTGGATCTCCTGACCTCGTGATCCGCCTGCCTTGGCCTCCCAAAGTGCTGGGATTACAGGTGTGAGCCACCATGCCCAGCCAAGAGTGTCACTTTCTAACTGGCCCAGAGTTCCAAGTTTATCTTGGGACCTTAAGAGAAGAGGAGCACTCAACTCACAGGTATTTAAGGATACAGACCCATGGCTGGGCTCGGCTTTAAAAGGTCTTCTCTAAGAGTCCTTGTGGAAAAGAGTTGCATCAAAGCCAATCTAAAAGGCCTATGTAGAAATAGTTATTCTTGCTGCACTTTATGCAACTAATCAGGCCAAGTATAAGACTAAAGTCTATTTTGCAAACAACTCAGTCCTATCATGATTTTTTAACAGAAATGAGAACTGGTAACAAAAGAAAAATTGAAAAATAAAAATAAAAATAAATGAGAACTGCAGAGAAAGAAATTATGTTTCAAAACGTATACATTTGTCATTAAATTCTGTTTGTTTGTTTGTTTGTTTTTTGAGACAGTCTCGCTCTGTTGCCAGGCTGGAGTGCAGTGGTGCGATCTTGGCTCACTGCAACCTCCTCCTCCAGGGTTCAAGCAATCCTCCTGCCTCAGCCTCCTGAGTAGCTGGGACTACAGGCGTACACCACCATAGCTAATTTTTGTATTTTTAGTAGAGATGGGGTTTCACCATGTTGACTAGGATGGTCTCAATCTCTTGACCTCATGATCCACCTGCCTTGGCCTCCCAAAGTGCTGGGATTACAGGCGTGAGCCACCGCACCCGACTTCATTTGTCATTAAATTCTAAACTAATTAGTTGTTTTTAAGTCTTTGCCTGCATTTTAGACTAACCCTGCTTGTTCCTGTGAACCAACCAGCAATCTCCAGCTACAGCTCAGAAAGAACAAAAGGGATGGGTAATGTAGAAATCTGGATCAATATTCTTGTTCTGAGCAATTATACATCAAATCCTGCCAGGCAATGGGAATAAATAGGGTGCCCATCACCTGGGGGTTTCCTTTTTGGGAAAGCAAGACCAAGGGAGCTAACCAAAGCCAAGCACCATGCACCCAAATCCTAGCAAGCATAACTATAGCCACCAGTTATCTGGGTGTGTCACAAGACAACCTTTTCTTTCCCTTGTTGGGGGAGGACTCAATTCCACAGCTTCACTTTAGCATTTGGCTTATGATAAGGAGTCCGTGCAACTCCCTCCAAGACACATTTTTGTCTCAAACTCAATTCCAAGCTTTGGGTCAAAGCCCTAGGAAAGAAGACTGGATCTGAGGGATCCAGAGGCAGAAGATAATGGAAGTTAAAAGGCACAGCACAGGTGAGCGTGGCTGACTCCTGCCAATTAAGCTAAGCTTTCTGTTTCATGGATAAAAGTCATGCTAGTATCCATGGCGTAAATGAAGTCTAGGGAATTCACGGCTACTTACAGCAGGGGAGATAAGGCGTATGTGAGTAGAGTGAATAATTCCCTCCCCCAGCCCCGCTAGTTAACATGGGTAAAAGCCTCTTTAACACCCATGGGTGGCATGCTGTTGCATTCGCCAGGACTCAGGGATACAAGGATGGTGGAAAGAAAGAGGAATGCCTCACTTTCCCTCCCTCACATACCCCAGGTATTTGGTAGGAAGAGAAAGGAACTAGGGGCGCCTGCTTGCCCCTTTCTAGATGAGTAGCCATTCACCTTCAGTTTGTACTCCTTTTGAATGCATCTTGAACTCCTGGGACTCCTTTGAAAAAACACCTTTTTTTTCTCCCCTCAGATAATCCTCCAAATTGAGAAAGAGTTAATTTCCCGAACCTTAAACTGGCTAACTTAGAATTGGGCTCAGAGGAAGGGAACCCAGAAGCCTGACATGCCAGCAAAAGGGTAAAAGTTTTTTTTACCAATTGGGCTTTTGGCCTCCCTCTCCCCATACAAACTGGTAAAAGGCCTCATGATTTTTCACCTGTCCTTACCCTTGTTTTGGTTTGATACATGTTTTCTAATAACCCAGTTTGTCTCTTCTCAGCTTCAGGCCATCAAACTCCAAACAGACATGCAACCAGAGCCTTGGACAATGGCCCCTTCTGCAGGGGACCCTAATATAGGCCTCTGAGGGAGATCTGACTGCCGTCTTCCCAAAACAGCACCCCCTGTCAGCAGGAAGCAGTTAAGATTGGTCTTTGTCCTTAGCCTCACTCTAAGAGCAGTTAGATGTACTTCTTTAGACGGGGGAATGAGACAGCCAAGTATAAAGGGGTTCCCAGAGAACATCTGACTGGCCTGCGCACTGGGAGAATGGGGTGGAGCCATGGAAGTTCATGCTGTTTGCAGTGGGGAGGAGCCTGGCCCCTCCTGTTCCTGTGTGGAACCTGGGATTCAATCTGTGAGATGAGGGCCTGTTAACAGGAACCCCTCTCTTGCTTTGCTGTGTTGTTTTTCCTTTTTCCCCAATAAATTCCATCCCCCTCACCCCTCAAAGTTTCTGCGAGCCTAATCTTTCCTGTTCATGTGACAAGAACCTGGATTTTCCTACAACCACAGTGATTAGACAAAGATGTCTGTTGCTAATTTTTCAGGTAAGTTGTTAACAACAACAAAATAGACATTTGCTATAGAGAATGTTAATGTTAGGCAGGGTGAGATGTTTAAGTCAAGACTAATTTCTGAACAGTCTGGAAACGAAATAAAGTAATCCCATTTACAACAGCTACAAATAAAACCAAATATCTAGGAATGAGCTTAACCAAAGAAAAAATCTCTATAATGAAAACTATAAAACACTGACAAAATAAATTGAAGAGGACACAAAAAAATGGAAAGATATTCCATGTTCATGAATTGGAAGAATCAATATTGTTAAAATGTCCATACTACTGAAAGCAATCTACAGATTCAATGCAATCACTATCAAAATATCAATGACATTCTTTACAGAAATGGAAAAGACAATCATAAAATTTATATGGAACCACAAAAGACCCAGAATAGCCAAAGCTATACTAAGCAAAAAGAACAAAACTGAAGGAATCACATTATCTTACTTCAAATTTTGTTACAGAGCTATAGTAACCAAAACAGCATGGTACTGGCATAAAAACAGACATATAGACCAATGGAACAGAATAGAGGACTCAGAAACAAATCCACACACCTGCAGTGAACTCATTGTCAACAAACGTGCCAAGAACACATACTGGGGAAAAGACAGTCTCTTCAATAAATGGTGCTGGGAAAACAGGATATCCATATGCAGAAGAATGAAACTAGACCCCTATCTCTCACCATATACAAAAATTAAATCAAAATGAATTAAAGACTTAAATCTAAGACCTCGAAATATGAAACAACTGCAAGAAAACACCGGAGAAACTCTCCAGGACATTGATCTGTGTAAAAATTTCTTGAGTAATACCCCACAAGCACAGGCAACCAAAGTAAAAATGGACAAATGGGATCACATCTAGTTAAAAAGCTTCTGTACAGCAAAGGAAACAATCATTAAAGTGAAGAGATAACCCACAGAATGGGAGAAAATATTTGCAAACTATCTCTCTGACAAAGGATTAATAACCAGAGTATATAAGGAAGTCAAACAACTCTATGGGAAAAAATATAATCCAGTGAAAATACACAAAACATTTGAATAGACATTTCTCAAAAGAAGACATACAAATGGAAAACAGGCATATGAAAAGGTGCTCAACATCACGGATCATCAGAAAAATGCAAGTTAAAGCTACAATGAGATATCATCTCACCCCAGTTCAAACGGCTTTTATCCAAAAGACAGGCAATAACAAATGCTGGAGAGGATGTGGAGAAAAGAGAACCCTCAAACACTGTTGGTGGGAATGTAAATTAGTGCAACCACTATGGAGAACATTTTAGAGGTTTCTCAAAAAACTAAAAATAGAGCTACGATATGATCCAGCAATCTCACTGCTGAGTATATACCCAAAAGAAAGGAAATGAGTGTATCAGAGAGATCTGCACTTCCATGTTTGTTGCAGCACTGTTCACAAAGATTTGGAAGCGGCTGGGTGTAGTGGCTCACACGTGTAATCCCAACACTTTGGGAGGCCAAGAATTTAGGAGTCTTGAACCTAGGAGTTCAAAATCAGCCTGGGAGGGCTGACGCCTATAATCCCAGTACTTTGGGAGGCTGAGGCGGGCAGATCACTTGAGGTCAGGAGTTCAAGACCAGCCTGGCCAACACGGGGAAACCCCATCCCTACCAAAAATACAAAAAATTAGCCAGGTGTCATGGCGGGGACTTGTAATCCCAGCTACTCAGGAGGCTGAGGCAGGAGAATCGCTTGAACCAAGGAGGCGGAGGTTGCAGTGAGCCGAGATGGCGCCACTGCACTCCAGCCTGGGTGACAGAGCAAGACTCCATCACAAAACAAACAAACAAAAAACAGCCTGGGCAACATAAGGAGACCTAATCTCTATAAAAATTTAAAATTTTTGTATACTACAGCCTCGGTGACAGAGACCTCAATTCAAAAAATAAATAATAGAAATCTCAACAGTCTTTTAGGCCTTCCAATCATCAGTTCCTACCAATGCCAGCATTGTTTTATGCCATCGCCTCTACCACCAGGTCCCCCTTACTTTTAGTTGCTGTCCTACAAGTCTTCTTTAGGCTTTTCCAGCAGCGTCTTCCAGTTTCAAGACTTTTCCCTAAGCTGTCCAATTTGTATGGAATGCTGTTCCCACTCTTACCTCCTTTAACTAATTAATCCCTATTCATCTTTCAGATCTTAGCTGATTAAATAAGTAGGCTACTCGCCCTGCACTTCTCATAACACTTCTTCCGACTGTAATTAAACTAATTATGCAATTACTTAGTCTGTCTCCTCAAGTAGGCTGTAGGGACTTATGTGTCTTGGTTATAGCTATATCCCCAGGGCTTAGCATCATGCCTAACCCATAAGTACCCAATAAATACTTCTTGAACAAAGAGCAATGGTTTGGGAAAGTAAAGAGTTTCGTGTGACTGGAGGTTAGAGAGATTTGCCATAAACCTTCCTAAAACCTGTTTATCAGTGGTCTCTGGTGCCCACCAATAAAAAGTGCATAAGATAGGGCCTTAGGGGCCGAGTGACAAGGTCTGGGCAGGACTGTTGCCTCCTGCAGGTCACCTATGCACACTGACTATAGTGTCTGATGGAGAAAGCCCCTGTCCCCACCTTTTGTGATTTTGCAAGCTAGGATTCCCTAACTTCTTAATGTAAGTCGCTTGGACTCTTCAAATTACTAAACCTAGGCACTGGTCAGGACAGGGGGATGGAAACTTAAGGCCCAGGTCCAGCACTGCCTTGAAACCAACGGACAATCATTGCCCTGATCGCTCACTCCTGAGGTGGCCAATTTGAGGCATTCTTGAGAAGACTCCAGGGAAGCATGCAGTGCTTAAGATGTGCCAGTAGATGGCGCTACTTCCCAACGTGCCTAATGCAAGGATACAGAATTACTCAGCCTCCTCACAGGTTCCTCCAGAACCAGGATATGAATATTTGGGCTTCAAGGGCAGGTCACATCCAGCAGCCCGAGGTCTGTCATCCCTGAGGGAAACAGCCTCCATCTCAGGCCTGACCAGGCAAATAAGACAAGCAAGCAATATGGATGCTCCAATGGCTTTATTAACTCCCTCTTTCCGTTGTGGCAGGACCTCATTAGCTGCAGAGCTGGAAGGGAGGCCAAGAAGCTGTGGTCTCAGTACGGGTCATTAAAGGGGTACAGAGGATGCCCTGCATCCCTTGGGACTCTCTTCCCATCCACCTGGAAAGAGAGACAGATAGATTACTCCATCAGCAGGAGTTGCCATTCCAAAGACTCCAGGCATCTTCCCCAAATCTTCCTAAACAAACTCACCTGTGTACAGCACTATGCCAGATGGCATTGGCTGGGATCCCCATCCTCAGAGAACACCACAGTATCAACACCATTCTAGCACCAAACCCATAGCCTGATATGTAGCTACCCCTGCCCCTAAGAGTTTGCAGTCTGAACTGAGATCAAGAGGCCAGGAACCATTTATTTCCCTAAGTACAGCCGACTTCCCTCCCAACCCCAATCCCTCGAGTGAGGTCAACAACGCCTTCTGGGCTCTCCTCATATCATTTACTGAGAATCTACTACATGTCAGGAACTGGGCTCATTTTACACATAGGAAGCTGAGGCTTGGAGAAGTTTAATAACTTGCTCTAGGTTACAAGATATCAAGAAGCAGGACTGGGACTCACAGGTTATATGCCTTATCCCTGAGCCATACTACTTCCCTGAGCTCAATAAAGAGAAATGAGGGCACTATGTCCAGCATAGCAATCCCACCCACAACATTGTGTCCTTCTCACAACCAGCAAGCCTTAGGTCACACCTGGGCCAGAATCCCACCCCAAATCTCACATTCCCCAAGTCTAGGAGGCTGATACATCCTCACCGTAAGCATAGGCACAATATATCTCCAATTTTTGTTCAGGGCATTTAGCTGCTTCATCTCTTCTGGGCTAAAGGTGAAGTCAAACACCTGAGGATGGAGAGTGGGGTTCAAGAAAGCCAGCTTTGTGAGCAGAAGCTGGGGTTCCACAACACTGCCTTTTTAGCCAGGTAGAGTCAGGGCCAAGAAAATGTCCCAAAGAGCTAAAGAAGATAGAACCCATTACCAAGTACCTTGATGTTCTGAAGGATTCGAGAAGGAGTGATACTTTTGGGGATGCAGATCACTTTCCGCTGGACCTGCCACCTAAGTTGGGGGATTAGACAGATGAGGAAAAGGGGTCAGTATTCATAAGCACTATTTTGTTCCCCATGCAGCTTCCCTAAGCTCCTGGAGCACCTGAGCCCTGCTGAAATGGGAAATATGCCTACAGTGGCCTCCCTCCAGATCACAAGGCAAGATCCTCAGCCTCACCCAGACACTGAAATAAGAAATCCCTTAACCCTTGCCTCCCAACCCAGGGCCCTCTCCCTAAGACTGCCCCATACCTGAGCAAGATCTGAGCTGGAGATCGGCCATACTTTTCAGCCAATGCCAGGACTACTGGTTCCTCCAGCAGGACAGGCTCATCAGGATCACGCCATGCACGATCAGAGGAGCCCAAAGGGCTATAAGCAGTTACCTCCAGGCCACGTGCTTGGCAGTGGGCAATTAGCTCATTTTGAGCCAAGTATGGGTGGCATTCCACCTGAGCCAAAGAATAACCCATCACCATGAAGTGGTGACACCCAGCTTGCTTGGCCCATCCCAGACATGCATGTCTGGACCACCCCCTATTGCTGACTCCTCCACTCCCCTTCAGCCTGCTTTTCTCACCATTTCCCATCGGCAATTTCATTCTCTCCCACTGCTTCAATGCCCACCTTTATGCAGAGGACTTCTGCACCAACACTCTGACAACTTGCTAGCTATCTCCCTTAAGCAGATCCATCGTCTGCTCCCTCATGCTCTTGAGCAGACAACCCCTAAACCACTCATCTGCTTGCTGTCCTTACCTGCAAGACAGCTGGACGCACGGAGGCCACACTGAGTATGTCATCAATCTGCCGACTGTTGAAGTTGGACAGGCCCAGCGCCTGCACCAGCCCCTTAGCCACCAGTGCCTCCAGAGCCTTCCAAGTCTCCTTGTAGTGGGTGGAGTCGTAGCATATAGTCCCATCAGCATTCTTGGGGAAGGGGTTGTCTCCCCGCCTGAGTGAGAGACAGCCCCACCAAGTGTGGACACAAATGCCAGGCTTCTACCCTACCTGCCCATCCAGCCACTCTATGTCCCAAACTCCAATCCCAGAGAGGACAAAGGGCCAAGAATTTTTAAAAAGCCATGCTTTTTCTTTTTTTTTTTTTTTGAGATGGAGTCTCGCTTTACCGCCCAGGCTGGAGTGCAGTGGCACTATCTCAGCTCACTGCAAGCTCCACCTCCTGGGTTCACGCCATTCTCCTGCCTCAGCCTCCCCAGTAGCTGGGACTACAGGCGCTCACCACCACGCGCAGCTAATTTTTTGTATTTTTAGTAGAGACGGGGTTTCACCGTGTTAGCCAGGATGATCTCGATCTCCTGACCTCGTGATCCGCCCGCCTTAGCCTCCCAAAGTGCTGGGATTACAGGCGTGAGCCACCGCGCCTGGCCAAAAAAAGCCATGCTTTTTCATCCTTCCAGATCGTAACCCAGGTGTTAAGTTTACATGGAATGCCTATGCCCCCTCCTCTTCCTAGACGTAGATATCTCCTCTCCCCTAGGAAGTCTTCCTTAACTCATCCTCAGGGAGTTATCCACCCTTCTTCCAGCACAGGGCACGGCACTAATGGTGAGCTCTTCTCACATCTTCTGCTGAGACTTACTTATTACTGTAACCCCAGGTGCTCAACAGAAAAGTCAGCACCTTTTCTAAATGAATAAAGGGAGCAGGAGGGTTACAGGTGCATACCCTGGGGTACACACCATGTGAGACTGCCTTCCTTTTTCCAGAGTTAAACTCCTGTAGCTACAGCTAAGCTGCTGTAGCAGAAGAGGCTAAGATCCCATGTCAAGCTCCTCAGCTTGGCATGCAAATGAGTGTTCCTATCCTGCTCTGCTGCTGTGACTTACAATAAGTTACTAACACCATCCTGCTCAACCCCCTGATTCCCCAGATGAGGCTCTGGCAAGGCTCACTCAAAGGCATAAGGCCAGTGCATCAGGTACAGGTCCAGATACTCCAGCTGGAGGTCAGCCAGAGTCTTCCGGAGGGCAGGCTCCACATCCTCGGGGTGGTGCTTGGTGTTCCACAGCTTGGATGTCACAAACAGCTCCTCCCGAGGCACCGCCTAGTGCAGGGGGCAGGGCCCACAGTGAGAAGAGCCATGAGCACGTGGTCTCACCCACCCTCAACTCTGGGAGAGGAACTGGAAGGAAGCTGATGCCAGATTCCCTCCAGCTGGGCCCCAGCCCTAGCTTCAGCTTCTAAGTTCTCTTATCCCACCTCTATTTACAACCCCAGTCCTTACCTTGCCTGGTCCCACGTCCTCCTTCAGGGCCTCCCCAATCTCAGGCTCATTGCCGTAGATAGCAGCACAATCAATGTGGCGGTAGCCTACGCTAAGGGCATACTTAACAGCTGCTTTTACCTGCCAGGTGAGAGAAGCAGAGGTTTCAGCTATGTTGGTTTCAGCCTTCTACTGTCACCACCCCAAGGTCAATGCTGGGGGAAGGGGGCTCAGAAATATAACAGGCACATCTATGCAGTGGAGGTGAAAAGATGGAAGATGAACTGGGCGCGGTGGCTCACGCCTGTAATCCCAGCACTTTGGGAGGCTGAGGTGGGCAGATCCCCTGAGGTCAGGAGTTCGAGACCAGCCTGGCCAGCTGGAGGTCAGCCTGGCCAACATGGTGAAACCCCATCTCTGCTAAAAATACAAAATTAGCCAGGTGTGGTGGCAGGTGCCTGTAATCCCAGCTACTCAGGAGGCTGAGGCAGGAGAATCACTTGAACCCAGGAGGCAGAGGTTGCAGTGAGCTGAGATTGTGCCACTGCACTTCAGCCTCGGCAACAAGAGCGAAACTCCATCTCAAAACAAAGAAAGAAAAAAAAAAAGATGGAAGATGGTTTCAGTCTAAGGGACCAGAAGCCTCTTCAGAGGCTCCAAACCCTTTGCTCTGCTCCCACCCCAACCAGTCTCTAAGATGCCTTCCTACCCAAGCCATCTCAGCAAGGTCTAGCAAAAACTAACAATATTTTCCCGGCATCTACCATAAAGAGGGCTTCAGTAAATATTTTTTCAGGCTGAGCACAGTGGCTCACGCCTGTAATCCTAGGACTCTGGGAGGCTGACATGGGAGCATTGCTTGAAGGCAGAAGTTCAAGACCAGCCTAGTCAACATAGTGAGACCCCCACCTCTTTAAAAAAAAAAAAAAAATTAAGGCCAGGCGTGGTGGCTCACGCCTATAATCCCAGCACTTTGGGAAGAAGAGGCAGGTGAATCACCTGAGGTCAGGGGTTTGAGACCAGCCTGGCCAACATGGTGAAATTCTTTTCTCTACTAAAAATACAAAAATTAGCTGTGCATGGTGGCATATGCCTGTAGTCCCAGCTACTCAGGAGGCTGAGATAGGAGAATCGCTTGAACCCAGGCGGGGGAGGCTGCAGTGAGCTGAGATCATGCCACTGCACTTCATCCTGGGCGAGACAGAGTGAGACTCCGTCTCAAAAAAACACAAAAAAAATAACAACAAAAAATTGAAAACAAATTTTTTTTTTTAAATAAAAGCCAGGCGCGGTGGCTCACACCTGTAATCCCAGCACTTTGGGAGGCCGAGGTGGGTGGATCACCTGAGGTCGGGAGTTTGAGACCAGCCTAACCAACACGGAGAAACCCCGTCTCTACTAAAAATACAAAATTAGCTGGGCGTGGTGGTGCATGCCTATAATCCCGGGTACTTGGGAGGCTGAGGCAGGAGAATCGCTTGAACCTGGGAGGTGGAGGTTACAGTGAGCCAAGATCATGCCATTGCACTCCAGCCTGGGCAACAAGAGTGAAACTCCTTCTCAAAAAAAAAAAAAAAAAAAAAAAAATGGCTGGGTGTGGTGGCTCACGCCTGTAGTCCCAGCACTTTGGGAGGCTGAGGTGGGTGGATCATGAGGTCAGGAGATCGAGACCATCCTGGCTAACACGGTGAAACACCGTCTCTACTAAAAATACAAAAAATTAGCTGGGCGTGGTAGGGGGTGCCTGTAGTCCCAGCTACTCAGGAGGCTGAGGCAGGAGAATGGTGTGAACCTAGGAGGCGGAGCTTGCAGTGAGGCGAGATTGCGCCACTGCACTCCAGCCTGGGCGACAGAGCAAGACTCCATCTCAAAAATAAAATTAAATAAATAAATAAATAAATAAAAATTTAAAAATTTTCAAAAATAAATAATTTTTTTTTTCAATCAGAAGACAGATGGATAAATAGAGAAAAGAAGTATAGACCATGGAAACAAGTTCCAGGTTCTAAGGAGCTGGTTAGAGAAACACAGGAAAAAATTCCTAGGCCAAGGACATACAGGGAGTTGTGTAGACAGACTCTGGGAACTCTGGGAGCACAGGCCAGCAAAAGAGGTTAGAAGGGGGAAAAGATTAAGGAAGGCAGATAAGTAGGCTGAAAGCTGGAGGCAGATAAGTGGGCTAAAAGCTGGACCCAGAACTCCCTAATGAGAGAGAAGAAAACAGGCATCAGATAGAAGGATGGGTCAGTTAATTTTGCTAAAATCCAGACTGGAAACACGGCATCAGCAGCAGAAACAAGGGTACCCGGCCCTAGACACAAAGCACCCAAAGCTCTTGTTGTGGGTGCCTGACATAGTATTCAAGATCCCCACCCGGGTGCCGACGTACTTCCCCTAACATCTGACCCCTGCTGTTCCATGCCCCGCCTTGGCCTTGTCTGTGGCCCCCAACCCTCTGCCTTGACCTAGCTCCTGGACTTCTCCGAGGCTGTGAGAAGTGCCTGCCTAAAGCACAGGGACCCTGGCTCCAGGCTCCTTGGCAGCTATAGGAAAGAAAGCAAAAGGGAAAAGAGACACAGGTCATCCAAGCACACCACAAACATCAGTCTAAATCCCAGATAGAAGAATCTGTTCTCTCTGCTGGGGCTTCTCTGAAACTTAATCCCCAAACTTCTCTTCACTCTGACTCAAGATTTCCAAGGAAGAAGGAAGAAGCCCTGGGGAAATGCCCCATTCCAGGCAGGAGCCAAATCTCATAGCTACGTCCACCCTGAGAGAGCAGGTCCATATTCCCAGACTCCCCTCAGCTGGGATGGTCTACACCAGGGGTCAGTCAATTATCAACTTTAACAGTTCTTGAGTTAAGAACTACATTTATATTTTTAAGTGGTTACTTATTTATTTTATTATTATTTTTCTTGGGACGCAGTTTTGCTCTTGTTGCCCAGGCTGGAGTGCAATGGCACGATCTCGGCTCACTGCAACCTCCGCCTCCCGGATTCAAGTGATTCTCCTGCCTCAGACTCCTGAGTAGCTGGGATTACAGGCATGCACCACCACGCCTGGCTAATTTTGCATTTTTAGTAGAGATGAGGTTTCTCCGTGTTGGTCAGGCTGGTCTCGAACTCCCAACCTCAGGTGATCCGCCTGCCTCAGCCTCCCAAAGTGCTGGGATTACAGGCATGAGCCACCACACCCAGCTTAAGTGGTTACATATTAAAAGGTCACATGAGTGTATAATCACCTCCATCTGTAACTTGTCCAATAGAATCTAATTGTTTTTTAACTTTTTTTCCTTAATTTTTCCCCCTAGACGGAGTCTTGCTCTGTTGCCTAGGCTGGAGTGCAGTGGCGTAATTTTGGCTCACTGCAACCTCTGCCTCCCAGGTTCAAGCAATTCTAATGCCTCAGCCTCCCAAGTAGCTGGGATTACAGGTGTGTGCCACCACGCCTGGCTAATTTTTGTATTTTTAGTAGAGACGGGGTTTCACCACGTTGGCCAAGCTGGTCTCGAACTCCTGACCTTGTGATCCACCTGCCTTGGCCTCCCAAAGTGCTGGGATTATAGGCGTGAGCCACAGTGTCCAGCCTACCTTTTTTTTTTTTAAGATGGTCTCGCTCTGTCCAGGCTGGAGTGCAGTGGCATGATCATAGGTCACTGCAGCCTCGACTTCCAGGGCTCCAGCAATCCCCCTAACTCAGTCTCTCAAGTAGCTGGGACCACAGGCGCATTCGAATTTTTTTAATTTTTTGTAGAGACGGGGGTCTCACTGTGTTGCCCAGTCTGGTCTCAAATTCCTGGGCTCAAGCAATCTTCCTGCCTTGGCGTCCCAAAGTGCTGGGATTACAGGTATGAGCCACCACACTTGGCCCTATCTTGTTCTTTAAAAAATAGTTTGTGGCCGGGCAAGGTGGCTCACATCTGTAATCCCAGCACTTTGGGAGGCCAAGGCAGGTGGATCTCCTGAGGTCAGGAGTTCAAGACCAGCCTTGCCAACATGGTAAAACCCTGTCTCTACTAAAAATACAAAAATTAGCCAAGTGTGGTGGCTCATGCCTGTAGCCCCAGCTACTCGGGAGGCTGAGGCAGGAGAATCACTTGAACCCATGAGGCAGAGGTTGCAGTGAGCCAAGATCACGCCACTGCACTCCAGCCTGGGGAACAGAGTGAGACTCGGTTTCAAAAAAAAAAAAAAGTTTGCTGGGCCCGTGTGTTAGTGTGTGCCTGTGGTCCCAGCTACTCAGGAGGCTGAGGTGGGAGGGTCACTTGAGCCCAGGAGGTCAAGGCTGCCGTGAGCCAAGATTGTGCCACTGCACTCCAGCCTGGGCAACAGAGCGAGACCCTGTCTCGAGTAAAAAAAAAAAAAAAAAAAAAAAAATTTGCTGACCTTTGGTCTATACAATATACAATTCACCTAGTTATTCTTCAAACCTTGACACCTGCTATGTGCCTAATTCTGGACTGAGCAGTAGGGAGAGGCTGAGCCCTCAAAGAACCCAGTGTGGGAGAGGAGACATGATCACAGCACAGGGTGATAACTGCCATATTAGGGGTCATAGCATAGGGATGGGCACAGAGGGGCCCCATGTTTGCCACAGCACTCAGTGCAGATCCAGTTAGAGAAAGATGTCCTTCCTATGCCCCCAGCCCTGCTGGGCCCCTCAGCCCACTCTCTGAGTCAGCTGGGGAAGCCCAGGATGTATAATTGGTGTCTTCTCTTATCTCTTCCCACTGGCTCATCCCCGCTGGAAGGGGAGTATGGGGGTGGGGCTGCTAGGAAAATGCAGGCAGAGGCTCAACAAGTTTCTTTTTTCTTCCCCCATCCCTCACCTGACCAGGCTCACTCTTCCAGGTACCCAGACCAATCAGAGGCATCTTCTGCCCAGTGTGCAGTAGAACACAGGAAGCCGCCATTGCCCCCTGAAACACAGATGGGAAGAGAATGGTGTTGGGGTTAGTGCTGTTGTTCAGGTCTCAGATTTCCACTGTCAAGAATACTGCAAAGCGCCAAGTGCAGTGGCTCACACCTGTAATCCCAGCACTTTGGGAGGCTGAGGCGGGCAGATCACCTGAGGTCAAGAGTTCAAGACCAGTTGGGTCAACATGGTAAAACCCCATCTCTACTAAAAATACAAAAATTATCTAGGCATGGTGGCGCGCACCTGTAGTCCCAGCTGCTCGGGGGGCTGAGGCACAAGAATCACTTGAACCTGGGAGGTGGAGGTTGCAGTTAGCTGAGATTGCGCCACTGCACTCCAGCCTGGGTGACAGAGTAAGACTCTGTCTCACTACTACAAAGCATGGGCCGGGAAGAGGGGACAGATGTGTAGGACAAACACGTGGTTATATATGTGCCTGTGAGCAAAGGCAGCAGAGACAGGGTGCCCAAAACCAACCATGGCCAGTAGCTCCTGGACAAACACTAACCAGACCACCAGCCTGGCTGCCCTTCTCTGTGGCAGGCTAAAGATCTCTGTTAAAGAACTGCACTATCTAAAAACAAAAGCAGGGTGGCCACACAGAAGCACCCAGTCTTGACTAAATAAGGTCTCAAGCCAGTGTAAGGCAGGCAAAGGCCATTATGAGAGAGAGACCAGGTAACTGAATAGGCCCAGGAAGGGGCCACTTCTCTGAGAATGAAATAAATGTTCCCAGGAGGTTGTCAGAACTACAGAGATTCTCGGCCAGGCACGGTGGCTCACGCCTGTAATCCCAGCACTTTGGGAGGCCGAGGCGGGTGGATCACGAGGTCAGGAGATCGAGACCATCCTGGCTAACTCAGTGAAAGACCATCTCTACTAAAAATACAAAAAATTAGCCAGGCGTGGTGGCGGGTGCCTGTAGTCCCAGCTACCTGGGAGGCTGAGGCAGGAGAATCACTTGAACCCAGGAGGCGGAGGTTGCAGTGAGCTTAGATTGCACCACTGCACTCCAGCCTGGGCAACAGAGCGAGACTTTGTCTCAAAAAAAAAAAAAAAAAAAAGAACTGCAGAGATTCTCCAAGTACCTTTCACAGAGGTCTGGTCAGCCATGCTGGTAGGCCCGAGTGGGCTCCTGCAAGGGAGGTAAAGGGAGTCCTAAAAAAGGAACTCTTTTTTAGACTCAGGGTCTGGTTCTGTCTCCTAGGTTGGAGAACAGTGGTGTGATCATGGCTCACTGCAGCCTTGAACTCCTAAGCTCAAGTGATATTCCTGCCTCACCCTTCCAAGTAGCTGGGACTACAGGCCTGTGCCAGCACACCTGGATGTTTTTAAACTTTTTTAGAGATGGTTCTGGCTAGGTTGCCCAGGCTGGTCTTGAACTTCTGACCTCAAGCTATCCAGCCACTTCAGCACCCTGAGTTGCTGGGATTACAGGTATGAGCCACCATATCCAGATCTTTAATTTTTTAGTTGAGAAAATAGGCTCAAAGAAGTGAAGTTAGACCGGGCGCTGTGCCTCACACCTGTAATACAAGCACATAGGAAGGCCAAGGCAGGCAAATCACTTGAGGTCAAAAGTTAGAGACCAGCCTGGCCAACAGAGTGAAACCCCATTTCTACCAAAAAATACAAAAATTAGCTAGGCGTGGTGGCATGCACCTGTAGTCCCAGCTATGGAGGCTGAGGCGGGAGAATCGTTTGAACCCGGGAGGCGGAGGTTGCAGTGAGCCAAGATTGCGCCACTGCACTCCAGCCTGGGCGACACAGCCAGACTCCATCTCAAAAAAAAAAAAAAGTGAAGTTATTTGCTCCAAATCAACAGCTAAGAAGTGGCAAAACTGGCTGGGCACAGTGGCTCACGCCTGTAATCCCAGCACTTTGGGAGGTTGAGGTGGGCGGATCACAAGGTCAAGAGATCGAGACCAGCCCTGGTCAACATAGCGAAACCCCGTCTCTACTAAAAATAGAAAAATTAGCCGGGCATGGTGGCGGGTGCCTATAATCCCAGCTACTTACTTGGGAGGCTGAGGCAGGAGAATTGCTTGAACCCGGGAGGCGGAGGTTGCAGTGAGCTGAGATCATGCCACTGCACTCCAGCCTGGGTGACAGAGGGAGACTCCGTCTCAAAAAAAAAAAAAAAAAAAAAAAAAAAGAAAAGAAAAGAGAAAAGAAGTGGCAAAACCAAGGATCTAAGGAGGAGCTAATGGAAAAAAGGCAAATAAACACAGACCTATAAAAAGATACTCATGGTAGACACAAGTATGATGTACTACAGAAAAGGGCAAGGACAAAGAAATATTGACACTGGTTTTTAAGAATTCCCAAGAGTTAAGGGGAAGAACTCTTTCCAGGAAAGGAAACTATACACATGACTTCAGTGCAGCAGAAAAGTAACTAATTACAGATACAAGTAAATTTCCAACCAAACAAAGCAGGTAACTGGAGCCTCCCCCTCTGGAAAGCTATGCAAATAAGAGGTCACCAAATGGCCCAAGAATACTCGTTTTGTCAGTAAATTGAATGTTCCAACTCTTGTGCTAAACCCAAGAGAAAAATGTATTTAAATATTTAAACTGCCTTCCTTCAGTTTATGGTCTTGTAATGGGAACAGGTGATATCAGTACACTGTGATAAGAGCTTTGATCAAATTCTGCACAAGAGCTGCACAAGGGTGGCAAGAAAAGGGTAACCTTGCTAGGATGGCTTCTTGGAGGAATCTCTTCCTGAGTCAAGTCCTAAAGAATAACTGAACAGGAGCTATTCAAGTGAAAGAAAAGGAGAGAGAATGTTCACACCAAGAGCCAATGAGGTAGATACAACCTTTTCCCTTGATCTCATCAGTACCATGAATATCACTCTTGGGATTGATTTAATTGCCAACAATATCTTTATAAATATAATCTTAGTTTCCAGGTTCTAAAAGGATGTAGGATAGAGCAAGTAATAAGACAAGCTGTGGCCAGGAGTGGTGGCTCACACCTGTAATCCTAGCACTCTGGAAGGCCGATGCGACGGATCACCTGAGGTCAGGGTATTACCAGCCTGGCCAACATGGCGAAACCCCATCTTTACTGAAAATACAAAAATTAGGCCGGGTTTGGTGGCTTACACCTGTAATCCCAGCACTTTGGGAGGCCGAGGAGGGCAGATCACGAGGTCAGGAGTTCGAGACCAGCCTGACCAACATGGTGAAACCCCGTCTCTCCTAAAAATACAAAAATTAGCCGGGCATGGTGGCACATGCCTGTGGTCCCAGATACTCAGAAGGCTGAGACAGGAGGAATCGCTTGAACTCGGGAGGTGGAGGTTGCAGTGAGCCGAGATTGAGCCACTGCACTCCGGCTTGGGTGACAGAGCAAGACTCCATCTCAAAAAAAAAAAAAAAAAAAAATTAGCTGGGCGTGGTGGCACATGCCTGTAATCTCAGCTACTTGGGAGGCCAAGACATGAGAATCACCTGAACCCGGGAGGCGGAGGTTGCAGTGAGCTGATATAGTGCCACTGCACTCCAGTCTGGGTAACAGAGCGAGACCCTGTCTCAAAAAATAATAATAATAATAAGACAAGTTGAGGCTGGGTACAGTGGCTAACGTCTGTAACCCCAGCACTTTGGGAGGCCGAGGCAGGCAGATCACTTAAGACTTGAGGTCAGGAGTTCGAGACCAGCCTGGCCAACAAGGCGAAACCCCCTCTCTACTAAAAATACAAAAATTAGCTGGACATGGTGGTGCACACCTTAATCCCAGCTACTCGGGTGGCTGAGGCAGGAGAATCGCTTGAACCCAGGAGGCAGAGGTTGCAGTGAGCTGAGATCATGCCACTGCACTCCAGCCTGGGATACAGAGTGAGGCTCCATCTCAAAAAAAAAAAAAAAGACAAGTTGTGAGTAAAGCCAGTACACCAACACTGTCTTTCCTAATACTTCTGACCCAGGAAGAATTTTATAGTCTAGTTTAAGTTGGTTTTGGAAACCACTCTTTTCTGCTAAAACAAAATCAAAACTTCAATCTGAGTGTCAAACCACAAGCTACCAGGGCAATGCTCTTTATAATCAAATTTCCAAGGGATCAAGCAAGCAAGTCTGGACTTGACAAGAGGAACCTGGTGGCCTGCTGCCACCAGGGTCTAAGGCAGGTTTCCTGGGCTTAATGCCCAATGACCTGTTGGCCTCTCGCAGATTACCCAGCACGCATGAGAAGGCTCTGAAATTACACCTGGGGTGAGAGCTTGAACAACACCCTGGCTTAAGGGGAAAAGGAAGAAGAAACCTGAATCTTGCTTCTCCCTTTCTTTTGCTGGTGAAACTGAACACCGAAAAGGCTGAGGCTTGGGGAACAGGGATGAAAGATGGAGGAGATCTGCAAAGAACAAGAGCTCCCTAGGGAAGAATGAAGGTGCCACATAGATGTTTTTCTCTAGGACAGAAAATCATCCTCGGCCAGCTCTTGACTTCCTCATCTTCTGCTTGATACAACTGCTTTCCAGCCTAGCTGTGCGTGAACAGATTCCAGACTCTGAGCTTGTCAGGAACTGCCTATCTGGACCTTTGGCAGCATTCAGAAACCCTCATGTTATCTTTTTTATTTTTATTTTTTTGAGATAGAGTTTCATTCTTGTCACCCAGGCTGGGGTGCAATGGCGCGATCTTGGCTCACTGCAACCTCCACCTCCTGGGTTCAAGCGATTCTCCTGCCTCAGCCTCCCCAGTAGCTGGGATTACAGGCATGTGCCACCACGCCCAGCTAATTTTTGTATTATTAGTAGAGACAGGGTTTCACCATGTTGGCCAGGCTGGTCTTGAACTCCTGACCTCAGGTGATCCACCAGTCTCAGCTTTTCAAAGTGCTGGGATTACAGGCATGAGTCACTGTGCCCAGCCTATCTTTTACTTTATTTATTTATTTTGTTTGAGATGGAGTTTCACTCTTCTTGCCCAGGCTGGAGGGCAATGACGCAATCTTGGCTCACCACAACCTCCACCTCCCAGGTTCAAGCGATTCTCCTGCCTCAGCCTCCCGAGTAGCTGGGACTACAGGCGCCCGCCACCACGCTCGGCTAATTTTTGTATTTTTAGTACAGACGGGGTTTCACTGTATTGGCCAGGCTGGTCTCGAACTCCTGACCTTGTGATCCACCCACCTCGGCCTCCCAAAGTGCTGGGATTACAGGCGTGAGCCACTGCGCCCGGCTATCCTTTTTTTCTTTTAAGACGGAGTCTTGCTCCGTCACCCAGGCTGGAGTACAGTGGCACGATCTTGGCTCACTGCAACCTCCACTTCCCAGGTTCAAGTGATTCTCTTGCCTCAGACTCCAGAGTAGCTGGGATTACAGGCGCCCACCACCACACCTGGCTAATTTTTTGTATTTTTAGTAGAGACGGGGTTTCACCATGTTGGGTAGGCTTGTCTCAAACTCCTGACCTCAAGCAATCCACCCACCTCGGCCCAATGTGCTGGGATTACAGGCGCGAGCCGCCGCGCCCGGCGGAAACCTTCATGTTATATTCAAGTGTAAAAGAGAGATGTGTGGGTTGAGTGGGGAGGAGGGTATTATCAGGAATCAGGTTTTATTATTTCCAATTCAATGCCTAGGTTCCTTCCCTCTGTTGAATTCTTTCTTTCTCAAAGGGCTCTACAGTTGCTGCCTGGCTGCAGGGAAGTAGAAGACACAGGAAAAAAAGGAAACAATATCTACATGAGTGTTTCCTAGCTGCATGGGCCTCTCCTCTGGCTCCCACATATGCTGGTGTGGGAGGCAAAGGAAAGGTCCCTTCAGGGTTTTCTCCTCAATCTTCTCATTCCCTAGTTGAGTTCATGTCTTCGGTTATCGCCTTAGGCCTTGATTCTTCTCACCCCACTTCTGTATATTCAACGCCCTCTGGACCTCTCCACTAGTATGTATAGGCATCTGAGATTCGCCATGTCCAAAACTGTACTCATCAAATCCAGCAGTAGAGTACAGAGGAAACAGTTTAGGCTGTGGGGCTACGCAGACCTGGGTTTGAATCTCAGTTCTGATATTTTCAAGAGATACTATATCTAAAGCACCTTGCACAGGGCCTAACCCATGCTCTTCTTTCTGTATAGTCATCCCGTGGTATCCACAGGAGATTGGTTCCAGGACCCCTTCAGATACCAAAATCCTGGGATGCTCCAGTCCCTTATATAAAATGGCATAGTATTTGCATAAACCTAAGTACATCTTCCTGTATATTTTAATCAACTCTAAATACTTATAATTCCTAATACAATATAAATGCTAAATGCTAGGTAAATAGGTGTTATAATTTTTTTTTTTTTTAGACACAGTTTCACTCTTGTTGCCCAGGCTGGAATGCAACGGCGCAATGTCGGCTCACCGCAACCTCCGCCTCCTGGGTTCAAGTGATTCTCCTGCCTCAGACTCCCGAGTAGCTGGGATTACAGGCATGCGCCACCACGCCTGGCTAATTTTGTATTTTTAGTAGAGACAGGGTTTCTCCATGTTGGTCAGGCTGGTCTCGAACTCCCGACCTCAGGTGATCCACCCACCTTGGCCTCCCAAAATGCTGGGATTACAGGCGTGAGCTACCACGCCCGGCCTATACTGTATTTTTTTATTTGAATTTTTAAAGTTGGTTTTTGTTCCCAAGTATTTTTGATTCTAGGTTGAATCCGCAGATGCACAACTTGTGGATAGAGTGTTGACTTTGTACTCTATCTCACCAAAAGACCAAAGCCCTGGATAACAAGTGTTAAAGCAAACCAGACAACATGTTGATAGTATAATCCATTTGGGCCTTAAAAAAAAACATCTGGTTGCGTGTGGTGGCTCATGCCTGTTAATCCCAGCACTTTGGGAGGCTGAGGCAAGCAGATTGCTTGAGTCCAGGAGTTCGAGACCAGCCTGGGGGACATGGCAAAACTTAATCTCTACAAAAAATATGAAAATTAGCCAGGCATAGTGATGTGTCTCTATGGTCCTAGCTACTCAGGGGGCTGAGGCAGGAGGATCCCTTGAGCCTGGGGGGCAGAGGTTGCAATGAGCTGAAATCACACCACTGCACTCCAGCTTGGGCCACAGACTGAAACCCTGTCTAAAAAATAAATAAATAAAAGCCATCTAAAGAAAGTATTTGTAGTTCCTTGCAGGCATTTATGAGTATTATCAGATTATGGTTTTGATAAGTAGTTGGTGAGGAGAGTATTTTCTCCTGTACTTTTCTTTTTGAGACAGGGTCTCACTCTGTTGCCCAGGCTGGAGTGCAGTGGCCCATTCATGGCTCATTGCAGCTTCGAACTCCTGGACTGGAGCAATCCCGAGTAGCTGGGACTACAGGCACATGTCACCACACCCAGCTTATTTATTTACTTATTTATTGAGACAGAGTCTCGCTCTAACGTCCAGGCTGGAGGGCAGTGGTGTGATCTCAGCTCACTGCAAACTCCACCTCCCAAGCTCAAGCTATCCTTTCCATTCAGCCTCCCAGGTAGCTGGGACTAGAAGCATGGGCCACGATGTCCAGCTCATTTTTTGTGTTTTTCGTAGAGACAGGGTTTCTCCTTGTTGCCCAGGCTGGTCTGAAACTCCTGGGCTCAAGTGGTCCTTCTGCCTCAGCCTCCCAAAGTGCTGGGATTATAAGTGTGAGCCACTATGCCTGGCCTTATTTTTCTTTTGTAGAGATAGGGTCTCACTGTGTTGCCCCCTCAAACTTCTAGCCTCAAGTGACCCTCCCACCTTGGCCTCCTAAAGTGCTGGGATTACAGGTGTGAGCCACCACACCTGGCTTTCTCCTATACTTCTTTTTTTTTTTGAGACGGAGTCTCGCTCTGTCACCCAGGCTGGAGGGCAGTGGCGTGATCTCGGCTCACTGCAAGCTCCGCCTCCCGGGTTCATGCCATTCTCCTGCCTCAGCCTCCCGAGTAGCTGGGACTACAGGTGCCCGCTACCATGCCCAGCTAATTTTTTTGTATTTTTTAGTAGAGACAGGGTTTCACCATGTTAACCAGGATGGTCTCGATCTCCTGACCTCGTGATCCGCCCACCTCAGCCTCCCAAAGTGCTGGGATTACAGGCATGAGCCACCACACCCGGCCTCTCCTATACTTCTAGAAAAGCCAGCTTGGAAAATCACCTTACATATGTAATGTTGGCCAGATTTTGTCAGTTTAGCTGGGTTTTAAATCTTGTTAATACTTAATAGCTACAGAAAAAGAGAATGCTCTAATATGTAACCTAAGACCTAAGATTGCAATAATGCTTCCTGTACTTCTTGATGTATGTGAAAAGAATTTTAAAATATATATTCCTAAATCTTTCTCTAGTCCATCCATATCTACCTCCACTGCCACTGCCCCATCTCTGACCACCACCACTCTTTTTTTTTTGAGACAGAGTCTCGCTCTGTCGCCAGGCTGGAGTACAGTGGTGTGATCTCGGCTCACTACAACCTTCGCCTTCCAGGTTCAACCGATTCTCCTGCCTCAGCCTCCCCAGTAGTTGGGACTACAGGCGCATGCCACCACACCCAGCTAATTTTTGTATTTTTAGTAGAGACGGGGTTTCACCATGTTGGCCAGGATGGTCTCCATCTCTTGACCTCGTGATCTGCCCGCCTCAGCCTCCCGAAGTGCTGGTATTATAGGCATAAGCCACTGTGCCCAGCCTTTTTAAATTTTTTTTTGAGACAGAGTCTCACTCTGTTGCCCAGGCTGGAATGCAGTGGCATGATCTCGGCTCACTGCAATCTCTGCTTCCCGGGTTCAAGTGATTCTCCTGCCTCAGCCTCCCCAGTAGCTGGGATTATAGGTGTGTGCCACCACACCCAGCTACTTTTTGTATTTTTAGTACGGAGAGGGTTTCACCATGTTGGCCAGGCTGGTCTCGAACTCCTGACCTCAGGTGATCCACCCACCTTGGCCTCCCAAAGTGCTGGGATTACAGGCATGAGCCACTGTGCCCAGCTGACCATCACTCTTTACTTAAACCACAGATCTTGGCTTCCAGAGTGGTCCCTCTTCCCGCAGTCCATCACCAGATCCAACCATGTGACTCCCAGTCTCAAACCCTTCCAGCAATTCTCCCCTATATTCAGGATAAAGTCCAGGCTTCTCAAAACCTGGCTTCTATCTTTCTCATTTCACCACCTCCTCATGTCAGACTGTATTCCAGACTTTGAACACTCAACAGGGTCACATCACTTACCTGACTCTAGGTGTGTGCACTTTCCTTCCCCAAACCCTACCTTTGCCTGGCTAGCTGCTGCTCATCCTTCAGCTAGCACTTCACATTTCTGGCTCCTTTCCAGGTGCAGTGGCTCATACATGTAATCTCAGCACCTGGGCAGGCTGAGGCGGGAGGATCACTTGAAACCTGGGCAACAAAAGGAAACACTGTCTCTACAAAAATTTGTTTTTTTCTTTCTGAGTCTGCTTGCTAGGGGGAATTTTTTTTTTTTTATTTTAAAGATTAACTGGGCACAGTGGCATGTAGTTTATAGTCCAAAGGCTGAGGTGGCAGGATTATTTGAGCCCAGAAGTTTGAGGCTGCACTGAGCAAGGATTCCACCACTACACTCCAGCATGGGCAAAAGACCGAGAGACCCCCATCCATCTCTAAAAAGAAAATAAATAAATAAATAAATGGATGGCTACTTCCATGTACTGATAGCATGTGCACATCACTACATTTTTCTGTTTATATATAAATTTCCCCCACAAACCTGGCTACTCCTTGAGGTCTGAGCCTGTCATCTGCCTGAACCCCTCACTCCTAGAGTACCTGTCCCATACATACATACATACATACATACATACATACATACATACAATGTACACAATACACACACCACACACACACAGCTTATGGGGGAGAGATCTTGACAGGTTGAGTTTGGCCAGCTGGAAGGACATTTGAGGAAGTCGCTGCCTCTGTCACCTTCTTCCTTTACCTGTTGGAAAACCTGAAAAGAATCCTCTTGGAGAATATCAAAGCACTTTACTATACTCGGCAAAAAATCCCAGTGGACCAGATAGAATCATACTGAGATTGCTCCTGTATTAAAGATAAGGAAACAGATCTTGGAAAAGTAACAGGCCTGCAGCCCTGAGTATGAACGATCTGAAGGGGAAGAGTTAATTAACAGTAGCCTCATCCAGTGAAGGTTCAGATCTGTGTCTTACTTTAACAGAGTTCTGGGGCAACAGAATAACATGTCAGACTTTCTCAGACCCAAAGCAGGTGTCTAAGTAAGAGAATTATCCCCACTTCTCCCCACTTCTGAGAACTATCCCTGCACCTGCATAAGAAAGCCGGAGCAGCTGGAAAAAGCACATAGGTGAGCAAACAAAAAGATGGCAATTAAAACTTGCAGATCACCTAGTATGCGCTGTGCGCCTTCAAAGCTTTATCTCAATTCTTGCTACAGTTCTAATGTAGGACCTCATTTTATTGCTGAGGAAACAGGTTCAGAGAAACTGGGAAGTTAGCAAGAGATCATACAGAGAAAAAGAAGAGCTCAAATCCGAAACCAAGTCTCGTCCCCTCCAGTGCTCTGCGCTCTCCACTCAACCCCAGGGGCTTACATTTCAGTAGTAAAGAATCGAGGCCATCTCCTCCGGGAGAAAGATAGGCCAGCAGCAAGAGAAACTCACCTTGGCACAAGCACAGAGCGTGAATAGGGTACTGTGGCCTGGGCTCAGTTCTGCACCCCGCCAGAGATCCAACGATCCTCAGCTTAAGTCTGGCGGTGAGGGGGAAGTTCCACCCGGAGGGAGGGGCAGGGGCCGGGCATAAAGGATCACGCGCAGGGTGGACCGCCTTCGCCGCCTCCCGAGGAAGGACCTGAAGGGGATGGAAAACAGAGCTGGGAGGTAGTACCGTCTCCACCTCTGGATCCTCGAGGTCGAACTGGCCGGAACTTGGTCACTCACTCCGCAGCGCGGGTTTGGAGAACTCCTGGGCACAATGAGGCAGGTGGCGCTGGCCACGTGGGCGGTGCAAGGGGCGGGGCCAGCCTCGCCTTTTGCTGGCCCACATTGCACCGCGCGCCTAGGCGCCGCCGCAGGCGCTTTTCCGGGGGAAGTAAGGTAGCAGATGCCACGTTGCAGGTTCTTCTGGTGTCGGCCCTCCGGATTCACAATGCCATCCGTGGCTCCATACTCTCCCTAAAGTCAGGTTGGCTGGATTCCCAAAGTTCACCTAAGTTGGCCCCGTTACATTTAGTTCAAGCAAACTGAGGCCCAGAGAGCAGCTGCAACACCAAGATTGGCCAGAATACAGAAGACCTCGCGTCTGCAGATCCAGGCGCTGGAAAGTGCCTGGTCCCCCTGTCTGGACCATAGACCCCGCCCAGCACGTTATGTGCCAGGCACTGTGCTTAACACTTAATAAACATGGTTTTATTGAATCTTCATAATAATCCTGGAAAAGGAATATTCCTTTTTTTTTTTTTTTTTTGAGACGGAATCTCGCTCTCGCCCAGGCTGGAGTGCAGTGGCGCGATCTTGGCTCACTGCAACCTCCGCCTCCCTGGTTCAAGCAATTCTCTGCCTCAGCCTCCCGAGTAGCTGGGATTACAGGCGCCCGATACCACGCCTGGCTAATTTTTTTGTATTTTTTAGTAGAGACGGGGTTTCGCCATCTTGGCCAGGCTGGTCTTGAACTCCTGACCTCGTGATCCACCCGCCCTGGACTCCCAAAGTGCTGGGATTACAGGAGTGAGCCACTGCGCCTGGCCGAAAAGGAATATTCTTTTATTTCGTACAAGCCTTTTTAAAAATCGTAGTATAGCATATATACAGAAAATACACCAGTCTTTTTTTTTTTCTTTTTCTTTTTTTCCTATTCTACATCCAGGAAGAAAGAAAATGTATAAATCTTAAATGTATACAGTTCTTTTTTTTAAATTATTTTTTGCAATGTAACTGCCATCCAGAGGAAGATATTACCAGCACACCATAAGCCTGTGAGGAAAGTATTCATAATCCATTTTACAGATTGGACAGACTCAGCAAGGTTAAGGCTATTTATAATTTTCCCAAAGTCACACAGGTATTAATTAAATGACACATCTGCGATTTGAAATAGTCTGTGCTGTTTGAGTGGAGAGGTGTCTTGCATGTATGTGTTTTCCTTGGCAGGGATGGGCAAGACACAGGGTTATCTCGGTTTGGCTCTGCTTTTCCCCACACCTTTACTCCCTGAGAGCAACTCTTCCCATTTCCCCACCCCCGTTATCCCCCACTGTCTCCCCAACATAAGTGATGTCCTGGTGGACCAAATGTCTAATGTATCAGGCCATCCTCATAAAAACAATCAGACTTGGCCGGGTGCGGTGGCTCACGCCTGTAATTCCAGCACTCTGGGAGGCCGAGGCAGGCGGATCACCTGAGGTCAGGAGTTAGAGACCAGCCTGACCAACATGGAGAATCCCCGTCTCTATTAAAAATACAAAATTAGCCGGGCGTGGTGGCACATGCCTGTAATCCCAGCTACTCGGGAGGCTGAGGCAGGAGAATTGCTTGAACCTGGGAGGCGGAGGTTGTGGTGAGCTGAGATTGCGCCATTGCGCTCCAGCCTGGGCAACAAGAGTGAAACTCCATCTCAAAAAAAAAAAAAAAAAAAATTCAGCTAGGCGTCGTGGCGCGCACCTGTAGTCCCAGATACTCAGGACGCTGAGGCAGGAGAATCGCTTGAACCCGGGAGGCGGAGGTTTCAGTGAGCCGAGATCGAGCCACTGCACTCTAGCCTCTTGACAAAGCGAGACTGCCCCTCAAAAAAAAAAAAAAAAAAAAAAAAAAAAAAAAATTAGCTGGATGTATTGATGCGAGCCTGTAATCCCAGCTACTTGGGAGCCTGAGGCAACAGAATCACTTGAACCAGGGAGGCGGAGGTTGCAGTGAGCTGAGATCGCGCCACTGCACTCCAGCCTGTATTCAAAAAAAAATAAAATAGGCCAGGCATGGTGGCTCACGCCTGTAATCCCAGCACTTTGGGAGGCCGAGGTAGGCAGATCACCTGAGGTGAGGAGTTCGAGACCAGCCTGACCAACATGGAGAACCCCCATCTCTACTAAAAATACAAAATTAGCCAGGTGAGGTGGCACATCCCTGTAATCCCAGCTACTCAGGAGGCTGAGGCAGAAGAATCACTTGAACCCAGGAGGCAGAGGTTGCGTTTGGCAAGATTGTGCCATTGCACTCTAGCCTGGGCAGCAAGAGCAAAACTCTGTCTCAAAAAAAAAGGGGCCGGGCGCAGTAGCTCACGCCTGTAATCCCAGCACAAGGCGGGCAGATCACGAGGTCAAGAGTTCGAGACCAGCCTGGCCAATATGGTGAAACCCCGTCTTTACTAAAAATACAAAAATTAGCTGGGCATGGTGGCACGCGCCTGCAGTCCCAGCTACTCAGGAGGTTGAGGGAGGAGAATCGCCTGAACCCAGGAGGCAGAGGTTGCAGTGAGCCGCACCACTACACTCCAGCCTGGGTGACAGAGCAAGTCTCCGTCTCAAAAAAAAAAAAATACGTAAAAGAAGAACCTACAGGCCAGGCACAGTAGCTCATGGCTGTAATCCCGGCACTGTGGAAGACTAAGAAGGGAGGATCACTTGAGCCTAGTAGTTCAAGACCAGCCTGGGCAATATAGTGAAACCTCATCTCTACAAAAAATATAAAAATTAGCTGGGCACGGTGGTGCACACCTATAGTCCCAGGTGTTTAGGAGACTGAAGTGGGAGGATTGCTGGAGCCCAGGTCTTCGAGGCTGTAGTGTGTCATGATTGTGCCATTCTACTCCAGCCTAGACAACAGAGCAAAACCTTGTCTCTTTTTTTTTTTCCCCTCAAATTCTTTTTACCAAGGACCCTGTCTAAAAACAAACAGGCCAGGTGTGGTGGCTCACACCCGTAATCCCAGGACTTTGGGAGACCGAGGCGGGCCAATCACCTGAGGTCAGGAGTTCGAGGCCAGCCTGGCCAACATGGTGAAATCCCATCAATACTAAAAATACAAAAATTAGCTGGGCATGGTGGCAGGTGCCTGTAATCCCAGCTACTTGAGAGGCTGAGGCAGGAGAATTGCTTGAACCTGGGAGGCAGAGGTTGCAGTGAGCCGAGATGGTGCCACTGCACTCCAGTCTGGGCGACAGAGCAAGACTCCATCTCAAAAATAAATAATAATTTTTAAAAAACAAAAAAACAGAAGTGAGCAAATAAGAATATAAGAACAACCACTTTATTGAGCATCCACTACTTACCATAGTCTTTATATTCATGTTGTCTGATATCCACAGCAGAAACTTTTGGATTTGGTGGACATGAAGATCATTGGTGACCAATGTGGAGAGCTCCTTCAGTGGAATGGTTAATCCTGAGCCAGATGACCTGAATTCAGGAATGAACAGGAGATGAAGACATGGAGAATCAGAGGAAGGACTTCTCAAGGATACAGTAAAGGCCAGGGACAGTGGCTCATGCCTGTAATCCCAGCACTTTGGGAGGCCAAGGCAGGCAGATCACTTGAACCCAGGGGTTCTCAAGATCAGCCTGGGCAACATGGTGAAATCCCATCTCTACAAAAAATACAAAAATTAGCTGGGTATGGTAGCATGCACCTGTGTTCTCAGCTACTTGGGAAGCTGAGGTGGGAGGATCACCTGAGCCTGGGAGGCCAAGGCTGCAGTGAGCTGTGATCGCACCCACCACTACAAAGCCTAGGCAACTGAGTGAGACCCTGTCTCAAAAAAAAAAAAAAAAGTAAGAGGAAGAAAAGTTATGGGTTAATAGTGACTTGATGCAGATGGAGGGAGAGTTTTTCACTATGTGGGAAATGCGAGCATGACCACGTGCTAAGCAGCGGGGAAGGGTCCAGTGGAAGAGACAGGAGATATGAAAGTGGAGAAAATGATGGAGGGAAGCTGGGCGCGGTGGCTCAAGCTTGTAATCCCAGCACTTTGGGAGGCCAAGACGGGTGGATCACTTGAGATTAGGAGTTTAAGATCTGCCTGGCCAACATGGTGAAACCCCATCTCTAGTAAAAATACAAAAAATTAACTGGGCATGGTGGTGCACGCCTGTAATCTCAGCTACTTTGGAGGCTGAGGCATGAGAATCCCTTGAACTTGGATGGTGAAGGTTGCAGTGGGTCAAGATCATGCCACTGCACTCCAGCCTGGGTGACAGAGCGAGACTCTTGTCTCAAAAAAAAAAGAAAAAGAAAAAGAAAAAAAATAATGGGATAATTGTGGGGGGGATCATGGATCATACATTTAGCTAACATTTACTTAGCATATACTATGTCCTAGTCCTTTCACTGGGCACAAAAATGGACCAGCCTTGGCCGGGCACGGTGGCTCACACCTGCAATCCCAGCACTTTGGGAGCCAAGGTGGGAAGATCACTTGAGGTTAGGAGTTTGAGACGAGACTGGCCAACATGGTGGAACCCCATCTCTACTAAAAATAGAAAAATTAGGCACTCATTCTCTTTCCTGCCACCCTGTGAAGAGGTGCCTTCCACCTTGATTGTAAGTTTGCTGAGGCTTCCCCAGCCATGTGGAACTGAGTGACTCCATCTGCAGCTTTTATTAGAAATCAAGGGAAGCCACCAGAAGACGGAGCACTGAATGAGCTCTGCGGAGCTGAATCATCTAACCTGACCTCCAATTTAGAAGAAAGCCCCTCTGTGCGCACCTGCTAACCTGCCTGTCATCACCCTCACAGCTGTGCTGGGTCAGTGTCACAGACTCACCCATTCCAGAGTTACCATCTGATATGTGTAGGCTCATATGAAAAGTATGCTGTAATGTGAGGAAATAAATCCGACGGAAAAACAAAAATCAAAACAAACAAACAAAAAATACAAAAATTAGCCGGGTGTGATGGCAGGCACCTGTAATCCCAGCTACTCAGGAGAAGTGCTTGAACCCAGGAGGTGCAGGTTGCAATGAGCCAAGATTGTTCACTGCACTCCAGTCTGAGTGACAGAGTGAGATTTCATCACAAAAATTTAAAAAAAAAAAAAGGACCAGCCTTGTTCTCTGCCTTCAAGGTTCACAGTCCAGAGGGGCTAATGTAGAACAGGCAGAATGCATACCTATGTGTGTGTGCAGGGTTGGCCTTGTGTGGCGACAGAGGAGGCTGAAACAGATGAAGAGCTAGAAAGTGAGAATGGCTGTCTAGGAAGGAGAAGGGAGCATCCCTTTCTGGACAACTAGGCAGGAGGGAGGGAAAGGTTAAGTTCTCAGCACCCCTCACTGAACGTTTTAGCATTTGGCAGGGGTTTCTAGACCCTAAGAGGAATGTGGCCAGGTAGAAGAGATGAAGAAATAAATGCCTGCTGTCCAAGTCTCTGAGTTTGTCCCGGAGCTACCCCAGTGACTTATTTGCTGGCACTTCCTGCTTACTGTAGGCTAGGCTGTCTGAATGAGAATGAAGAACAGAGTTCAGGTTCCCAGAGGACCCATATACGAAGCAGGGCGATAAGGGGGCCTGAACAAGATCTTGACTTTATGCGTGGACCTTCTAGTGACATTGTAATGAGCGCACATTTAAGGAACATATTTAAGTTCCTTCTAATCCCCTATTAGGGCCGAATCATTCCTAAACTCTGGCCAGCTCTGAAACCAACTTCACAAGACCTGACTCATTTCCCCCAAGTAGTGAAAGTCCCTACACAGGTAGCTACTGGAAATGGCCCTGGGCCTGTGCACTGAGGCATTATTCTCCCTCTCAGGCCCCTCAAATCCTGTGGTCCCATTCAAGTGGCTGCTGAGAGCCAGCAAGGCTGGCACCAGGCCCTGGGGACTGCATTATGCAGTCAGCTACCTCATCTTTTGGGATCTGAGCTCCAATCCCCAATCCCACCAGAGTGACTTGGTCCTCAGAACCATTTATTGCTTTTTTCCTGATTATGCACCAAAGCAAAATTCTTAATTTCTTAAATATATGTTATTTATTTTTTGAGACAGAGTCTTACTCTATCATCTAGGCTAGAGTGCAGTGGCATGATCACGGCTCACTGCAGTGTTGACTTCCCAGGCTCAAACAATCCTCCCACCTCAGCCTCCCAAGTAGCTGGGACTACAACTGTCCACCACCGTGCTCAGCTAATTTTGTTTATTTTTTGTAGAGACGAGGTCTTACTATATTTGCCCAGGTGATCTCAAACTCCTGGGCTCAAGCGATCCTCCCACCTTGGCCTCCCAAAAGTGCTGCAGTTATAGGCATGAGCCACCAAGCTGGCCATGCTTACTTTTTTGAGTTGTTTGGGGATTAAATGAAACAATGGATGTAAAGTGCCTGGTGGTACATAGAGATTTAATGAGTGGTAATGATTATTATTTATATTCAAAATAGGCTGCTGCAAGCTAGGTTGAAATAGGAAAACTGTTCCCTCTTCTCCTACCCCTTCAAGTGAAACTACTACAAACTGCCACCCATCCCTGACAGAGACAGAACTCCAGAATAGAGGAGGAGGACTCTGCACAGGGTTGCAGTCTCTTTCTCTCTCATGCATGCGCACATATACACTCATGCACCCATGCAAGCACACTTACACCTGTACATGCACACACATGATTATGTAGAGCTACAGCTGTTGGCATAGAAGCTATAGTTATATCAGGGTAGGAATCAGTTCTATTATGGCAGTTACAAAGATCAATGCTGCAGTGAAGTGGTGGAAAGGAGGCTGCAGCCAACTGAAACCAATGGACTGGGACTGGAAAGTCGGGGGTGGGGGGAAGAGGAGGAAGTGGTGTGGGCTAGGGCAGGCAGGCAAGGGAATAACCGCTGACGGAAGCAGACAGCCTGTCATATGGCGGTGCGGATTTCCCCTGTCAACTGCATTTCCTAATTTTACGGTCTTCTGTTGCACATGTCACCCACAGAGGCTGCTCTGTGCTAAAAGTGGGTAGAAGTGATTGATTTATTCATTCGACTGACCAATATTTAATGATATCTACCATGTGCCAGGAGTTTTTTGGAAAAATAGACTGTTGTTGGGAAGGGAGTTAAAGGAAGCTGGAGAATGGTAGTCTGAGCAGAGGAATTGATATGTGCCAAGTTGTGGAGGAATGAAGCAGGATGTTACATTCCAGGAACTACATGTGGTTTGATAAGAAGGGAGCATAGGCTGGGTGGGAGGATCACATGAGGCCAGGGCAGCATACTGAGACCCTGTCTCTACAAAAATAGAGGTGTTGTGCACCTGTAGTCCTAGCTACAATGGAGGCTGAGGTGGGAGGATCACTGAAGCCCAGGAGTTTGAGGTTACAGTTAGCTATGATTGTGCCACTGCACTCCAGCCTGGATGACAAAGCAAGACCCTGTCTCTAAAAAAAAAAAAAAAAAAAAAAAAAAAGTATTACAAATTTAAATATATATACTTCAAAATACAAGTAGGAGAAAGAAAAAGAAAACATATATATAAGGCAATTTGATAATATATATGAAAATGTTAAATGTCCATCCCTTCTGATTCAGCAATTGTAAGGAACTTAGTTTTAGGAAATAATAGAAAAGGGACAAGGCTGTTTACTGTGTTGTTTAGATTACCCAAATCAGCTGAGCGTGGTGGCTCACGCCTGTAATCCCAGCACTTTGGGAGGCCAAGATTGGAGGATTGCTTGGGGCCAGCAGTTTGAGACCAGCCCGGGCAACATAGCGAGACCCTGTCTCTATTTTTAAAATATATTTTTAATATAAAAAAATTAAAACATATTACGTAAATATTTGTAGGAAGGGAATATCCAAAATAAATTGTTGTGCATCCATGTGATAAATACAGACACAACAAGGATAAAGTAAATATGTAAGTATTGTTGTGGAAAAAATGTCTTTGATATGTTGTTAAGTGGGGGGAAAAAAAAACTATGGGGTTACTAAAAGTGGGTTTGGCACCAGCTCTGTTCAGCCCTTCAGCTCCGAAGTTCAACGAAGTTCAAAGTCCTACGGCTTCCAAAGGCCAGTGTATCAGTTCCTGCCCCTGGATCAAGGTTGTGCAAGATGAGGGAGGAGGCTGGTCACAAGCCTGACATGGGGGTAGAGATTTCTTATCCAGCCCTGCCTCAGCCTTGACAGAGTTCAGGAGCCAGATCCCTGCATTGCAGCCTGGCTTCCTTCTCCAGGCAGAACGTGAGTAAAGGTTAAACATTCCTGGGTGCTAGGTACATAGTGGTGCCCTTCCTACTTCATTAGGATAAAAAGGTAACTTGTCTGAGCTCTACTAGTGCTGGGCTTTAAGAACCTGATTTCCTTTCTTTTTTTCTTCTTCTTTTTTTAAATCAGTTGGTTTAATTCCAGGTGATACATAATTTAGAGTAGAACAAAGACCAAAGGGCCAACTCTGGTAGGATTCTGGGCTGGGAGATGATAAGCCACTGTATGATTTTTCTTTTTTTTCTTTAAAGGTTTATTCTTTTTTTTTTTTTTTTTTTTAACATGGAGTCTTGCTCCGGAGTCTTGCTCCAGAGACTCTCCTTTGCACACCCAGAGTGCAATGGCGCGATCTTGGCTCACTGCAAACTCTGCCTCCCAGGTTCAAGCAATTCTCCTACCTCAGCCTCCTGAGTAGCTGGGATTACAGGTGCCTGACACAAGGCTCAGCTAATTTTTTTTGTATTTTTATTAGAGACGGGGTTTCACCATATTGATCAGGCTGGTCTTGAACTCCTGACCTCATGATCTACTCACCTCAGCCTCCCAAAGTGCTGGGATTACAGGCATGAGCTACAATGCCCAGCCAAAAGTTTATTCTTGCTCTATTGTGCAGGCTGGAGTGCAGTGGTATAATCATAGCTCAATGTAATCTCAAACTCCAGGCCTCAAGGGATCCTCTTACCTCAGTCTTCTGAGTAACTAGGGCTATAGGCACGCACCACTATGCGTTGCTAATTTTTTCACTTTTTTGTAGAGACAGTGTCTCTCTATGTTGCCCAGGCTGGTCTTGAACTTCCCGCCTCAAGTGATCTTCCCACCTCAGCCAGGCCCGTCCCTGAGACCTCCATTTTTTAGCTCTTGAGTTTCTTTTGCTTCCTTTTTTTTTTTTTTTCTTTTTGAGACGGAGTTTTGCTCTTGTTGCCCAGGCTGGAGTGCAATAGTGCGATCTTGGCTCACCACAACCTCTGCCCCTCGGGTTCAAGCGATTCTCCTGCCTCAGCCTCCAGAATAGCTAGGATTACAGGCATGCACCACCACGCCTGGCTAATTTTTGTATTTGTATATATATATATATATTTTTTTTTAGTATAAACAGGGTTTCTCCATGTTGGTCTGGCTGGTCTCGAACTGCTGACCTCAGGTGATCTGCTTGCCTTGGCTTTCCAAAGTGCTGGGATTACAGATGTGAGCCACCATGCCTGGCTTTTTGCTTCCTTTTGTTTTGTTTTTATGTTATCTTTTGTTTTGTTTTGGTTTGGTTTTTTGCTTCCCTTTTTTTTTTTTTTTTTTTTGAGACAGGATCTCACTCTGTCACCCAGGCTAGATCATGGATCTCACAATGGTGTGATCATGGTTCATTGCAGCCTTGATCTCCTGGGCTCAAGTGATACTCCCACCTCAGCCTCCTGACTATAGGTGTCCTGGGACTACAGGTGTACACCAGCACACTTGGCTAATTTTTAAAATTTTTGGTAGAGACAGGGTTTTGCCATTTTGGCCAGGCTAGTCTCGAACTCCTGGACTCAAGTGATCTTCTAGCCTCAGCCTCCCAAAGTGCTGGGACTACAACCATGAGCAACCATGCCTGGCCTGGCCTGCTTCTCTTTTTGTTTCTGCTTAAAAGCGTCATCTTAGTCATTCATCTCCTCGGCCTGCTCCTTGTGCTGTTTCAGGGGCTTCTTGCCGTCTTTGTGGCCAGACATGGCGCCTGCTGTACTTTTACCTCATTTCTTTTTCTAGGGATTCTAGCAATAAGCCTTTGATATAAGGCTGCCATGTTAGTCATAGACCAATTATAGCCAAGCTACTTGGCTTGACTGTGTTCTTGTCCAGTTGGAGACAAGATATTTGAGTCTATTTCGGAGAGGCAACAGGATTTCAGGGTCACCAGAAGCAAATGGCACTCAATGAACATTAATTAAGCTCCACATAAGCCTGGGACACTAGTAAGAAGCAAAATACCTTCTTCATTAGATAAAATCCTTCAGGATCTCTGAGCATTGGACAGACCGAGATATTATTATTTAAATGGCCAATTAGAAGTTAATTAGAACTCTGGAGTTCCCTGGCCAGACCCTGTCTGAAAACCCCCTTGAGATTGAAGCAGCAAATCCAGTTTATAGCACTGATCAAAAACATCTCCAGTGAAAATCCCCACACTGGTTTGTCCCACCTAAGGCAGTAGGGGCCCAATTCTTACACACTTAAAAAATAGCTACTCTGGGCTGGGTGTGGTGGCTCACGCCTGTAATCCCAGCACTTGGGGAGGCCGAGACGGGTGGATCACAAGGTCAGGAGATCCAGACCATCCTGGCTTACACGGTAAAACCCCATCTCTACTGAAAAATACAAAAAATTAGCTGGCCGTGGTGGCACGCACCTGTATTCCCAGCTACTTGAACCTGGGAGGTAGAGGTTGCAGTGAGCCAAGATCACACCACTGCACTCCAGCCTGGCAACAAAGCAAGACTCCATCTCAAAAAACAAACAAACAAAAATTACTACTCTGGGCTGGGCACAGTGGCTCACAACTGTAATCCCAGCACTTTGGAAGGCTGAGGCAGGTGGATCACCTGAGGTGGGGAGTTCAAGACCAGCCTGACCAACATGAAGAAACCCCATCTCTACTAAAAATACAAAATTAGCTGGGCATGGTGGTGCATGCCTGTAATCCCAGCTACTCGGGAGCCTGAGGCAGGAGAATCGCTTGAACCCGGGAGGCAGAGGTTACGGTGAGCCGAGATCATGCCACCGCACTCCAGTCTGGGCAACAAGAGCAAAACTCCGTCTCAAAAAAAAAAAAGCTACTCTGGGGCCAGATGTGGTGGCTCATGCCTGTAATCCCAGCACTTTGGAAGGCCGAGGCAGGCGGATGATGAGGTCAGGAGTTCGAGACCATCCTGGCTAACACGGTGAAATCCCATCTCTACTAAATATACAAAAAATTAGCCGGTCATAGTGGCGGGCACCTGTATTCCTAGCTACTTGGGAAGCTGAGGCAGGAGAATGGCATGAACCCAGGGGGCGGAGCTTGCAGTGAGCCGAGATCGTGCCACTGCACTCCAGTCTGGGCGACAGAGCGAGACTCCGTCTCAAAAAAAAAAAAAATTAGCCGGGTGTGGTGGCAGGTGCCTGTAATCCCAGCTACTCAGGAGGCTGAGGCAAGAGAATTGCTTGAAACCAGGAGGCGGAGGTTGCAGTGAGCCGAGATTGCACTACCACACTCCAGTCTGGGCAACAGAGCAAGATTCCATCTCAAAAGAAAAAGAAAAAGAAAAATGCCTGTATTTCCCCCCCTCCCCCTCCAGGAAGGAGAAGGATAGAAGTTACAGTGCAATTCTCAGGCTTAGATTAGTTCTCCATAAGTAAAGCTCACTCCTGTCAGCAGTTCCACGCCACCATCCAAAGTGGCTGTGTTTGGCTCCGTTTTAGAGGAGGCTGACTTACCACACTCTCTGCTTCCAACAAACTCAGAAAATAGTAATAAGTATATTAATTTTATATTTAATCTTCTTGCTAACATATGGTAGAAGGAAGCAGGTACTAAGATCTTTGAAAATGGGGAAATTGAGACTGATTAATTCAGCAAATATCTGTTCAGCACTTTCTTTTCTTTTCTTTTCTTTTCTTTTCTTTTTTTTTTTTGAGGCGGAGTCTCGCTCTGTCGCCCAGGCTGGAGTGCAGTGGCGTGATCTGGGCTCACTGCAAGCTCCGCCTCTCCGGTTCACGCCATTCTCCTGCCTCAGCCTCCCGAGTAGCTGGGACTACAGGCGCCCGCCACGACGCCCGGCTAATTTTTTGTATTTTTTAGTAGAGACGGGGTTTCACCATGTTAGCAGGATGGTCTTGATTTCCTGACCTTGTGATCCGCCCGCCTCGGCCTCCCAAAGTGCTGGGATCATAGGCGTGAGCCACCGCGCCCGGCCCTGTTCAGCACTTTCTCTGCTGACATGAATATGGGACTTGTACACTTATGACAGATACCAATAAATTGGGTGAGGGCAGGATTCCATCAGTCTCCTGGCTCCAACATGTCCTCTTTGCATCGTCATGACACTCAAAAATAAGATCACCAAATATGGCCGAGCATGGTGGCTTATTCCTGTAATCCCAGCACTTTGGGAGGCTGAGGCGGGTGGGTCACTTGAGGTCAGGAGTTCGAGACCAGTCTGACCAACATGGCGAAACCCCGTTTCTACAGAAAATACAAAAACTAGCCGGGCTTGGTGGTGCACGCCCATAGTCCCAGCTACTCAGGGAGCTAAGGCAGGAGAGTTGCTTGAACCCGGGAGGTGGAGGTTGCAGTGAATTGAGATCACGCCACTGCACTCCAGCCTGGGCAGCAGGCTGAATGAAAAAGATTCAGACTGAAAAAAACAAAAAGGGCCAGGTGCGGTGGCTCACACCTGTAATCCCAGCACTTTGGGAGGCCAAGGCAGGTGGATCACCTGAGGTCAGGAGTTCGAGACCAGCCTGGTCAATATGGTAAAATGCTGTCTCTACTAAAAATACAAAAATTAGCTGGGTGTGGTGGTGGGTGTCTGTAGTCCCAGCTACTCGGGAGGCTGAGGCAGGAGAATCACTTGAACCCAGGAGGCAGAGGTTGCAGTGAGCCAAAATCACACCATTGCACTCCAACCTGGGTGACAAGAGCAAGACTCTGTCTTTATAAAATAAAAAAGGCCGGGTGCGGTGGCTCATGCCTGTAATCCTAGCACTTTGGGAGGCCAAGGTGGGTGGATCACGAGGTCAGGAGATTGAGACCATCCTGGCCAACATGGTGAAACACTGTCTCTACTAAAAATACAATAATTAGCTGTGTGTGGTGGCGCACACCTGTAGTCCCAGCTACTCCGAGGCTGAGGCAGGAGAATAGCTTAAACCCGGCAGGCGGAGATTGCAGTGAGCCGAGATCACACCACTGCACTCCATCCTGGTGGACAGAGCAAGACTCTGTCTCAAAAAACAAAAACAACAGCAACAAAAAACAAGCAAACCAACAAACAAAAAAAGATCACCAAATGTGTAGCTAGCCACATGAGAGCAACCTTCTGCCTGAAGCATTCATGTATTCATTCTTCATTCACTGAACACCAACTATTTACTGGTGATATGCTAGATGTTGGTATGCAGAGGTGAAGATATGGCCCTGCCCTCAAGGAATGCATAGTTCAATGCAATGGTTGTATCGGTTTCTATTCAATGCTCTGAGATACTTACAACCACCATAACCTTGACTCACAAAGATCATGGTCCAAAGGGGGAAAAGAAACATAAATTATAAACAATTATGGAACTATGTAAGCATATGATAGAAATATGCACAGGGTATGGTGGAAATACAGAGGAAGGGGCACTGAAAATCAGACTGGGAATAAGGAGGTTGTCAGGAAAGCTACCACTGAACTGGTAACACTTAAGCCCAATTTTTTCAAGCAGGATTTAGGCAAAGAGTAAGTGGAGAGAATTGGGGAGAGCACTGAGATCTGCAACATACACTCCGGGGATTGCAAATAGTGCTTTACGGCTAGAGCGGCAGGAGGTGTATATGAGGGAGGAGTGACAAGGGGTCAGAGGGTAGAGAGCCTCGTGTGTCAAGCTAAGGAAGGAGGTTGAACTTGATACTAAGCTAAATGCTATAGGAAGATATCAGCAGGGGTTTGGAAAGCAGGTCAGTTAAGGAGCAGCTGGGGAAATGGGGCTGTTTAAGTTAAAGAAGAAAAGAGGGGAGATAAATCTTCTGGTTTGAAACATATACTGAGTGAAATTGTTTTATTTTATAATTAGAAAGGGCCAAGCTTTCTCCTGGTTCAGCAAACCATCTCTGATGAGCAGGTTAGGGGCAGGTTACCAGACCACCCACTATTCCCTTTTGTCAGATGCTCAGACTGCTCAACCGTAAGGGTTGGTCCTGCCTCAGAACCCACTCTGGTCATAGAGATCTCAAACTAGGGTCCATCTGTCAGGCCTGACATTTCTCTAGGGGAAGGTGGAAGGAGAGAATTAGAGATGTCTCTAGTTGCAGAATTATGGCCTGCAGTGGGCCAAAGGAACATGACTAAGACCTCACAAAAGACAAGATTCTATCTTGTGGTGAGGGGTGTGGTTGGGGGTAGGAATTAATCAGAGTGAAGCATTCTTGCCTAGAGGTAAAGCTCTCCTTTTTCATGTGTATGCTTTTTCAGAGCCTTTTGTCATTTGTCAACATGATAAATTTTGGGCAGAGTGGCACTCAAGAGCAATATGAAGACAGATTACAGTGGGTGTGAGTCTTTCTAGTCCCGACATCATCACTCTCCTAATTGCAGTGCTTTTGGCAAGCAAGCTTCCTAATTTCTGGAAGCTTTGGCCAGGATGGATAGCTAGAAGTAACGTATGAATACATGAAAGAAGTAAAAGATTTTTCCCCTGCCTCTAGGCAGAGCTGACCCTGCCAGCCAGGACAAACAGGACAAATAGGTCAGAAGGTTAGATAAACTAGGAGTCCTCTAGTCATTTTTTTGACCTTCTCTAACTCAGCGGTTCTCAACCTGGGGAGACAGTTGGCACCGTGTGTGGGGGGTGCTACTGGCATCTAGAGGGAAGAGGCCAGGATACTGCTAAACATCCTATTACACATAGGACGGTCCCTCCATAACAAAGAATTATCAAACCTAAAATGCCAATAGTGTTGAGATTAAGAAATAACCGAAAAGTGCTTCTACTTACAGAGACTTGGTTCTAAAAAAAAGAATCTGAGAATTAATCAGTTGCTGAAGCATCAGGTAGCTAGAGATAAAAACCAACTTTAGTATTCCAAGTTGGCTTCATGATTGATCCAATTTGGACATGTTCCCTTTACTGCTCTGGTCTGGACTATATCTCTACATTCATTCTTGATCCCCTAAAATTGGAGGGGAAAGAAGAGGGAAGAAAAGAAGAAAAATCAATATTTTATGTCTCTAGTTTCATCTTCTGGGAAAATGAAAACTTGAAGCTAAAATCCATAGCGTTCAATATCCTAAATGGGTGCCTTATTTAATAATGAAAAGCAGCATAGTATTAACCAGGACAGCAATAGAAGAACAATTATCAAATCATACTTGAATTTAAGGTTGATATCTGATAGAAAATATAAGAATTGAGGCTGGGTGCAGTGGCTCACGCCTGTAATCCTAGCACTTTGGGAGGCCGAGGTGGGCAGATCACGAAGTCAAGAGATCGAGACCATCTTGGCCAACATGGTGAAACCCTGTCTCCACTAAAAATACAAAAATTAGCTGGGCATGGTGACACATGCCTGTAGTCCCAGCTACTCGGGAGGCTGAGGCAGGAGAATCGCTTGAACCCCAGAGGCGGAGGTGGCAGTGAACCAAGATTGTGCCACTGCACTTCAGCCTGGCAACAGAGCAAAATTCTGCCTCAAAAAAAAAAAAAAAATTGAAATGTCAGATTTGTAAAAATAAAAAATAAAATAATGAGTGGAAGTCAATGTAAACCCAGAAACAAGTTCAAGCCTGGCATGGTGGCATACTCCTGTAATCTCAGCTATTCAGGAGGCTTAGGCGGGAGAATTCACTTGGGCTGGGGAGTTTAAGGCGGCAGTGACCCATCATCAGCCACTGCACTCCAGCCAGGATGACAGAGCAAGACCCCATCTCTCCTTTTTTTGGTTGTTTTTGGAGACAGGGTCTCACTCTGTTGCCCAGGCTGGACTGCAGTGGCATGATCACAGCTCACTAAAGCCTCACCCTCCAAGGCTCAAGCAATCCTCCCACCTCAGCCTCCCAAGTTCCTGGGACTACAGGTACCTACCACCACACATAGCTAATTTTTAATTTTTGTAGAGATGGGGTCTTACCATGTTGCCCAGGCTGGTCTTGAATTCCTAGGCTCAAGTGATTCTACTGCCTTAGCACCCCGAAAATGCTGCAACTATAGGCATGAGCCAGCACTCACAGCCCACTTCATCTCTCAAAAAAAAAAAAAAAAGCCGGGTGCGGTGGCTTATAATCCCAGCACTTTGGGAGGTCGAGGCGGGTGAATCACCTGAGCTCAGGAGTTCGAGACAAGCCTGACCAGTATGGTGAAACCCTGTCTCTACTAAAAATACATTAGCCAGGAGTGGCGGCAGGCACCTATCATTCCAGCTACTCGGGAGGCTGAGGTTGGAGAATTGCTTGAACCTGGGAGGCAGAGGTTTACAGTGAACCAAGATTGAGCCACTGCACTCCAGCCTGGGTGACAGAGCAAGACTCCGTCTCAAAAAAAAGGCCAGGCGTGGTGGCTCATGCATGTAATCCTAGCACTTTGGGAGGCCAAGAGGTCCCCACCTGAGGTCAGGAATTAGAGACCAGCCTGGCCAACATGGCGAAACCCTGTCTCAACTAAAAATACAAAAATTAGCCAGGCGTGGTGGTGCATGCCTGTGATCCCAGCTACTCGGGAGGCCGAGGCAGGAGAATTGCTTGAACCTGGCAGGCAGAAGTTGCAGTGAGCTGAGATTGCGCCACTGCACTCTGGCCTGGTCAACAGAGCAAGATGCCATCTCAAAAAGAAAAGAAAAGAAAAGTTCAAATAAAGATTAGGTAGGCTGGGAGTAGCAGTTCACACCTGTAATCCCAGCACTTTGGGAGGCCAAGGTGGGAGAATCTCTTGAGCCCAGGATTTCAAGACCAGCCTGGGCAATATAGTGAGACCTCATCTCTTAAAAAAAAAGACAGGTAAAGAGCAACTTAAATACATTTATTTTTTATTTTTTAAATGAATTAAAAAATTTTTTTTTTGGAGACTGGGTCTTACTATGTTGTCCAGGCTGGAAGTAGAGCAGACATTTTGTGACCATAGGGTTATCATAAGAATAAAAGTAGGCCAGACTCACGGCTGTAATCCCAGAACTTTGGGAGGCCGAGGCGGGCAGATCATGAGGTCAGGAGATCGAGACCATCCTGACCAACATGGTGAAACCCCATCTATACTAAATATACAAAAATTAGCTGCTCATGGCAGTGCGTGCCTGTAGTCCCAGCTACTTGGGAGGCTGAGGCCGGAGAATCGCTTGAACCAGGGAGTTGGAGGTTGCAGTGAGCTGAGTTCCTGATACAGTGTGGAGTGATCATACCAGTTTTTAACTTGTATTTTTTTTTTTTCTAATCAAAAAACTATAGTCACAGCACTTTGGGAGGCCAAAGGAGGAGGACTGCTTGAGCCCAGGAATTGAAGACAAGTCTGGGCAACATAAAGAGTCTCTGTCTAAACAACAAAAAAAAATTTTTTTTTTTTTTTTGAGACAGAGTCTCACTCTGTCACCCAGGCTGGAGTGCAGTGGCGCAATCTCAGCTCACTGCAAGATCCGCCTCCCGGGTTCACGCCATTCTCCTGCCTCAGCCTCCCGAGTAGCTGGGACTACAGGCGCCTGCCATCACGCCAAGCTAATTTTTTGTATTTTTAGTAGAGACGGGGTTTCACTGTGTTAGCCAGGATGGTCTCCATCTCCTGACCTCACGATCCACCCACCTCAGCCTCCCAAAGTGCTGGGATTACAGGTGTGAGCCACCGCTCCTGGCCAACAAAAAAAAATGTTTTAGGTCGGGCGTGGTGCCCAGCACTTTGGGAGACCAAGGCAGGCGGACCACCTGAGGTCAGGAGTTCGAGACCAGCCTGGCCAATATGGTGAAACCCCATCTCTACTAAAGATACAAAAAATTAGCCTGGTGTGGTGGCGAGCTCCTGTAATCCCAATTTCTCAGAAGGTTGAGACAGGAGGATTGCTTGAACTCTGGAGGCGGAGGTTGCAGTGAGCAGAGATGGTGACACTGGACTCCAGCCCGGGCAACAAGAGCAAAACTCCATCTCAAAAAAAAAAAATTTTTTTTTCAAATTAGCCAGGCGTGGTGGCACCCATCTATAGTCCCAGCTACTCAGGAGCCTGAGGTAAGAGGATTGCTTGAGCCCAAGAATTCCAGGCTGCAGTGAGCTATGATGGTGCCACTGCACTCCAGCCTGGGCAACAGAGCAAGACTCCGTCTCTAGAAAAACTAAAAGATAATGTGTAAAGACACATTTAGTAGTGTGTTAACTATACAAAAAAGACACTGTATAGTTTAAAAACAAATCCTACACAGCCTTACTTTTCAATTTTTTTCTTTTTTTTTTTTTTTTTGAGATGAAGTCTCGCTCTGTCGCCTACGCTGGAGTGCAATGGCGCGATCTCAGCTCACTGCAATCTCTGCCTCCCGGATTCAAGTGATTCTCATGACTCAGCCTCCCGAGTACCTGGGATTGCAGGCACACACCACCATGCCCAGCTAATTTTTGTATTTTTGTAGAGATGGGGTTTCGCCATTTTGGCCAGGCTGGTCTTGAACTCCTGACCTCAGGTGATCTGCCCACTTTGGCCTCCCAAAGTGTTGGGATTACAGACAGGCATGAGCCACCGCGCCCGGCATCAATTTTTTCTTTAAAGGGAGTAATTTGTATACAGAAGGGTTAAATGCTTTTTAGACAGAAAAAAAAATGTGATAGAACCAACTTATTAATCATCTTCATCTTCCTCCTCCTCATCTTCCTCATCTTTCTCCTCTTCCTTCTTTCTCTTTCGTTTTTTCAGCCTTGACGACTCCCTTTTTTGCTATATCAGGCTTTCCTTTAGCTTGATATGCAACAATTTCCATTTCCTATTTTTCCTTTAGCTTCTCAGCCTTCTTTTCATAAGGCTACTTGCCATCCACAGCAGTGTTTTTTTGGTCATTGTTTTTTGAGACAGAGTCTCACTCTATTGCCCAGGCTGGAGTGCAATGGTGCGATCTCTGCTCACTGCAACCTCCGCCTCTCGGGTTCAAGCGATTCTCCTGCCTCAGCCTCCCGAGTAGTTGGGATTACAGGCGTGCACCACCACGAGTGGCCAATTTTTGTATTTTTAGTACAGACAGGGCTTCACCATGTTGGCCAGGATGGTCTCGAACTCCTGACCTCGTGATCTGCCCACCTCGGCCTCCCAAAGTACTGGGATTACAGGCGTGAGACACCATGCCCGACTGCAGCAGTGTTATTCCACATCTCTCCCAATTTCTTTGCAACATCACCAATGAATAGGCCTGGGTGTTCTTTGATTTTTGGGCAATACTCAGAACAGAAAGACAAAAAGGCTACAGGAGGCCTTTTGGATGCACTGGGATCTTTGAACTTCTTTTTATCTCCCCTTTACGGGGGACATAGGTTTTCATTTCTTTTTTATAACGGGCCTTGTCCACCTTTGCCATGTCTTCAAATTTTCCTTTCTCTTTAGCAGATACAGTTTTCTACCTCTCTGAGCACTCTTAGAAAATGCTGGCTGGGCGTGGTGGCTCACGCCTATAATCCTAGCACTTTGGGAGGCTGAGTCGGGTGGATCACCTGAGGTCAGGAGTTCGAGACCAGCCTGGCCAACATGGCAAAAACCCTGTCTCTACTAAAAATACAAAAATTAGCCAGGCATGGTGGCGCACACCTGTAATCCCAGCTACTCAGGAGGCTGAGGCAGGAGAATCACTTGAACCCGGGAGGCAGAGGTTGCAGTGAGCCAAGATCGCGCCACTGCACTTCAGCCTGCGCGATGGGAGCAAGACTCCATCTAAAAAAAAAAAAAAAAAAACTCTGAGAAGCTGACTGAAGCCTCTGGGTGCTTATGTTCCTCCCGACAAGTTTTGCACGAAAAATGCATATGATGACATTTTGCCTCTAGGTTTCTGAGGATCTCCTTTGCTCATGTCTAGTTATTTTTCCTCAGTGAGGCACAGAGTCACCCTGTGCCTGTCAGGCTCTCACTTGCCCTGGTGCTGTCTCTATGGAGCTTAACATACTGTAACAGCTGTCTACTTCTTTTTTTTTTTTTTTTTTTTGAGACAGAGCCTTGCTCTGTAGCCCAGTCTGGAGTGCAGTGGCATGATCGCCTCCCGGGTTTAAGCGATTATCCTGCCTCAGCCTCCAGAGTAGCTGGGATTACAGGTGTCCACCACCACGCCTGGCTATTTTTTTTGTATTTTTAGTAGAGACGAAGTTTCACCATGTTGGCCACGCTGGTTTAGAACTCCTGACCTCAAGTAATCTGCCTGCCTCGGCCTCCCAAAGTGCTAGGATTACAGGCGTGAGCCACTGTGCCCTGCCTTACTTGCTTTTTATCATTTTGTTTTGCTTTTTTTTTGTTGAGGCAGGGTCTTGCTCTGTTGCTCAGGCTGGAGTGCAGTGGTGCATTCATGGCTCACTGTGGCCTAAACCCCCTAGATTCAATCAATTCTCTCATCTCAGCCTCCTGGGTAGCTGGGACTACAGGCATGCGTCATCATGTTTGGCTATTTTTTGTTTGTTTGTTTAATTTTTTGTAGAGATGGGTACCCCTATGTCGCCCAGGCTGGTCTCCAACTCCTGAGCTCAAATGATCCTCTCATCTCGGCCTCCCAAAATGCTGGGATTACAACCATGAGCCACTCCACCTGGCCCTGTCTACTTGCTTTTTTTTTTTTTTTTTTTTTTTTGAGACGGAGCTCGTCTTGTTGCCCAGGCTGGAATGCAAATGGCGCGATCTTGGCTCACTGCAACCTCCACCTCCCAGGTTCAAGCCATTCTCCTGCCTCAGCCTCCCGAGTAGTTGAGATTACAGGCATGTACCATCACGTCCGGCTAATTTTGTATTTTTCGTAGACACGGGGTTTCTCCATGTTGGTCAGGCTGGTCTTGAGCTCCCAACCTCAAGTGATCCACCCGCCTCGACCTCCCAAAGTGCTGGGATTACAGGCGTGAGCCACTGTGCCCGGCCCTGTCTCCTTGTTAAATGGGAAAAATTAATCCCCTATTTGGTTAAGCTTGTTATTTGCAGTTAATCTGTTACTTTCAGTTGCATTCAATTTTAACAAATAGATATCCTTGATAACAGTGTTTCTGAAATTGGTATTTGTAGGCCTCTGTACATTCAAATATAATTTTAAAAATTGAATCCTTGTAAATTGAAGAATTCAACTGTTTTCTTTTAGTGATAATCTAAAAAAATTTAACATAAACATATTCTAAATCATCTGTATGAAAAATAAGCCCGGTAGTGGTGACTCAGCCTGTAATCCCAGTACTTTGAGAGGCCGAGATGGGTGAATCCCTTGAGACCAGGAGTTCGAAACCAGACTGGACAACATGGCGTAACCCTGTCTCTATTAAAAATACAAAAATCAGTCAGGCATGGTGGCACATACCTGTAATTCCAGCTACTTGGGAGGCTGAGGCACAAGAATCACTTGAACCCAGGAGGTGGAGGTTGCAGTGAGCCGAAACCATGCTGCTGCACTCCAGTCTGGGCAGCAGAGCAAGACTCTGTCTCAAAAAAAATAAAATAAATAAAAGAAAAATGAGTGCTGTCTTGTGATTTGGGTTCCCATTATTTTATTTTATTATTTTTTGAGACAGGGTCTCACTCTGCTCACTCTGTCACCCAGGCTGGAGTACAGTGGTGCCATCTCGGCTCACTGCAGCCTCGAGCTCTGGGACTCAAGCAATCCTCCCACCTCAGCCTCTGGACTAGTTAGGACCACAGGCACACACCACCACACTGGGCTAATTTTTTATTTTTTGTGGAGATGGTGAAGGGGTGGGTTGCCCCTCCACACCTGTGGGTGTTTCTTGTTAGGTGGAACGAGAGACTTGGAAAAGAAAAAGACACAGAGACAAAGTATAGAGAAAGAAATAAGGGGACCCAGGGGACCAGCGTTCAGCATATGGAGGATCCCGCCAGCCTCTGAGTTCCCTTAGTATTTATTGATCATTTGTGGGTGTTTCTCGGAGAGGGGGATGTGTCAGGGTCACAAGACAATTGTGGGGAGAGGGTCAGCAGACAAACACGTGAACAAAGGTCTTTGCATCATAGACAAGGTAAAGAATCAAGTGCTGTGCTTTTAGATATGCATACACATAAACATCTCAATGCTTTACAAAGCAGCATTGCTGCCCGCATGTCCCACCTCCAGCCTTAAGGAGGTTTTTCCCTATCTCAGTAGATGGAACGTACAATCGGGTTTTATACCGAGACATTCCATCGCCCAGGGACGGGCAGGAGACAGATGCCTTCCTCTTGTCTCAACTGCAAGAGGCATGCCTTCCTCTTATACTAATCCTCCTCAGCACAGACCCTTTACGGGTGTCGGGCTGGGGGACGGTCAGGTCTTTCCCTTCCCACGAGGCCATATTTCAGACTATCACATGGGGAGAAACCTTGGACAATACCTGGCTTTCCTAGGCAGAGGTCCCTGCAGCCTTCCGCAGTGTTTGTGTCCCTGGGTACTTGAGATTAGGGAGTGGTGATGACTCTTAAGGAGCATGCTGCCTTCAAGCATCTGTTTAACAAAGCACATCTTGCACAGCCCTTAATCCATTTAACCCTGAGTTTGACACAGCACATGTTCCAGAGAGCACGGGGTTAGGGGTAAGGTCATAGATTAACAGAATCTCAAGGCAGAAGAATTTTTCTTAGTACAGAACAAAATGGAGTCTCCTATGTCTACTTCTTTCTACACAGACACAGTAACAATCTGATCTCTCTTGCTTTTCCCCCACAGATGGAGTTTCGCCATGTTGTCCAGGTTGATCTCAAATTCCTGGGCTCAAGTGATCTGCCCACCTCGGTCTCCCAAAGTGCTGGCTTTACAGGCATGCACCACCATGCCCGGCGTCCATTATTTTATTTTGCATTTGTTGTTACAATTATCTGAGAGCATTTAGTTTCATGGTTTATAGGTTTAATTTTAATGGTTTATAAGTTTATAGCAGGCTGCTATCAGGTTAGCAAGTCCTACTGTTAAAATGATTGCTGTCCTGGGACATGGGCTTTATACTTACATTGAATTGCCTTACCTTTTACATTTAGTTGGCTGTGAAGAAGAGACAATGGCTGTTGATGAGTCAGGTAACTGTCTCCCACAGCAAATTAGTGCAGTGATGTAACTACTGCTTTTTTTTTTTTTTGAGACGGAGTCTTGTTCTGTTGCCCAGGCTGGAGTGTAGTGGTGCGATCTTGGCTCATTGCAACCTCTGCTCCTGGGTTCAAGCAATTCTCCTGCCTCAGCCTCCCAAGTAGCTGGGATTACAGGGGCACACTGCCACACCCGGTTAATTTTTTTTTTTTTTTTTGTATTTTAGCAGAGACGGGGTTTCACCATGTTGCCCAGGCTGGTCTTGAACTCCTGAGCTCAGACAATCTACCTGCCTCGGCCTCCCAAAGTGCTGAGATTACAGGCATGAGCCACCACACCCGGCATTTTTTTTTTTTTTTTTGAGATGGAGTCTCGCTCTTGTCATCCAGGCTGGAGTGCAGTGGTGCCATCTTGGCTCACTGCAACCTCCGCCTCCCGGGTTCAATCACTTGTCCTGCCTCAGCCTCCCAAGTAGCTGGGACTACAGGTGCCCACCACCATGCCCAGCTGATTTTTGTGTTTTTAGTGGAGACGGGGTTTCACCATGTTGGCCAGGCTGATATCGAACTCCTGACCTCAGATGATCCTCCTGCCTTGGCCTCCCAAAATGTTGGGATTACAGGCGTGAGCCACCGCTCCCGGCCTGTTTAACATTATTTTAAACCTCAAACCTGCTTTTCTTCCAGTGTTTCCTATGTCACAGGTTAATGACATCACTCATGTCACCAAGAAACTGGATTTAATTTACTCTTTCCTTTCATCCTAAATCCAATTAATCCTAAAGCCTGAAGAAATATACCTTGTATTTCCTTCTTTCTACCCTGCTGCTAATGTCATATTACAGTTCTGAGACTTCTCTTGTCTGGATCATTGCCGTGGCCTCCCAATTGCTCTCTTTGCCTAATCTCCTAGTCACTAAATTCATTCATCACACAGCTTCCAGAGTCAACTTCCTGAAACGTAGTTCAAATAATTTAATTCTACATCTCAAAAGTCTTCAACACATTGTAACATTTATTAAGTACTTCTATGCCAGTTACTGTGCTAGACTTGTTACTACAAATATAAATAAAACAAGGGGAATAATTCCCATGCTAATGGTGAGCAAATGAAGAGAGCACAATGGAATATATCTAAAAATAGAACTAGAGGTATACATCAGACCCTGCAAGAAAGCCTCCTCCCCATGGTTCTGAAATCTTTACTGTCCTTTGGAGAGACTCTACAAATCACTTAGACTTGTTCAACAGATTTCTTCTTTTTTCAGTACTCTGTCCAGTTATTTCACTTTTATGATCTTAAGGGGATAGACTGTTAACATTTCTCTAGGCTAGGATAACTCTTTTTTTTTCCTGTTTTTTTTTCTTTGTTTGTTTAGAGACTGGTTCTTGCAGCACTGCCTAGGCTGGGCTCAAACTCCAGGGCTCAAGTGATCCTCTCACCTCAGCCTACCAAGTAGCTGGGACTATAGTCACATGCCAAATGTGCTCCACTCTCTTTTAGTTCTTTTTTCTTTTCTTTTTTTCTTTTTTCTTTTTTTTTTTTTTTGAGACAGAGTCTTGCTCTGTTGCCCAGGTTGGAGTGCAGTGGCGGGATCTCAGCTCACTAAAACCTCTGCCTCCCGGGTTCAAGTGATTCTCCTGCTGCAGCCTCCTGAGTAGCTGGGATTGCAAGTGCCTGCCACCACGCCCAGCTAATTTTTGTATTTTTAGTAGAAACAGGTTTTCACCATGTTGGTCAGGCTGGTCTGGAACTACTGACCTCATGATCTGCCCACCTTGGCCTCCCAAAGTGCTGGGATTACAGGCTTGAGCCACCATGCCCGGCTTTTGTTCTTTTTTTTTAGACGGAGTCTCACTCTGTCACTCAGGCTGGAGTGCAGTGGCGCGATCTCGGCTCACTGCAACCTCCGCCTCCTGGGTTCAAGAGATTCTCCTGCCTCAGCCCCCTGAGTAGCTGGGACTACAGGTGCACACCACGAAACCCAGCTAATTTTTGTATTTTTAGTAGAGATGGGATTTCTCCATGTTGGCCAGGCTGGTCTCAAACTCCTGACCTTGTGATCTGCCCGCCTTAGCCTCCCAAAGTGCTGGGATTACAGGCATGAGCCACCGTGCCTGGCCTTGTTCTTGAATTAGAAAAATAAACTCAAGTGCCCAGCCCAATGCCTGGCATATGGTGAATACAATAGGTGGCAATTTTCTTTGGGCTGAAGTATGACTGTATGTACTGTGTATTGGTTTAGCCTGCCCATAGCCAATAACCATCCATTATTAAGCTCTGAACTTTCATGCTGCCCTTGCTCCTGCAAGAAAGAAAGGGGAGTCTCTCTGAGCCTACGCTGGCTGCTGGCTCGGGTGGCTGCCTGATAAAAAAGAATAAAAGTTACATAAAAATTAAAAAAAGGAATAATGCCAACTAACTATTCAGCCTCAGGCAAAGAAGGAAAAAGCAAATAAATCACGTCTATGCAAAGTAGTATGATAAATAACAAAAATTGAGATGCTCAATGAGCATGAGACAGCACTTCCTCATTCATTATCCCACTATAAGGGCCAAGGGAGTTAGTGAGGGAGCTGGGGACAGAGACAGAAACATGATACTATTGATTGAATGCTCACTGACTGAGCTCCTATTTTATATCAGATGCTTTGTTGTGACTTTGGGGACACAGAGACAGATGTCACCCACATCCTACTCTCCAGAAAGTCACTCTAGCAGGCAGAGGAAGAAATGTAAAACTAAAATTGCTTAAAAGATTTTTTTGGCTATACAAGCTATTGTTTGGACACAAAGGAGGGGAATTGTAAATCCTGGGAATGAGTAAAGGTAAGAAACAGCCGGAGAGAAAGTAATGCTGAAAGACATGTTTTCTCCAGGGAAAGAGTTTTCCAGGTTCAAACAAAAGTCTGAAGGCGGCCGGGCTCAGTGGCTCACTCCTGTAATCCCAGCACTTTGGGAGGCTGAGGCAGGTAGATCAACTGAGGTCAGGAGTTTGAGACCAGCCTGGCTGACATACTGAAACCCCGTCTCTACTAAAAATACAAAAAATTAGCCGGGCGTGGTGGTGGGCGCCTGTAATCCCAGCTACTTGGGAGGCTGAGGCAGGAGAATTGCTTGAACGCTGGAGGTGGAGGGTGCAGTGAGCAGAAGTCGTGCCATTGCACTCCTGCCTGGGCAAGAAAAGCGAAATTCCATCTTAAAAAAAAAAGTCTGAAGGCTTGAAACAACTACACTGTGTTCTGGGTGTTATAAGTGTGAAGGATGGAAGAGTTATACTAATAGCAGCTAACATTTCTAATTTATAATAAGAACTAAGTACTGTACTGAACTACATAGATAATCACAATAAAGTATTAATATTATTCCCATTTTACAGTTGAGAAAAGTAAGGTTTAATGAGTTTAAGACTTGCCCAAGTTCACACCTAAAATTACAGTGAGGAGTTTTTGTGTTTGTGTGTGTGTGTTTTTTTTTGAGACAGAGTTTCGCTCTTGTTGCCCAGGCTGGAGTGCAATGGCGCTATCTCAGCTCACTGCAACCTCTGCCTCCCTGATTCAAGCGATTCACCTGCCTCAGCCTCCAGAGTAGCTGGGATTACAGACATGCGCCACCACACGTGGCTAATTTTGTATTTTTAGTAGAGATGGGGTTTCTCCACGTTAGGCTGGTCTCGAACTCCTGACCTCAGGTGATCTGCCCTCCTCAGCCTCCCAAAGTGCTGGGATTACAGACATGAACCACCGCGCCCGGCCCTGACAGTGAGGAGTTTTAACTCAGTAAATTGACTACAGAGCCTCAGCTTTTATTTTATTTTTTATTTTTCTTTTCTTTTTAAATTTTACTTTCTTTCTTTCTTTAGCCCCAGCTTTTAAACCACGAATAACAGTGACATGATCAGACTTCAGAAAGATTTCCTTCAGCTGCAGTGGAAGGGATGGATAAGAGATAGTGTTAATTGAAATGAGTGACTAAACTGACTAAACCATGTCACAGACACTTTTGTGGCTGTTTCTTCCCCAGCTTTTAAACCACGAATAACAGTGACATGATCAGACTTCAGAAAGATTTCCTTCAGCTGCAGTGGAAGGGATGGATAAGAGATAGTGTTAATTGAAATGAGTGACTAAACTGACTAAACCATGTCACAGACACTTTTGTGGCTGTTTCTTCCCAAGAGGTTCTCAGGAGGTTTTTAGTATTTATACATTTTCCTTGAAAAGTGGGGGTGGGAAAGATTGAGGCAAAGACTTTAGCTAATGCTCAGGAAATCTACGTTTTGTTTTTTGAGACGGAGTCTTGCTCTGTTGCCAGGCTGGAGTGCAGTGGTGCTCTCGGCTCACTGCAACCTCTGCCTCCGGGTTCAAGCGATTCCCCTGCCTCAGCCTCCCAAGTAGCTAGGACTACAGGCGCGCCACCACACTCGGCTAAGTTTTTGTATTTTAGCAGAGACAGGGTTTCACCATGTTGGCCAGGATGGTCTCGATCTCCTGACCTTATGATCCGCCCTCCTAGGTGGCCTAAATCTACATTTTTACATAAGATAAGGTGAATGTTTGAAGAAAAAGGGAATGGAGGAAGAAAACAATTATGTGGTGGACTCAGGGTAATCTAGTAGTAAGGTACTACTAGAAAGGTAGAAAGTAGTCTAGTAGAAAGGTAATCTAGTAGTGAACATTTATGGAATTTGTGGAATAGAGGCCAGGTGCGGTGGCTCGCGCTTACATTCCTAGCACTTTGGGAGGCCAAGGCGGGCGGATCACCTGAGGTCAGGCGTTGGAGACCAGCCTAGCCAACATGATGAAACCTCGTCTCTACTAAAAATACAAAAAATTAGCTGGGCGTGGTGGTGCGTGCTTGTAGTCCCAGACACTCCGGAGGTGAGGCGGGAGAATCGCTTGAGCCCGGGAGGTGGAGGTTGCAGTAAGCCAACACCGTGCCACTGCACTACAGCCTGGGCGACAGGGTGAGTGAGACTCCGTCTCAAAAAAATGTGGAATAGAACAAACTTTAGTTTTAGGAACTAGACTTTATATTGTAGATCTAGTTGCAATTGACACGTCCTTGTTTTATGGGAGGCTACATACTTTAAAGGTTTCCAGGGGAGCAAATAATTAATTATGATTTTGTGTATGTGTGTTTGTGGGGGGTAGTCATCAGGAAATGTCTGAGGCCTTTTGCCTTACCGTGTGGGTCTGGCTAATGTGTAATGTTTTGACTCAAGATTGTAAAGTCAAATTATTCATCCGGGGAGAGGATGGTCGTGTAACTGAATCAGCCTCCCAAGATGAACTTTCCCTCTGGCGTAAGTTTAGGAGTCCTGATATTTTATTTTCCTTTACAACAGAAAGCAGCAACCCTGTAATTAAAGAGAACAATGAAGGAAGCTATCTAAGCCATGAGGGTTACTGAGGATCTGCGCTGGGGTTAAGGCTGCGAACTTAAGAAATATTTGGATAGACAGTTCTCATGGCTTGGTGTGGTTAGACGTGGTCCTCCGTGGGCAGCAGCTAAGACGCTTACTCCAGTTTGGGCATTGAGGGCACAGTGCGTAGTGGTCCTGGAAGTAAAGAGAATCCTGGTTTTCCGCAGAGATCTAGGATTAACCTAAGCGTTCGGGTTCGGGAGCGGCCACAAGGGCGCCTCACTCCAACCTCAGCCATCCGCAACAGGGTGGGGTATTAGTATTTTTCCGCACCCGCCCCAACGAGGGAAAGCGCCGAGTCATTCCGGCGGGGCGCGCCGGGCGGGGCTCGGGCCACATCCCCCTCCTCTCTCTCCTCCTCCGGCACCCCCGTCCGTTCCGACTCTCGCGAGATCCCTACTGGCTATAAAGGCAGCGCCCCGGAGAGCTCTTGCGCGTCTTGTTCTTGCCTGGTGTCGGTGGTTAGTTTCTGCGACTTGTGTTGGGACTGGTGAGTGTGGGCAGTGCGGCCCCTGCGGAGTGAGGCGCGGCGCGCCCTTCTTGCCTGTTGCCTCTTCCTCCTCCTGTCCGGGGCCCGCCCGCGCTCGGGTGGGGGTGCTGTGATGCGTGAGGCAGCCGGGGGAGGCCCGGAGTCCGAGACTGCTTGAGCGCTGCGCACACCCCTCTCGTGGGCCCCCCACGTAGGTGCGGGAACCTGGTTGAACCCCAAGGCAAGCGTGGACTCGAGTCGAGTCTTCCCCCGGCAACTCGAGCACGTGGCGCGGCGTCTGGGCGGGCTGGTGGTGGGGGTCTCCGAGACTAGCCTCCTGCCGGACGGGGTGGGTTCGGGAAGCTTCTGGAATGGACCTGTATCCAGACTCGTGGCTGTAGAAGACAGCCTCTATGTATTTGGCTGTTCCGGGTCCTGAGCCTTGACTAGCTGCGGAGCTTCGGGTACCCTTTCCCCGTCTTTATTTTCCTGTACGTGGAATGGAGTTAGCGATGAGCCCAAATGTCCCCGCTGAAGCACTCTCTCTGCTGGTGCTTTCTCCAGTGCTGGGGAGGGACAGGGGGCACCTGAAGTGGGGTTTAGGGATGTGGCCCTCTACGCTGGGCAGATCCCCTGAAGGGGCCCGGTGGCGGCCTGAATCCCAGCAGCCTTTACCCCGAATTGGTTGGGTTTTGTACTTGGGGGCCACTTGGGAAAGAAGGATTGGACGAGAAGGCCATTTGGGGGCACCAAGTTGCAGCATGCCTTAGTTTTTGGTTTTTGTTTTTTGTCGTTAAAGGTGTTAAGGACTTTTTAAAAAACAGTTAAAAGTTTGCTAAGATCCATGCTTACAAAATTTCTTTTGCTTGTGGTATTGTGAACTAAGAACTTTGGGACTTGGAAAAGCTTTCAGACCGCGGCTTAGTGGGTTAAATCTCTGTTTTTTGAGCTAGAGTCTCGCTCTGTCGGCCAGGCTGGAGTGCAGTGGCGCGGTCTCGGCTTACTGCAACCCCTGTCTCCCGAATTCAAGCAATTCTTCTGCCTCAGCCTTAGGAGTAGCTGGGATTACAGGCTTGTGCCACCAAGCCCCGGCTAATTTTTGTATTTTTTTTTTTTTTTTTTTTTTGAGACGGAGTCTCGCTCTGTCGCCCAGGCTGGAGTGCAGTGGCTGGATCTCGGCTCACTGCAGCCTCCGCCTCCCGGGTTCACGCCATTCTCCTGCCTCAGCCTCCCGAGTAGCTGGGACTGCAGGCGCGTGCCACCACCCCCGGCTAATTTTTTGTATTTTTGTTAGAGACGGGGTTTCACTATGATGGCCAGGCTGGTCTCGAACTTCTGACCTCAGGTGATCTGCCTGCCTCGGCCTCCCAAAGTGCTGGGATTACAGGCTTGAGCCACAGCGCTTGGCCAAGATCTCAATACTAATCTTGGTGTTGATCTGGGTGAATCCAGTGCAACCTTCCTTTTCAGCAGTAAATTGATTCTTATACTTGTTTTCGCCCTGGGATATTAGCCCCAAAGTCAGGAACCCACCTTCACAAATGGTGAAGGGAATTCTAGGGCTTACACAATACCTAAAGATTTGAAATTAAGCAGATGCCAATCAATATCTTGGTCTTGCCTCTTTTTTTTTTTTTTTTTTTTGGAGACAGAGTCTCACTCTGTTGCCCAGGCTGGAGTGCAGTGGCGCGATCTCAGCTTACTGCAACCTCTGCCTCCCGGGTTCAAGTGATTCTCCTGCTTCAGCCTCCTGAGTAGTTGCGATTACAGGCATGCACCACCACGCCCGACTAATTTTTGTGTTTCTAGTAGAGACGGGGTTTCACCATGTTGGCCAGACTGGTCTCGAACTCCTGACCCGGTGATCCGCCCGCCTGAGCCTCTCAAAGTGCTGGGATTACAGGTGTGAGACACTGCGCCCAGTGGTCTTGCCTCTTAAAAGTTGGACTGACTGGAAGGGCGCGGTGGCTCACGCCTGTAATCCCAGCATTTTGGGAGACTGAGTTGGGCAATCATCTGAGGTGAGGAGTTTGAGACTAGCCTGACCAACATGGAGAAATCCCGTCTCTAATAGAAGTACAAAAAAATTAGCCGGGTGTGGTGGCCTGCGCCTGTAATCCCAGCTACTATGGAGGCTGAGGCAGGAGAATCCCTTGAACCTGAGAGGTGGAGGTTGCAGTGAGCCGAGATAATGCCATTGCATTCCAGCCTGGGCCCCAAGAGCGAAACTCCGTCAAAAAAACAAAACAAAACAAAAACAAATAAAACAAGTTGAATTAGTTATAGGTTGTGTGCTGTCTTGGACAAAGCTACCTGGAGAAAAGTCAAATATGCTTCTGATGTTATGAAGGCAGGTGGAGGCACAGTGATGGGAAAGGTCAACGTGACTTTTGGGGAGCCAAACAAAAGTGTTTGTGGCATTGTGCATTTGGATTCTGGTTTGAGAGTCTTCATCTGCCTCTCTCTCTGCTTCTGTATAATGAATAAGATGCCACTGCACTAATTATGGTTCAGAAAGAATGAGAGGTTATCTCAGTATATAAAGAAATTGCCTTGCTGTTTTTAAATGAAAACAAAGGCTGAGATTCAGAGACTTGTTTCGTTCCAAAAGTTGGAAAGCTCAGACTGTGACCCTTGACTGCTGGCTGGAGCTTCTTACTAAAACAACATTTAATGTATTCAGGGACACTGGACAATGCCTTGATTGTTTACAGCTAAGTCTCTTTAAGTAGGTGAAGGCTGCTGGTTATGTAGAAAATTAAGGCTTGTTTCTAATTCATTTCTGTTATTTCTAGCTGATAGGAAGATGTCTTCAGGAAATGCTAAAATTGGGCACCCTGCCCCCAACTTCAAAGCCACAGCTGTTATGCCAGATGGTCAGTTTAAAGATATCAGCCTGTCTGACTACAAAGGTGAGAGAATTAACACTGGGCTCATTGAGATGGAGTTATTTTATATTCTAGGGGTGGCTTGTTAGATTTGTGTCAATGTTGTTTGACTGTAAAATGTTTTGTCTCCTAGGAAGAAGTATTTAGGTTGTTACCTTCATGTTGAAGTGGTGATTATCAAGTGATTACAGGGTATATATCCTAGGACCAAACCACTTCTGGAGAAACCACATGCTTCATTATGTCTGGACATACTAGCTCAATTATCTTTTCAGTATTCCTCGTCTATTTTCTTTCTTTATTTTTATTTTTGAGACAGGGTCTCATTCTGTCACCCAGGCTGGAGTGCAGTGGCGCAGTCATGGCTCACTGCAGCCTCTACCTCTCTGGGCTCAGGTGGTCCTCCTACCTCAGCCTCCCAAGTAGCTGGGACTGTAGGGGCATGCTGCCATGCCTGGCTAATTTTTGTACTTTTTTTTTTTTTTTTTTTTTTTGAGATGGAGTTTTGCTCTTGTTGCCCAGGCTAGAGTGCAATGGCGTGATCTCGGCTCACCACAACCTCCACTGCCCAGGTTCAAGCAATTCTCCTGCCTCAGCCTCCCGAGTAGCTGGGATTACAGGCATGCGCCATCATGCCTGGCTAATTTTTTTTTGTATTTTTAGTAGAGACGGGGTTTCTCCATGGTGGTCAGGCTGGTCTCGAACTCCTGACCTCAGATGATCCGCCCACCTCGGCGTCCCAAAATGCTGGGATTACAGGCATGAGCCACCACGCCTGGCTTAATTTTTGTACTTTTTGTAGAGCTGGGCGCCATGTTGCCCAGGCTGGTCTCCAACTCCTGGGCTCAAGCCCTCTGCCTGCCCTAGCCTTTCAAAGTGCTGGGATAACAGGTGTGAGCCACTGCCTCTGGCCCTCCTCTATTTTATTATTGGAGAAATACTCATTATCTCTTGTTATAAGAGACATTCTACATTTAAAGTCTCAGAGCTCACTCAAATCTCTGGAGCTGTGACACTGCTCGTTCAGTTTGTTTGGGTCACGTATATATCACAGCTGTTAATATTAGGCTGAGGGCTAGGCACTTTCCCTTGCCTGTTTTGACCCCGGAGGAGAGTTGATATTACAGATGGAACAACTCTCCTTTCTGTTGTCATAGTTTTTTTTTTTTTTTTTTTTTTTGAGACGGAGTCTCGCTTTGTCGCCCAGGCTAGAGTGCAGTGGTGCGATCTCAGCTCACTGCAAGCTCCGCCTTCTGGGTTCATGCCATTCTCAGGCCTCAGCCTCTTGAGTAGCTGGGACTACAGGCGCCCGCAACCATGCTTGGCTAATTTTTTTGTATTTTTAGTAGAGACGGGGTTTCACCATGTTTGCCAGGATGGTCTCGATCTCCTGACCTTGTGATCCGCCTGCCTTGGCCTCCCAAAGTTCTGGGATTACAGGCGTGAGCCACTGCGCCCGGCCTCTGTTGTCATAGTTTCATGCAGACACTTGGCAAGTTCTGTTGAGGCTCCTCCTTTCTTTACCTTGTAGTTCCAGAGCAGCTCGATCTCCTGGGACAGTTGAGGATATAGATTCCTTAGAATGCTAACCTGAAACTCAGGTGTCAAGTGTCCTTTTCTCAGTGGTGTAGCATTAGTCCCTGGAGTTAGTTTTTGGTAGAACATTTGACTAGGTTTCCTGACATAATCACACTTTGTTCTTGGGGCTTCTCCCAGCAAACAAGGTAAGTTGCACCATAGGGAGGTGACCTGGGCCCAGGGGTATAAGCAGGAGGTCTAGGAGGAGCTGTTCTCTGCCCTCCAGAGCTTGACCTGCTGAGGCCCCAAAGTGCTTGTTAGGCAAAGCTGGAAGGGTTGTTTAGATGAGTTAGTTTCCAGTGATACTGCAAAGTGGTAAATGTCAAAAAGGGCTGCTTGTTTGGCTTTTTTTTTTTTTTTTTGAGGTGGAATTTTGATCTTGTCGCACAGGCTGTAGTGCAGTGGCATGATCTCAGGTCACTGCGACCTCCATCTCCCCGGTTCAAGTGATTCTCCTGGCTCAGCCTCCCCAGTAGCTGAGATTTCAGGCCCCCGCTGTCACACCCAGCTAATTTTTGTATTTTTAGTAGAGACATGTTTTACCATGTTGGTCAGCCTGGTCTTGAACTCCTGACCTCAGGTGATCCACCCGCCTCGGCCTCCCAAACTGCCTCCCAAACTGCTGGGATTACAGACGTCAGCCACCATGCCACCACACCCAGCCTGTTTGACTTTTCAAACATTGCTGCTACCTGGAAATGAGTGAATATTTGGAATTGTTCTAGTATTTAAGCCTGGTGGGTGTGGCGAGAAGGCTGCCTGGCCAGTTTGAAGATCTGTTATTTCAGTGGTTAATCCCAGTGACTTCATTAAAATTGCAGCTAGAAGTTCTGTTACTCACTAGTACTTTTGTCTTTTCTGTCTCTCTCTGTCTCCCTCTTTCTCTCTCTCTCTCTGTGTATATGTATATATATATTTCTGTTGTTTTGAGACAGTCTTGCTGTGTTGCCCAGGCTGGCCTCAAACTCCTGGGGTCAAGGGATCCTCCCACCTCAGCCTCCCAAGTAGCTGGGACTACAGACACGCACCACTGTGCCTGGCTTAAAATTTTTCCTGTCCTGTCAGGCACGTTAGGAACACATGTGATCACTTAAACCATGCTTGTTCCATTACTATGGTTCATCACGGGAGAAGTGCAAAGGCTGTGACTTCTTATTGGTGTCTTATCTCTACAGCAGAGGAGTACTGCAATTCAGCTTTCTCTGGGTATTGTTAAGCATTGGCATTAGGCCATGCTTATAAGTGCATCCTTGCTTTTGCTATCTTTGGAGAACTTGGTGTTTATGTTAATTTTAGCCACTCAGAAAAGATCAAAATTAGACTGAACAGTGTTTACTCTGTATTGGTAGCTATGACATGGAGGCAGGAGAATAAAGTATGGGATTGGAAGTTTTTTTCATTCAGGTATTCCTAATGCACCAGGTTCTAAAAGTAGCTTCTAGGAGACATCTGTATTGAGCATCTTGGCAGTTAGTGGTTATTGTGTCAGCCATCAACTTGCTTCTTTTTGTATAGGAAAATATAAAGCAAGGAAGTCTGTGTCAAATGCTAACCATGACTCCGATTTTCCCCCCAGGAAAATATGTTGTGTTCTTCTTTTACCCTCTTGACTTCACCTTTGTGTGCCCCACGGAGATCATTGCTTTCAGTGATAGGGCAGAAGAATTTAAGAAACTCAACTGCCAAGTGATTGGTGCTTCTGTGGATTCTCACTTCTGTCATCTAGCATGGTAAATCTCTTGGTCTATTTGGCATGTGAACTTTTTTTTTTTTTTTTTTTTTTTTGAGATGGAGTCTTGCTTTGTCGCCCAGGCTGGAGTGCAGTGGTGTGATCTCCGCTCACTTCAAGCTCTGCCTCCCAGTTTCACGCCATTCTCCTGCCTCAGCCTCCTGAGTAGCTGGGACTACAGGCGCCTGCCACCATACCTGGCTAATTTTTTGTATTTTCAGTAGAGACGGTGTTTCACCGTGTTAGTCAGGATGTTCTTGATCTCCTGACCTCGTGATCTGCCCACCTCAGCCTCCCAAAGTGCTGGGATTACAGGTGTGAGCCACTGCACCTGGCTGGCATGTGAACTTTTAAAACAGCAACTGGGAAGCTTTGGCAATAGACTTTCAAGTATTGCCTTCTCATTGAAGGGAGTGCAAAGTCTGACTTTCTCTTATTGCTCTCATGACCTGGCAGCAGAGAAGAAGCAGCTTCAATTGCAGTTGAGTGTACCCTAGTGACCTACCTTAACTGTTCTCAGCATTCACTTTATTGCTGGAAAACGGAAAAAAAACAGTCTTTTTGGAAAGTTAGATTAGGAATATGGGAAAGGGGAAAGAGGAATGCGTACAGTCAAGTCAAGAGTTTGAATGTAACTGTATGTTTGCCTTTTGCCATAGGGTCAATACACCTAAGAAACAAGGAGGACTGGGACCCATGAACATTCCTTTGGTATCAGACCCGAAGCGCACCATTGCTCAGGATTATGGGGTCTTAAAGGCTGATGAAGGCATCTCGTTCAGGTATGTCATCAGGACAAGTATCCAGTTGGCTGAAAGCCTTTTATTTGGAGAGATCTAGAGCCCTGATCTGTAGAGACTCCTTGTCATTTCATTCCTTTATGCAGGGGCCTCCTCACTAAGGCCAGGCCAGTAGGAGTGTGGAGACCAGTCCATTTCCTTCAGGCTTCAAGCCTCTGTATTCTAACAAAGCACATCTCTAAACCTGTATTGCTTTTCCTTTCATCTCTTTTCCCAGGGGCCTTTTTATCATTGATGATAAGGGTATTCTTCGGCAGATCACTGTAAATGACCTCCCTGTTGGCCGCTCTGTGGATGAGACTTTGAGACTAGTTCAGGCCTTCCAGTTCACTGACAAACATGGGGAAGGTAAGCCATCTGTCTGATAACAGGACAACAGAGTGGTGGTATGAAGGGGTGGGTTGCCCCTTCACACCTGTGGGTGTTTCTCGTTAGGTGGAATGAGAGACTTGGAAAAAGACACGTAGACAAAGTATAGAGAAAGAAATAAGGGGGCCCAGGGGACCAGTGTTCAGCATACAGAGGATCCCGCCGGCCTCTGAGTTCCCTTAGTATTTATTGATCATTCTTGGGTGTTTCTCGGAGAGGGGGATGTGGCAGGGTCATAGGATAATAGTGGAGAGAAGGTCAGCAGATAAACACGTGAACAAAGGTCTCTGCATCATGAACAAGGTAAAGAATTAAGTGCTGTGCTTTAGATGTGCATACACATAAACATCTCAATGCCTTAAAGAGCAGTATTGCTGCCCGCATGTCCCACCTCCACCCCTGAGGCGGTTTTCCCCTGTCTCAGTAGATGGAACATACAATTGGGTTTTACACTGAGACATTCCATTGCCCAGGGACTGGCTGGAGACAGATGCCTTCCTCTTGTCTCAACTGCAAAGAGGCGTTCCTTCCTCTTTTACTAATCCTCCTTAGCACAGGGTGTCAGGCTGGGGGACCCCGGTCAGGTCTTTCCCTTCCCACGAGGCCATATTTCAGACTATCACATGGGGAGAAACCTTGGACAATACCTGGGTTTCCTAGGCAGAGGTCCCTGTGGCCTTCCGCAGTGTTTGTGTCCCCGGATACTTGAGATTAGGGAGTGGTGATGACTCTTAAAACGAGCATGCTGCCTTCAAGCATTTGTTTTAACAAAGCATATCTTGCACAGCCCTTAATCCATTTAACCCTGAGTTGACACAGCACATGTTTCAGGGAGCACAGGGTTGGGGATAAGGTTACAGATTAACAGCATCTCAAGGCAGAAGAATTTTTCTTAGTACAGAACAAAATGGAGTCTCCTCTGTCTACTTCTTTCTACACAGAGACAGTAACAATCTGATCTCTCTTTTCCCCACAGTGGTAGAATGGGAAAGATAGTAGGAACAGAAGCTACCAAATAAGAAAATGGGTATCTCTCTTCATAAATTGAAGCCCCTGGATTACAGTGTGTTGTGAGGGTGAGGGTAATGGAAAAGCTTGGGAAGGAGAATATAAAGGCTTTTTATTCAAAGTATACATACTCCTCTCTTCTGTCCTGCTCATTTAGAATCAGTCACTCCCAAAGATCTAACTTACTGAATGTAGGATGATCTCACAGATGTATTAGGGCAAAACAAAATGGTTGGGAATCACCTCTAGAGATAAAGCATGCCATTTTTTAAATAACTTTATTGAGAGAAGAGGTTAATCCATATAGTTCATATTTTTATTTATTTATTTATTTTTTGCAAGATGGAGTCTTGCTCTGTTGCCCAGGCTGGAGTGCAGTGGCGCAGTCTTGGCTCACTGCAACCTCCGCCTCCCCTGAGCCATTGCGCCCAGCCCAGACTAGCTTTCTAAGGCCTATTTCAGCTCTGATCTTGTAATTTAAAGGAAATGAAGTTATTAGAGTCTGGATTAGTGGTGTATGTTTGGGAAGACCCAAAGGTGCTAGCTTGGCTAGCACCAAGTAATCTTTTTACAGGGATTAGAGTCTGATTATATAGGGATCAGTGAGCACTGATAACCAAGAGGTACCCTTTGCAGAAGGATGTGTGGGCAGTTAGCCTGGACAGATGACACATGGCTCAGCTGACACCTGCTGAGACTGCCCCCTTGTGGGAGATGAGGTTCAGCATTAAGAAGGAGGCAGCAGTGGCAAAGTAGGCCCTTTAACTGGACTTTCCTAGGAACCTACATATAGGTTAGTCTCCTGAACCCAGGCTTTCATAACTCAGAAGCTTGCTTCTTCAGACTCTGTTGGTCTCTGCTGCTTCCCATCCCACTGGAACATGTACAGCCTCTTAAATAGGTACCATTTAAGAGCCAATGAATGCCAAACACTTTTTTTTTTTGAGACAGAGTCTTGTTTTGTCGCCCAGACTGGAGTGCAGTGGTGTGATCTCAGCTCACTGCAGCCTCCACCTCCTGGGTTCAAGTGATTCTCTTGCCTCAGCCTCCTGAGTAGCTAGGACTACAGGGGTCCACCACCACGCCCCACTATTTTTGTATAGTCCCAGCTACTCGGGAGGCTGAGGCAGGAGAATGGCATGAACCCCGGAGGTGGAGCTTGCAGTGAGCTGAGATCGCGCCACTGCACTCCAGCCTGGGCGACAATGTGAGACTGTCTCAAAAATTAGCCAGGTGTGGTGGTGGGCGCCTGTAATCCTAGCTATTTGGGAGGCTGATGCAGGAGAATCGCTTGAACCCGGGAGACCGAGGTTGCAGTGAGACGGAGGTGGAGATTGCGCCACCGTACTCCAGCCTGGGCAACAGAGGGAGACTCCATCTCAAAAAAAAAAAAAAAAAAAAAAAAAAAGAAAAATAAGAGATTAGTCCCCTTGCCTCATTTTCTTCAGGCTAGCCTGAGGCACATTCTTAGGCATTGTCAGGAAAAGGTTGAAGGCTGTGCTTTCTGTATAAATCTATGAAAAATTTCAAACTCTGCCTTTTGCTTACCAAGGGGTAGATGGCAGTTACTTAATGAAACAAGCGGGGGCTTCTGTTAAGTTCTTGATCCTTTATAAGGTTCAGGCTATCCAGTTTGGTAGAGTTAGAAGAATGCTGAGAAGGCAGACTGAGTTTGCTGTCTTCAGAGCTCTGAAGGGCTGTCAGAAACAGTTTAGTGTTAAGGGTTTACATAGTCCTATGTGTGTCGTTTATTTAGCTTTTTTTTCCCCTTAAGGATTAGAGAGTGTTGGCAAATTATTTAAACTTTGCCTTTTTTTGTGGAAAATTTAAATTTCAAGTGCTACATGAATAAATTAGGCATGATAGTATCTTAAGGCTGTGGTGATGATTATATGTTTGTAAAATGGTTAGCTCATACTAAAAGGGTGAATGATCTAAGACTGATTGCAGGGGTAGGTTTCCTGGTATCTGAGTGTTCAGGTGCAGAACTGGTTTTGTCCATAGGAGAATGGTGGTGCATACCATTGAGAAGGTTATTAATTAGTGGTGCCTTTCTCTTGCAGTGTGCCCAGCTGGCTGGAAACCTGGCAGTGATACCATCAAGCCTGATGTCCAAAAGAGCAAAGAATATTTCTCCAAGCAGAAGTGAGCGCTGGGCTGTTTTAGTGCCAGGCTGCGGTGGGCAGCCATGAGAACAAAACCTCTTCTGTATTTTTTTTTTCCATTAGTAAAACACAAGACTTCAGATTCAGCCGAATTGTGGTGTCTTACAAGGCAGGCCTTTCCTACAGGGGGTGGAGAGACCAGCCTTTCTTCCTTTGGTAGGAATGGCCTGAGTTGGCGTTGTGGGCAGGCTACTGGTTTGTATGATGTATTAGTAGAGCAACCCATTAATCTTTTGTAGTTTGTATTAAACTTGAACTGAGACCTTGATGAGTCTTTATTTTAGGAAGCATATTATTAGCTTTTGATTTTAAGAGGAATTTACTCCTTGCTTTCCCTGTTTTGGGGAAAATGAGGAGAGCTGCCTCCAAATCAGGGAATTATATTGACACAGGTAGATATAGGGAATGGAACTGAATGAACCCAAGGTGTTACATTTTGTTTCACTACACATGAGGGAGAAGAATAAGCCCTGCTATAGTGTTGGCCAGAGCACTGCGACTGACGCCACAGGCTGGGTTACCAGTTAAAGTCTCAGTGTGACTACTTGGACACCTATTTTTGTTTAGACACACTATTCAAAGGGCTGCATGGGAACCAGAAGCTTGGCCTCTTCTGATAAATGCCTGGTACCTGCTATGTAAAAGAGCTGGAGGTTTCTGTTCTTTTTGAACTGACAGAGGAAAGAGGAAGACAAGGCTGGTGGCCTTGGGTAGGGCTTTCGTAGTTGCACAGTACTGGGCAATTCTTAGCCTTCCCTTGGTTCTAGCCTTGATTAGAGATAGTCTTTTTTAGTGTCATTATGTTGCCCAGAGTGGTTCTGAATTCCTTGCCTCAGGCGGTCCTCCGCCTCAGCCTCCCAAAATGGTGGGATTACAGGTGAGCGCCACAGTGCCTGGCCAAAGCTCGTTTTGATCCTCATTCATATGTCATTGTCCTCAGAGAGGCTGTCAGCTGGGAAAAGTTATTCTCCTGGGCCCTTGAGGCCAAGGTAGATTCAGAACTGAGGATACTTCTGTGTATCATGTGATACCATTCCAGCCACTTGTCTTCCTCAGCTACTCCCACCTGCCCACCCCTCTAGAACCGACTACACCCATGAGCAGCAGTACAGAATTCCCAGGGCCTTTGGTAATGGCCAACATACTGCTTACTATATATGCCAGGTATTTTTCCAAAGTGCCTTACACGTGTTTATTCAGTCCCTACCTGAGGTAGGTACTTTTTTTTTTTTTTTTGAGACAGAGTCTCACACTGTCACCCAGGCTAGAGTGCAGCCATGCAATCTCGGCTCACTGCAATCTCTGCCTCCCTGGTTCAAATGATTCTACTGCCTCAGCCTCCTGAGTAGCTGGGACTACAGGCCTGCGCTACCATGCCCGGCTAACTTTGCATTTTTAGTAGAGACGGGGTTTCACTGTATTGGCCAGGCTGGTCTCAAACTCGACCTCATGATCCACCTGCCTCGGCCTCCCAGAGTGCTGGGATTACAGGCGGGAGCCACCACACCCTGCTGGTAGGTACTCTTTAGAGGATATTTGCCCCTTAGGCCCTGTAACAACATCTTGGGGAACTGCTTAGAAATGGGAACAGATAGAGTCTTGGCTGGGTGCGGTGGCTCATTCCTGTAATCCCAGGACTTTGGGAGGCCAAGATGGGTGGATCACGAGGTCAGGAGTTAAAGACCAGCCTGGCCAATATGATGAAACCCCATCTCTACTAAAAATACAAAAAATTAGCCAGGTGTAGTGGCAGGCACCTGTCATCCCAGCTACTCAGGAGGCTGAGGCAGATAATTGCTTGAACCCAGGAGGCAGAGGTTGCAGTGAGTAGAGACTGTGCCACTGCACTCCAGCCTAGGTGACAGAGTAAGACTCTGTCTAAAAAAAAAAAAAAAACTCATTTGAAGGCAGATGGGAATTCTGGTTCCCTGGCCTTTATCTTGGCCAAACCTAACTTCCTTGAGCCTTGTTATCTTCATGGAAGATCTCTACTATATTATCAAAAATAGTAATCTTGTACTCAAAACCTTTTGCTTTGCCAAAGCCAATTAAGTCCTAGCAAGTACCACCATAAATCAGGGTCCACATGGGAGAAAATCAAGGGCCAGGGGATGCAGGTGGTGAGACCCTGGGGCTGAGCCAGCTCCGGGCTCTGCTGGGATTCCCAGGCTTCTTGGGGGCGGGTGTGGTAAAGGGAAGGTCCGGGGAGGGAGAACTAGGCTTCTCTGAGGGCTGAGCCAAGCCCAATAGGGCCAATCGTTGGGCAGGTGGAGTGGAGAAGTAGGCCTTCTGCTCTTCTGAGTAGCGCTCCTGGGGTGTCACAGCATCCCGGTAAGTCCAATCACGCCAGTGGAAATTGAAGCCTTCGAGTAGGGCGATACGGTCAGCTCTTGTAGGTACACAGTCATGAGGTTTTCTGGGTGGCAGATCTGGCACCTCTATCCCTGGCAGCAGCACTACCCCTCGGATGGCAAACCAGCCCCCAAATCGGGGGTGTATGCACACACCTGATATGCGCTGGGGAGAGGGTGAAGAAAAGCAAGGTCATGGAGGTCCCCTTGGCACCAAGTCAACTGCCATCATTGCAAGCTAGGCCTGTTCACTTCCCACTCAGTGTACACTGACTACATAAACCTCTGTCCTTTTCTTGGCAAACCCTTTCATAAACTATTCTGAGCACAGGGAAGGGCTGGGCTTCCTAGTCTCACCACTAGTCTTAACACTGCTGTGCCCCCTGTATCCTAAGACAGTTCTGCAGACTAAGTTTTCTGATCTCACGAGTACCCAGTTAGACAACCGCATGTGACAGGACTGCCTCCCATCCAGAACAAAGCTAATTTGTTCTGGGTTGTGTCACATCCATCCAGGGAAGGCTGAGGAATGTGGGACCTGGTAGGGAGAGGCCTTTACCAGTCTATCTCAGCCTCTATTTACATTTTCCCTCTCACCTGGTTCCCCCATGGGTCAGCCTCCACATCTTGTCGTTGGTAGTAGTAAGCAGCCCCAGCTACATGGGCTGCTGTCTGGGCCAGGATCTTGGGGCGTCGGTTGGGGTGCACCTCGTAGTCAGCAATGATTTCTATCTGCAGCTCTGGGAGGCTCTGGAACAGTGGACAAAATAGAGGGTACTGTCAGCATGAGGGGAGTTATGACCTTGTCCGAGGGAGCCCTAGTTTGTTTTGTGTGTGTGAACATGGTCCTGTCCTCAGAAGGGAAAACATGACCTTAACTTGGGAGGCTCCAGTGTGGACATAGTTATAGTTATTTCCAGAAGGGCACATGTTTGAAGGGAAATACATAACACCTGGTGTGAAGGAAGGCATGGTCAGCTTTGGGGAGATCCAGTGGGTATGTACATAGTTATGTGTATATGTGAGTGTGTGTTGGGAGAATATTGTTCTGTCCTCAAAAGGACAGCATAAAGCTTGCAGGTCTAGGACAAAGCAATGCCTGGGGAATGTTGGACTCATTCCTATTCCACTTGGAGGCCAAGGAAAACCTGGTCTGAGGTTCATATAGTTGCCCATCAGTGTAGGGTGAGTGAGACTATTTCACACTGGGGGACTGCTAGATGAGGGTGGTGGAACCTGGGTGTGTGAGAAGGCAGAATGAGGAAAGATCACAGAATGTCAAGCCTGGCTTTAGGGTATCATTTCACCTTTGAAGTGGCTCCTAGCCCTAGGTCTAGATCCTGCATTGAGTGTGGAGGAACTGGAGGCAGCTGTAGGTTTGGGAGCTGGGGGAAAACTGAGCCTTCCTCACCTCTCTAACACGGCCCAGATGGTAGGCCACACACTGGTCCACTGGGTCAGTCAGCATTCGGAGGTGGCAGCTCTGCAAGAAGGGCTTGAGGGCCCGGTCAAACATGGCAGGCGTGCTGAGTACCAGGAAGGCCAGGGTAGGTCCTGGCAGCGGTAGGTGGAAGGCTGGAGGCAAGAGTTCATTGTACCATGCCACCTGAAACAGAAAGTTCAGGCCAGGCTGGAGAGGGCCAGTCTAGGCCTCAGCCTGGCCCACACCTTAACCTTCAGGCCTCACACTTTTGCCCCAGCCTCCATCTCACTCATTCAGTGAATTTTCACTGACGCTATGTGATGCATTTTTATAAGCAACTCAACTGAATTTGACAGGGAATTCATTATTTTTTGAGACAGAGTCTTGCTCTGTCACCCAGGCTGGAGTGCAGTGGCATGATCTTGGCCCACTGCAACTTTGGCCTCCCAGATTCAAGTGATTCTCATGCCTCAGCCTCCCGAGCAGCTGGGATTACGATGTGCACTACCACGCCTGGCTAGTTTTTGTATTTTTAGTAGAGACAGGGTTTCGCCATGTTGGCCAGGCTGGTCTCCGAACTCCTGGCCTCAGCTAGGACCCACCTGCCTCGGCCTTCCAAAGTGCTGGGATTATATAGGCGTGAGCCACCGAGCCTGGCCCAGGGAATTATTTTATTTATTGAAGGACTGACTGACAGCAAATAATTTCAGGCCTCATCCAACTACAAATGAACCAATGAAAATGAAAAACCCCGCCAGGTGTGGTGACTCACAGCTATAATCCCAGCACTTTGGGAGGCCGAGGCAGGTGGATCACCTAAGGTCTGGAGTTTGAGACCAGCCTGGCCAACATGGTGAAACCCTGCCTGTACTAGAAATACAAAAATTAGACAAGCATGGTGGCACTCGCCTGTAATCGCAGCTACTCAGGAGGCTGAGGCAGGAGAATCGCTTGAACCCGGTAGGCAGAGGTTGCAATGAGACAAGATCGTGCCACTGCACTCCAGCCTGGGCAACAGAGTGAGACCCCCGCCTCAAAAAATAATAATAATAATAAAAGAAAATTAAAAACCCAGGAACGAGGACCCACAGAGCAGAGTTCCTAAATCCACAACTGACTGAGGTGCATGAGGGCATAGGAACAGTCAAAGTGGCTGTCAACGCACTTGCCCTCCAAGTCCAACACCTTGAAGGCATTTTAAGACAAAAACAAGATCGGAGATTTCTCAAAGCAGAATCAACATATGATGCCATGACAGTTGTTCAGAAAAATATTGTTAATCTGGAGAAGCATGTTGCTGCAGCCAAGCCTGAGAGGGAGAAAGCCACCTGAACCCTCAATGCCGTTCATGCCACAGTCCAACTCATCCTCAAATGACACAAAACGATGTGGTTCCACCAGTCTCTTCCCAACCAGCACTTCTTTATCCTTTTGATATGTCATCAGGGGAAACTATCAGTGGCAGCAAGCTATGTCTTCACTGAAGATCAAGGGGTTATAATAGATTAAAATTTTACTATATCCAGAGCATCTCCATACAGACAGATCAAAAGACGAGATCATAGTTCCAGGCTATATAACCCTAACTCTAGAGATGAATTTGGAGAGAACAGGCAGTTTTGTTTTTTTTTTTTTTTGAGACGGAGTCTCACTCTGTTGCCCAGGTTAGAGTGCAGTGGCGTGATCTAGGCTCACCGCAACCTCCGCCTCCCGGGTTCAAGTGATTCCCCTGCCTCAGCCTCCTGAGTAGCTGGGACTACAGGCACGTGCCACCACGCCCGGCTAATTTTTGTATTTTTAGTAGAGATGAGGTTTCACCATGTTGGCCAGGGTGGTCTCGATCTCCTGACCTCGTGATCCACCTGACTTGGCCTCCCAAAGTGCTGAGATTACAGGCGTGAGCCACCGGGCCCAGCCCAGGCAGTTTCTTAAAATACTGTTTTTAGGCTCGGCGCGGTGGCTCATGCCTGCAATCCCAGCACTTTGGGAGGCTGAGGTAGGAGGACTGCTTGGGGCCAAGAGTTTTAGACCAGCCTGGGTAACAGAGTGAGAACCTGTCTTTGTTTTTTTATTTTATTTTATTTTATTTTTTGAGACGGATTCTCACTCTGTCGCCAGGCTGGAGTGCAATGGCGCAGCCTCGGCTTATTGCAATCTCCACCTCCCGGGTTCAAGTGATTTTCCTGTCTCAGCCTCCCAAGTTGCTGGGACTACAGGCGTGCATCACTACGCCCAGCTAATTTTTGTATTTTTTAGTAGAGACGGAGTTTCACCATGTTGGCCAGGATGGTCTCGATCTCTTGACCTCATGATCCACCTGCATCGGCCTCCCAAAGTGTTGGGATTACAGGCGTGAGTCACCGCGCCAGGCGAGAACCTGTCTTTAAAAACAAAACGGCCCTTTTTTTTTTTTTTTTTTTAAATGTATACAGTCTCACTGTCGCCCAGGGGCTAGGGTACAGTGGCATGATGTTGGCTCACTGCAACCTCTGCCTCCTGGGTCCAAGTGATTCTTGTGCCTCAGTCCCCCAAGTAGCAGGGATTAACAGGCGTGTGCTACCAGGCCTAGCTAATTTTTTGTATTTTTAGTAGAGATGGGGTTTTGCCATGTTGGCCAGGCTGGTCTCGAACACCTGGCCTCAACTGATCTGCCCACCTTGGCCTCCCAAAGTGCTAGGATTACAGGCGTGAGCTTCCGTGCCAGGCCAAAAAAACCATTTTTATCAGTTAATGATGAACTGATGCTACCAAAGAGGCTAGAAACGTACTTAACCTCTGACTTGAGCCCATCAGGGGTTTTTCTGCTTCTTTTTTTTGAGATAGTCTTGCTTTGTCACCTAGGCTAGAGTGCAGTGAGGTGATCACAGCTCACTGCAGCCTCAACCTCCCTCCCTCAAGCAATCATCCCTCCTCAGCTTCCCGAGTGGCTGGGACCACAGGTGTGAGCCACCACACCTGGCTGGCTAATTAAAACAAAAAAATAATTTGTTGTAGAGACAGGGTCTCCCTATGTTGCCCAGGATGGGATTTTCCTGCTTTTGACAGACTTTCTTGTTACCACGGTCAACACCATATTAGTCTACAAACCCCTAACAGGAATCTTGTGTTTGGTTTCTTTTTTTTGAGATGGAATTTTGCTCTTGTTCCCCAGGCTGGAGTTTGTGGCGCGATCTTGGCTCACTGCAACCTCTGCCTCCTGGGTTCAAGTGATTCTCCTGCCTCAGCCTCCCGAGGAGCTGGGATTACAGGTGCCTGCCAGCAAACCTGGCTCATTTTCTGTATTTTTAGTTGAGATGGGGTTTCATCATGTTGGCGAGGCTGGTCTTGAACTCCTGACCTCAGATGATCCACCCGCCTCCGCCTCCCTAAAGTGCTGGGATTACAGGCTTGAGTCTCCGTGCCCGGCCAGCAAGCCTGTGTTTTTGAGGTTGACCAATCAGCAAAGCAAATATGTGATTAATGCAAACTTTATTTTCAGTTTTAGGACACACAATATTTGCTTTTGTCCACTTGGCCTGGACATCCAAGAAATTGGATTCACCTGTAACACCGTCTACACCCACATTCACACACTGAACATGGAGAAGAGATGTCACAAGAAGCCCAAACCGAAGACCCATAACATAACCTGCAATGAACTTGCTAAATCACGTAGTTGTGGAGGTTTCTGCTGTTCACACAAAGTGCTATGTATATACCGGCATCACTTACTGGGGATTTCTGACTCATAGTGCAGAACACTTGACACAGGTCTACACAGGCTACCTGGGGTTGTGCATTAATGGGACAGAGTGGGATGACCATTACTTGTTTGATTGTAGCTGGTTTTACTGCTGTAACAGATAAGTGAAGTCTGTGTCGGTGCTCAACTAATAATGTGACTGTTGTGGTTAGGTCTGTTCCCCCTCATGTCTATTATAGGTTCATGTATTATATGGCAGGGAACTTAGAATAGAGAGGCAGAAATCTCAGCTACTCAGGAGGCTGAGGCGGGAGAATCGCTTGAACCTGGGAGCCAGAGGTTGCAGTGAGCCAAGATGGTGCCATTGCACTCCAGCCGGGGCAACAGAGTGAGACTCCATCTCAAAAAAAAAAAAAAAAAAAAAAGCAGAGAGTTAGAGAGTTATTATTATTTTTGAGATGGAGTTTCGCTCTTCTTCTTGCCCAGGCTAGACTGCAATGGCGCGATCTCGACTCACCACAACCTCCACCTCCTGGGCTCAAGCGATTCTCCTGCTTCAGCCTCCCGAGTAGCCGGGATTACAGGTGCACACCACCACGCCCACCTAATTTTGTATTTTTAGTAGAGACGGGATTTCACCATGTTAGCCAGGCTGGTCTTGAACCCCTGACCTCCAGTAATTTACCCACCTTGGCCTCCCAAAGTGCTGGGATATAGGTGAGAACCACCACGCCTGGCTGCAGAAAGTTCTAATAGGCAGAACCACTAAGAACAATAGAAATGACTGTACTATAGCTAGTGCAATGACAGGGTCAGATAAGGGTCCTCTGAAATTAGAAAAGGCTTCCTTGTGGCCGGGCATGGTGGCTCATGCCTGTAATTCCAGCACTTTGGGAGGCCAACGCAGGCAGATCACCTGAGGTCGGGAGTTCAAGACCAGCCTGACCAACATGGAGAAACTGTCTCTACTAAAAAAAATACAAAATTAGCCGGGTATGTTGGCACATGCCTGTAATCCTACCTACTCTGGAGGCTGAGGCAGGAGAATCACTTGAACCCGGGAGGCAGAGGTTGTGGTGAGCTGAGATCGCACCATTGCACTCCAGCCTGGGCAACAAGAGCGAAACTCCATCTCAAAAAAAAAAAAAAAGAAAAGAAAAGGCTTCCTTGGATGCTAAGTCTTGAAGGCTAGAAAGTCAACTGGTCAACTGTCAGGTTGATGTAGGGAGGAGAATCTGGTGTGCATTTATTTATTATTTATATTTCACCAAAAAACACATAAACTCACTGGTGTGTATTTTAAAAAGAGGTCACAGACTGAGTGCGGTGACTCATGCCTGTAATCCCAGTGCTTTGGGTGGCTGGCCGAAGCAGGAGGATCACTTGAGGCCAGGAGTTCAAGACCAGCCAGGGCAACAAAGTGAGACCCTGAGTGTTGGTGCATGCCTGGAGTCAGCTACTTGGGAGACTAAAGTGGGAGGATCACTTGAGCCCAGGAGTTTGAGGCTGCAGTGAGCTATGATTGCACCACTGCACTCCGGCCGGGAGGACAGAGTGAGACTTTGTCTCTAAATAAATAAAGAATAAAATAAACAAGTCACAGCATAAGCAAACACACTGGCAGAAAATTCCTGGGTATATTTGAGAATTGTCTAGTTTGGTGGAAGTGAAGGGTCTGTAGAGGGAATCAGAGGGAGAGAAGGCTGGAGAGATCAATAGGAGTGAGATTTTGATTGGCTTTGAATACCAATTTAAGGAATATGGATTTAATTTGGTGACAGTGAAGAGCCACTGAAGATTTAAGGAGTAAACTAGCATGATCATTTTTAGATCACACTGGCTGCAGTGTGGAGGAGGGACTGGAGGTAAAATTACAGCAAGGAGGTTATTACAGTAATCCAAGTGAGAAATGGTGGCCTGGACCACAGCATAGATGGGTGGAATACAAGGGAATGGATTTGGGAGATTCAGTAGACAGTCTTATAGGTCTTGGTGGCTGATTGGATGTGGGGGTAGGGAGGTGAGAGGTAGGAGCCTAGGGTGACTGGCAGGGCTGCAGTTGGCTTTGTTCAGTACAAAAGCTCCTAATACCCAGGTCTACTCAACTTGCCAGATAGGCATTCTCACTCTCCCACACACCTGCCATCCACTGAAACGGTGTCTCAAAGAGTTAAAGGTCGATCTGCAACAAATAGCTTTTGTTTTCTCAAAAACCCAGTGTCATAATATTAGCTTCCAGCACATCAGGCATCAAGCCCTTTTACTTGGTAACACCACACCACTATCTCCACACCTTTACTCAAGCTTTTTCTGATATTTGGGATGTACATAACCCTCCTTCCTTCCAATCTATCTTTTCATATATAGCTCAATTCCATTTTTTCTGGCAAGACCAGTCTCAAGCTAGACCCAACCTACTTCTCCCTCTATATCCTCTCCCAGGACTGCTGTGAGCCACTCAGCAGAAGGAATGGGAAGTGGGTAGTCTCTTAAGCATCAGGCAAAGGGCTCAAGCTGAGCTGATTTAGCTTTGTAACTTAACTGCTCAGTGCACAGGGCACTGATGTGGGGAAATGTAACCGTGTAAATGGGGGTCGGGGTGCGGTGCTGAGACTGCTGTGCCAGGCAAGTGTACAAAGTTTCATTACCCAGCCCAGCACTGATGACTGGAAATATCATGAATTATCCTTCTGTTGGTAGAGGGAACAAACCAGCCAATTGTTTGCCTGTTCATCACCAGGAATGCCCTTCCTTCCTCAGCTGACCTAAATGATAGCTATGCAAACCTTCTAGGCTTTGCCCTCTCCTAAATCCTTTAGGAAGTTCCAAGGTGACTTTGCCTCACAGGTCCCTTTCTTCTTGTAAATTATATAGGTGACAATCTGAGCCACACACGCTACAGGTCATATGGTGTCTCCCGTTAACGAATCCGGCATTATATGGTGGCAAAAGGTTAAACATGCGACAACTTTTTTTTTTTTTTTTTTTTTTGACACGGAGTTTCGCTCTTTGTTGCTCAGGCTGGACTGCAATGGCGCAATCTCGGCTCACTGCAACCTCCGTCTCATGGGTTCAAGCAATTGTCCTGCCTCAGCCTCCCGAGTAGCTGGGATTACAGGCATGCACCACCACGCCCGGCTAATTTTATATTTTTAGTAGAGATGGGGTTTCACCATGTTGGCCAGGCTGGTCTCGAACTCCTCACCTCAGGTGATCCGCCCGCCTCGGCCTCCCAAAGTGCTGGGATTACAGGCGTGAGCCACCATGCCCGGCCTCGACCACTACCTTTTTAACCCAAGCCCCCACTGAAACTCTGTCCCTGTTGTCACATGGACACTGGGCTGCAGGAACCCAGGAGGATCAGAGGCTCCCGAGGCCTCACGCCAGTTGCAACGAAGCCAATCATATATTTCGCCCTAGAACAGCAGGAGGGATAAACTAACCTGGAAGGGGTAAACCTCGAAGCCAAAAGGACATAGCGTGTCCTCGATCTTCTGCTTCAGCTCTGCGACTTTCGGCTCCATAGCGCACGTTACACGCTGAGCTTGCTGGGGAATGAAGTCTCAAGGACAATTGGGCCGTTACGTTTTGAGTCAGCTTCGACTCCATTTCCCAGGTAGGAAATGGGTCCAGTAGCGGGACCATATTGCCTATGCGCGATGCATCTTGGGATGCGTAGTTCGTTTCCTCCTTGGAGACAGCCACACGAAATCAGGAAGACTCAGTTTCCCGGCAAGCTACACGGTGGGGGTGTGCATGTACGTGTCTCTTCTAGAGAAAGGTAGTTCCACCGCCTCCATCGCCGGTTGTGTTCGCAAGAGGCGACCTCAGTTTCCCAGGTGGCGCTGCGGCAGCCAGTCCAAAGTCGGACTTTCAAAACCAACCCGAAGTTTTGAACCCGGCGGCGGCAGTTGTCACTGGCACAGGTTTGGCGTGGTGGCGCCAGTGTACTACTTCTGGGGAGGTCTCAACCAGGTTCTGGCACCTTCAATCCCCACCTGATATCTGCGTATCATCACGGTATCCCGCTTTTCCCCCAGTTCCCCAAGAGCGTCCTTCCTTTCCCTAGTCACAGGATCGCAGTTTTGGTCTGATAGTGCATCCACCTACCCCAGTGTTGCATCCCCACTTCCCTCTTTCCATCTAACGTGGTGGCCTTTCCTGGGGATACCTTGGGTATCCCCCGCTAGGAGAGCAAGCACAAGACACCAGGGAGCCAGACCCCTGCCGCTCCCCTGCCACAGGATATGAATACGAGCCTCAGCTGGTTTGAGCAGCTGGATGTGCTTCTCAACGCTACTGATGGAAATGTGGTCCGGAATAAGGTGAGGGGTTGGTGGAGGTCCCCAGTTTGCGTGGGGAGGCTAAGGGACTCTCAGAGTTCATTGGCCTGTGCATCTGTTTCTTTTGTAGCAGTGGCTGTATCCTCTTGGGGTCTCCACAGAGCTCATTGGCCTGTGCATCTGTTTCTTCTGTAGCAGTGGCTGTATCTTCTTGGGGTCTCCACCGCAGGTAAGTAATGTCTCTTTCTACTTCCAAGCCCTTTCTCTTTCTGTGCCTTCCTCCAGTGCCCGTATCATCCATTATTCCTTCCAAATTCCAACTCTGTCCTTTCCTGAACTCTGTTTCCCCACACAGACCCTGCACTTAACCCTTCCTTATTTCCTCAGCCGGGGACCTGGCTGGGACCTGGATTTCCTCTCATCACTTGCCTCTGCAGTCAGGAGTCCAAGCTCAACAGCCTTGGGCTTTAGAGACTCCCATAGTTCCACAAAGGCTGAGCTGCCCTGAGTCCTAGAGCCCATCCTCTCTCTGGGGTGAGGTTGCTATTCTCTGATCCTAATTTCAATGTCAGGCTCAGGTGAGGCTTGGAATCCTTGGTGTGTATATGTGATGTTTGTGTAAGATGAGGATACTAGGGGTCGGGAAAAGCTGTTATACAGTAGTTCATGTGCTTTTTTCTGCCTGGGGAGGTGACAGGCACTAAGGCAGGCAGTGCAGGGCCTGCTAGAAGAGCGAGAGCAGCAGAAGTACCAGATCAGTGTCCTGGAAGGTATCTGGCCAGTTATTTTCTTCATATACACAGCTTCATATGTATGCACACAATTTTGCCACACACCTGTTGTGTGTGCACATGTGTCTTGTTTTGCAAGTAGAGTATCTAGGGTCTTGTGAAACTCTTAGAGAGGATGATCCCTAACTTGTCCCACTACAGCATCACTAAGGTTGCTGCAGGGGGCCCCAAAGGGGAGTGCTTTTCTCCTGGAGCAATGCCTGGAGGAGCTGAGAAAGGAACTGCAGGGCCTTCAGAGCCAGGTGTGGGAGCAAACCCAAGCCCAAGCCCAAGCCCAGATGCAAACAGGACCAGGAGAATGCAGTACTACCAATGGCCTTCCTCAGGAGCTGCAGACTGAGTAAGGGATAGTCAAGACCTTGCCTTCTTTTTTTTTTTTTTTTTTTTTGGGTTTGTTTTTCTTTTATTGATCATTCTTGGGTGTTTCTCACAGAGGGGGATTTGGCAGGGTCATAGGACAATAGTGGAGGGAAGGTCAGCAGATAAACAAGTGAACAAAGGTCTCTGGTTTTCCTAGGCAGAGGACCCTGCGGCCTTCGGCAGTGTTTGTGTCCCTGGGTACTTGAGATTAGGGAGTGGTGATGACTCTTAATGAGCATACTGCCTTCAAGCATCTGTTTAACAAAGCACATCTTGCACCGCCCTTAATCCATTTAACTCTGAGTGGACACAGCACATGTTTCAGAGAGCACAGGGTTGGGGGTAAGGTCACAGATCAACAGGATCCCAAGGCAGAAGAATTTTTCTTAGTACAGAACAAAATGAAAAGTCTCCCATGTCTACTTCTTTCTACACAGACACGGCAACCATCCGATTTCTCAATCTTTTCCCCACCTTTCCCCCCTTTCTATTCCACAAAGCCGCCATTGTCATCCTGGCCCGTTCTCAATGAGCTGTTGGGCACACCTCCCAGACGGGGTGGTGGCCGGGCAGAGGGGCTCCTCACTTCCCAGTAGGGGTGGCCGGGCAGAGGCACCCCTCACCTCCCGGATGGGGTGGCTGGCCGGGCGGGGGGCTGACACCCCCACCTCCCTCCCAGACGGGGCGGCTGGCCTGGCGGGGGGCTGACCCCCTCCACCTCCCTCCCGGACGGGGTGGCTGCCGGGCGGAGACGCTCCTCACTTCCCAGACGGGGTGGCGGCCGGGCAGAGGCTGCAGTCTCGGCACTTTGGGAGGCCAAGGCAGGCGGCTGGGAGGTGGAGGTTGTAGCGAGCCGAGATCACGCCACTGCACTCCAGCCTGGGCGCCATTGAGCACTGAGTGCGGCCTTGCCTTCTTGAGGCCTTTGAACTTTTGGCATTTGTAGTGGGACAAGTTGGGGATCATCCTCTCTAAGAGTTTCACAAGACCCTAGATACTCTACTTGCCTTCTTACTCTGGATTTGTTGATTGACTTTAGAATAGCACTGCTGTCACTCCTGCAGTGCTGTGGGAGGAGTCAGAGATTATGCAGAAGGAATTGAAGTTGCTGCAGTACCAGTTGAGTAAGTAAAAGGTGGTTGGGGGCGAATATGCGTTTCCTTGTCCCCTTTTCTGGAAAGTCATCTTCTTCTTTTATTTATTTTTATTTATTTTTATTCTTTTTGAGATGGAGTCTTGCTCTGTTGCCCAGCCTCGCTCTGTTGCCTGTTGCCAAGGCTGTGTTGCAATGGCGCAATCTTGGCTCACTGCAACCTCTGCCTCCCGAGTCCAAGCGATTCTCCTGCCTCAGCCTCCTGAGTAGCTGGGATTACAGGTGCCCGCCACCATGCCCAGCCACTTTTTTTCATATTTTTAGTATTTTTAGTAGAAATGGGGTTTCACCATGTTGGCCGAGCTGGTCTCGAACTCCTGACCTCAGATGATCCGCCTGCCTTGGCCTCCCAAAGTGCTGGGATTACAGGTGTGAGCCACTGCGCCTGGCCTGGAAAGTCTTCTTGCTCTCCCATTAAGTGGCCATGGCTCCAACTGCCTGAGCTACTGAGAAGTGTGGCCAAGTATTTTGTTGCACTCTTTGTCTCTCATGGTGTGAGTTTAATCTCTTCAGTCAGCTTGGAAGCGTCCCAATGGCTGAGCCAGAATGTTTCTGTCTCAGTTTTTGGCAGCAGGCTGGTCACAGGCAGGGAGGGAGAAGGAAAGAAGTTGGGGAACAGCCCCCTTACATTCTCTCTCATCTGCAGGCCAGCACCAGGAGCTGCTGCTGAAACAGCTGGCTGAGGGACGACAGGCTCAGGTTGGCAGTTGGAAGGTAGGACTAGGTTCAGACTTGTCTCTGCATATTTCTCTATGGAGGACCTTTCCTTTCTCTGTCTATCCTGTTCTGCAGGGAGGCCAGGATACCCTCTCCTGCCCCTGTCTTCATTCCTCTCTTCCCTGTGCTGACTCTCTCTCTCTCCAGAGCTCTTCTTTCTAACCTTTCTGCTCCCGGCCATGAGAAACTATCCTTGCCGACATGAGGGTTCCAAGTGTGCTGAAGAGGACAGTCATGGGGAGGGAGAGAGGGAGAGGTTTGGTTCCACCTGAGCCCATGATCTGGCAGATGTTAGAGCAGTTGCAAAGTGGCCAGGAAGGCAAGGGTCATACCCTGGAGGCTACCAGGACAGAGGACCAAGATGCCTGGAGGGAGCACAACCTCCTTAGGTCAGGGGGTATGGGTGCTGTGCCATTGGAGGGAAATTGTCTCACAGGTCGGGCACTGGGGACCAAAGTTCAGCTATCCTAGATTTGACTTGGGCTTTTGGGGTAGTATGAGTATCTGGGTTGTATCCCATAAAGGCATTCTTTACCTGATAGAGAGTCAGTGAGGTACCTTTGTATGTTTGGATGTTACAGAGGGAGGAGAGATTGGCAGGGCGCGGTGGCTCACGCCTATAATCCCAGCACTTTGGGAGGCCGAGGTGGGCGGATCACCTGAGGTCAGGAGTTCAAGACCAGCCTGGCTAACATGGTGAAACCCCATCTCTACAAAAATTAGCCGGGCATGATGGCGGGTGCCTGTAATCCCAGCTACTCGAGAGGCTGAGGTGGGAGAATCACTTGAACCCAGGAGGTGGAGGTTGCAGTAAACTGAGATCATGCCGTTGCACTCCAGCTTGGGTGACAGAGTGAGACTCCATCTCAAAAAAAAAAAAAAAAAAAAAAAAAAAAAGAGGGAGGAGACCAGAGTCCTAGCCTGAGGAAGGAGGACAGTTCTGTGTTGGAAGGGCCCCCTTGATACATCATTATCTTCTCTGTTTCTGGTTCTGTTCCCCTTTCCAGGATCTCCATTCATGTTGTCCAATCTAAGCTGCCTCTGCCCACTACCTTCACCATGTCTGTTTCTTCATCCAGCTCTTAATTCAGTCTTCTGGACAGTAACAGTAGCTGGGAACTTTTATGGAAGCCAGGTAAGGATAAGGACAAGGATTCCCGTTTTGGGGGAGGCTAAATCTGAATGGTGCCTGAATGCCAGCTGCCTAATTATTTAACACTAGGTAGAATGGAGTCTCTGCCTTTCTGTGAACTCACTGACCTCTGTTGCTGTTTATCCTGTCAGTCCTCTATGTCCCTCTCTATTAGAAAGGCCTAGGGCCTAGTTCTATGCATATCACAATGCTTGCTGATGACTTGTTTTCTCTTCCCTTTTCTTTCCTCTTAGATCCCCAGAGGAGCACCCTTTCTAACCTGGAGCCCAGCATCTTTCAGCTCCATGCCCAGAGTCTTAAGCAAGAGGACCTATTCCTTTGGGGCCCCAAAATGCTCCTGAATGACCTGTAAGGACTCGTTAAGAATAGTAGGATGAAGGCTTCTTTGCCCACCCTCCCCTCCAAGGCCCTGTTTCTGGGCTGCCCGCCCCTACCTTCTTGAAGTAGCTATTATCTGTCTTATCTACTGAGGCTTTTCACTGCCTGCCCATCCTTGCCCCCCATCTCAGCTCACTGCAACCTCCGCCTCCCAGGTTCAAGCAATTGTCCTGCCTCAGCCTCCCAAGTAGCTGGGATTACAGGTGTGCGCTAATTTTTGTATTTTTAGTAGAGATGGGGTTTCACCATGTTGGCCAGTCTGGTCTTGAACTTCTGACCTCAAGTGATCTGCCCGCCTCGCCCTCCCAAAGTGCTGGGATTACAGTTGTGAGCCACCATGCCCAGCCTATAGCTGTACCTTCTGAGTGCAAGCTCAGTTGAACTTGGAAAGTAATGGGAGTTCCCATTCTGGTGAGTAGAATGAGGTAGGACACTGCTCTAGGGCAGTAGTGCTGGGGGATGCAAAGGAGGATGAGATATTCTGGTGGGACTTGGATCTGGACAGTAGGAGGCTACCTTTCCTCATCTCCAGCTTCTGCCTTTTTTTTTTTTTTTTTTGAGGCAAGGTCTTACTCAGTTGCCCAGGCTGGAGTGCAGTGGCATGATCTTGGCTCACTGCAGCCTCCGCTTCCTGTACTAAAGCAATCCTCCCACCTTAGCCCCCCAAGTAATAATATATGGGACTACAGGCACACGCTATCATGCCTGGCTAATTTTTAAATATTTTTTGTAGAGACAGGTTTTCACCATGTTGCCCAGGCTGGTCTCGAACTCCTGGGCTCAACTGATCCACCAACTTTGGCCTCCCAAAGTGTTCAGATTACAGGTGTGAGCTGCTACCATGCCTAGCCCCAGCTTCTACTGCTTGAGGCTCTCTTTGGCATCTCCACACATCATCCTTAGCAGCCCAGACTGCATTTCTGTAGCAGCCTCTTCCCTGGTCTCTTCTTTCAGTCTCTCTGCCTCTAATCCAGTGGCTTTAAGAATTTTTTGGCTGTGACTTCCAGTAAGAAATACAATTTACATTGTGACCTAGTAAATATGTGTGTAGATTTATTAACTGAAATAAAAATGTTATGATTTAATTTTTATCCTTAGTGGGAGTGATACACTGATATTTTCTATTATATTTCATTAAAAAATGCCTTGTGACTAATGATCCTGATCCTTTTCACTACTTGGACAACACGGAACATGAACTGCATGGGTCCACTTTGTTTTTTCTTTTTTTTGAGATGGAGTTTCACTCTGTAACCCAGGCCAGAGTGCAGTGGCGAGATCACAGCTCACTGCAGCCTCAACTTCCTGGGCTTAAGCGATCCTCCCACCTCAGTCTACCATGTAGCTGGGACCAGAGGCATGCGCCACCACACCCAGCTAATTTTTTGTACTTTTTGTAAAGACAGGGTTTCGCCATCTTGCCTAGGCTGGTCTTGAACTCCTGGGCTCAAGTGATCCTCCTGCCTCAGCTTCCCTAGTAGCTAGTACTACAGGCATGTGATGCCACACCCAGCTAATTATAAAAGGATTTTTGTTTGTAGAGATGTGTCTCACTATGTTGCCCAGGCTGGTCTCAAACCCTTGGGCTCAAGAGATCCTCCTACCTCAGTCTCCCAAAGCCCTTGGGATTACAGGTCTGAGCCCACACACCCAACCTCAACAGAAATATTAAATAGCAATGTGGAAAATTGTTATTTGAGCTGTCACCAGGTGGCAGCACATGATTTGTTGCCAGAAGAATGGTACCAAAAAGCCTTTGGTCAGGGGGACTGGGCTGGGGTGATCTCTCTTCTCCCTTCAGAGATTCTGTGAGCTACCAATTAATCTTCCTAAAACACTGCCCTGTTTAGTTTATGGTCCTGCTCAAGAATAGCTCTCACAGCATAAAAAACAAAAGACAAATTTGAATATTGGCATTTAAGCCCAACCCACATGCAGCCTCTTCTCTCTCCAATATCTCCTACCACACTTCTTTCTTTCTTTTTATATTTTTTTGGGACAGGGTCCTGCTCTGTTGTCCAGGCTGGAGTGCAGTGGCACCATCCACAGCTCACTGTAGCCTTGACCTCTGGGCTCAGGTGATCTTCTGGCTTTAGCCTCCCAAGTAGCTAGGACCACAGGTACATGCCACCATTTTGGGCTCATTTTTTTTTTTTTTTCTGTACAGACAGGGTCTCGCTATGTTGCCCAGGCTGGTCTCAAACTCCTGGCTTCAAGTGATCCACCTTGGCCTCCCAAAGTGCTGAGATTACAGAAGTGAATCACTGTGTCTGGCCATATTTTTTTTTTTTTTTTTTTTTTGAGACGGAGACTTGCTGTGTCGCCCAGGCTGGAGTGCAGTGGTGCGATCTTGGCTCACTGCAACTTCTGCTTCCCGGGCTCAAGCGATTCTCTTGCCTCAGCCTCCTGAGTAGCTGGGACTACAGGCACGCGCCAATACACCCAGCTAATTTTTCTATTTTTAGTAGAGACGAGGTTTCACCATGTTTGCCAGGATGGTCTCGATCTTCTGACTTCGTGATCCCCCTGCCTCGGCCTCCCAAAGTGGTGGGATTACAGGCGTGATCCACTGCTCCCGGCCCTGGCCATATTTCTTAAACTTTATGGCCACCAGGAATGCATACCACTTATACTCTTCCAGGAGGATGAAAGTCTTAAGATGTCTGAAAAGGGGTCTCTAACCCCTGGGAGTGCTAATACAGTAAGGCCCATACTGCTTGCTCTTGCCCTCCTCCTGTTCTAGTCTCTTCAGTCATGAGATTATGAGCTCCTGATGTCCAGGCACATGCAAAAAGTGAAGAAATATGTGCCTTGAACAGCTGGGCAGAATTCTTAGCTGGGAGCGGTGGCTCACGCCTGTAATCCCGGCACTTTCGTAGGCCAACGTGGGCCGATCACTTGAGTCCAGGAGTTACAGACCAGCCTGGGCAACATGGTAAACCCCGTCTCTACAAAATATACAAAAAATTAGTCAGGCATGCTGGCGTGTGCCTGTAGTCCCAGCTATCCGGGGAGGCTGAGTTGGGAGGATCATCTTAATCCAGGAGTTTGAGGCTGCAAGTGAGCCATGATCGCTCCATTGCACTCCATCATCCTGGGCGACAGAGTGAGACCCTTCTAAAAAAAAAACAACCAACAAAAACAACAAAAAATCCCAACTTATTCCCCACCAGCTTTCTTTCAAAATCTGTTTTCAAGCTAGCTGAAGTGTTACCTCCTCTAAGCTTTCACTTAACCGAATCTCATAGTCATGATTAATTGCTTCCCTAGCATTTTGTTTAGCTCTACTGATTGCTCTTACTATTTCAAGTCGGTATTATTGATATATTTTTTCCTCCTCACTATACTGAAATCCTGCAGGACGCAGCATTCTTACCGCTTTTCCTTACTCAGCTATACCTTGACCAACCCGAAAGCCGCGCCAGTCTAGTCCATTTTCTATTGGCTTTATCAATTACCAATCATTTCTGTGTTTAACATTTTTATTGGTCCATCTTGTGTTTACTGCCCCGCCCTCTAAGAGGCTCCTGGACTTGGGTTTCCCCCAGGTGTATTCCCTCCTCCTCGGTTCCGCCTTTCCCACACACTGCTTCTTCTGTTTTTACCTCGACTTCCTTCCTATTGGTTCCCTTCGTCCTCCGGAGTTGGCACCTACGGCTGTTGATTGGCTTTTCTGGACGCCCATTGTGCCCACCCTCATACCACGTGGCATTCCTAGCGCTAATTGGGCAATTCCACTACCTCGTTTATCAGGAGTTGACGGTTGACTGGCTACTCTGAGGGAGGGCTTGAGGGAGGGGCGTGGCCAGCCGAGACCCCGCCCCCAACCCCCCTGCTGGGCCGGGTAGGCGTTTCAGTCTTTCGCGGCCCGGGAGCTCAGCAGAGCTACCAGCTGCCCTGTTGGCTTCGCTGGTCGGATCGTCCTCCTGGCCCCGCCAAACAGGCGGGGGGAGCGGCCCCGACTGTGGGGCCATGGCAGTAGTCTCCTCGTTCGCCGCCGCCGCTAGCCTAGCTGAGTCGCCGGCTTCTGCGCTAGGGGCTCCCACCGCCTCCGCAGGCTAAGGAGCCGCTGCCACCAACGAGCTGTGAGGGTTACTATGCTCCCTCTTTGCCGCCGTCTCCTCCTCTTGCCCGCGCAGGCACCCCTCTGGCTGCTCAGTCCTGCCTCAGGTAACGTGAAAAGAGGACGGGGGTCACAAACCCGGGCATCCTGCCTGGCCCGCGCGCGCTGCCGCTCCACCTCCTCTGCCCCGGAGCAGAGGCGCCTGCGTCCCTCCGCACCCGACGGGACCCCTCGGCTTCCCAGAGGTCCCCCTCTCAGCGGCGGCGGACGCTCCCTTCCTGGCCGCTTTCCCCTTTCCTTCTCACTTCCCTCAGGCTCCCCGCCACGTCTGCTCCCCCTTAGAACCTGGGAACCCATTAGAAGTTACCTCGCTCGCATTAGGGATCTTTCGTTTTCTCGGAAAACTCTTGTTTCAGAGACTTCCAGCTCCCCACTGAGCGCCTCCCTGCTCGCATACCCGCTCCTGCCTCAGAGATCTGGGTTCCTTCACTTGACTTCCCTCCGATACACTCTTCCCTCGAAAACGTTCACCTCTACCCAGGAAAACAATTCCCTCCCCTCAGACCCTACTGCCTTCCCCCTCTTCTTTCCTCGCTTGTCATCGTCTCCCTTCCTTTCCCCTCTCTGCTTTTTACTCTTCGCTGTGAAGAGTGGACTAAGCCAGTGTTCAGATTTCGCTACAAGCGAAATCCAGGTTTGCGTAATTTAAAAGTCTTTAAATTGTATACCTCTGAGAAGAACTTGCTGAGGAATTTGGACTTCATGCTGCATGCATGGGGAGCCGTTGAAGGTTTTGTAAGCAGGAGCTTGGTATGATTGCATTATCTTTGGTGAAAATATAGAGGAAGGATTGAAAGTGAAGACCGTGGAGGCGGAAAGGCCAGGTAGGCAGAAAACGAGTGTGCTCATCCAGGCGGGAGGGAATGGCCCGAAATTCCAAGAGGTTTCAAAATAAAGTTGAGAAGAATAGTAGAAAGTTTCTGACTTGGCTGATGGTGTGAATCGGTAGTGTTAATTGAAATAGGGAACATAGTCTCTGGTTATACCACCCTCAACGCTCCTGATCTCATCTGAAATAGGGAGCATAAAAAAGCAATTTTGAGAGAAGGTAATAAATTTGGTTTTGAACAAGTTAAGTTTCAGGGTTTGTTTGTTAGTTTTTGTTTTTTTTGACGGAGTCTCATTCTGTCACCCAGGCTGGAGTGCAGTGGCACGATCTCAGCTCACTGCCACCTCCTCCTCCCAGGTACAAGCGATTCTCCTGCCTCAGACTACCGAGTAGCTGGGATTACAGGCATGCGCCACCACGTCCGGCTAATTTTTGTACTTTTAGTAGAGACGGGGTTTCCCCACGTTGGCCAGGCTGGTTTCGAACGTCTGACCTCAGTCAATCCGCCCACCTCGGCCTCCCACAGTGCTGGGATTACAGGCGTGAGCCACTGCTCCCAGCCGAGTTTGAGGTGTTTTGAAATATCACTGTGGGTATCTGGAAATTTGGGTCTGAAAATTGGGAGAAAGCTTGGACCTGGATACATAAATTTGGAGGGTCAAGAGAATATATGGGGGATATTTGTGTGCCTTAGTATGGAATGGTAATACTGAAAGATGAGAAGGGCTGTGGACCAGAAGGAGCATCATTGTTTGAAAGGTAATAGACACTGAAAAAGAGAGATTAAAGGAACGGGACAAGAACTAGAACATAACAGCATTATAATAGGAGCCAAAGAAAGGATTTCAAGAAGGGAGTGGGGGGCGGTGACTATCAATGTCACGTGCTTTCGAGGTCCAGCTGAATGAGAGTTAAGAAGCTTTTTTTTTTTTTTCTTTGGTGTCAGGGTCTCACTCTGTCGCCCAGGCTGGAGTGCAGTGGTGCAGTCTCGGATCCTCCCACCTCAGCCTTCTGAGTAGCTGGGATCACAGGCAGGAGCCACCACACCCAGATAATTTTTTGTATTTTTTGTAGAGACGGGATTTCTCTGCGTTGCCCAGGCTGGTCTCGAACTCCTGAGCTCAAAGCTATCTGCCTTCCCCGGCCTCCCAAAGAGCTGGGGTTACAGGGGTGAGCCATCATGCCTGGCCTGCCCTATATTTAGCAATCAGGAGGTCACTTGTTTCCTCTGAAATGCAGTTTTGGTAGGGTGGGGATGGCAAAGAAGGTAGTAGTGAGATCATGATGGATTGAGGAATAAATGAGGAGAAATGAGTAAAATTATTCTCCAGAGTTTGGTTGTGAAGGAGAGCTGGTTCTAGTGAAACTCATCTTTATTGAGAATATACTATATGCCAGGTACATAAAGATGCTTTATAGATCACAACAGCCTTGTGGTTAACATGTCAGTATCCCTCTTTTACAGTGGAGAGTACTGTGGACAAGGATTTGAGCAGGTATGTCTAGTTCTGAAACCTGTGTTCTTTCCATTATGGCACATGTGTGTTTTTCTTTTCAGTACAGGTGAAACAGTTCTGTAAGTGAGGGGAAGGTTCATCTAGGAAATATGTCAGTCAGGCATTTTGCCCTTTGACACCAAAAGGATAGTAGTGAAAATGGATAATGATGTGGTAGAAGGGAAGGAAAGTGAGGGAGTTTAACAGATGGCCTTATCGATGTGATTACTTATCTGTGGAGAAGTCAGTTTGGAGACTGAAGACACTATGGTGAGTTTCTGACTTGAGTATTATGGCCATGGGAATCTTAAATGGAAAATGAAAGAGAATAAAGATTTAACAAAAAAAATTGTTGGCCAGGTGTAGTGGCTCACTTTGGATTTTTTAATCCCAGCACTTTGGGAGGCTGAAGTGGGAGGATCGCTTGAGCCCAGGAGTTTGCGACCAGCATGGGCAACATTGTGAGACCTCGTCTCTACAGAAAATTAAAAAATTAGCTGGGTGTGGTGGTGCATGCCTGTTGTCCCAGCTACTGGAGAGGCTGAGGTGGGAGGATTGCTTGAACCGGGAGGCTGAGGTTGCAGGGAGTCAAGATTGTACCACTGCACTCCAGCCTGGGGGAAAGAAAAAAAAAAAAGCAAAAAAAAACTCAGGAGCTAAAAGATTGTTGACCACATTGAGGGTCCTACTAGTTAGAAATAATATATTTGTAATGGGGCCCAGGAGCATGGATTTTACACTTTCTTCAACAGCCTAAGAATAGTAGGACAAAAAAGATGGTTGGATTGATTCAAAATGGAAACTTGCAGGACAGAAAGATAAAATGGGAAGCAACTTTACACTGCTATTGATAGTGTAGGAGATATGTTTCATTCCAAGGGACCAAGCTGGGAGTTATAAGAAGCAAAATCTAGAGGGAGGCTGGTGTACTTAGAGAATAAAAAGACAATCAGAAATGTGGTTGAAGACCAGATTTTGTAAGAAATATATAATTGGACAGCCCAGAGTTCATTATTTCAAGGTAAAGACAAAAACTGGCTTAACTGTCTCAATGCTGTTGAAGGGGAATGGAGGTGTAGGTTATTGAAGTAGTGGGAGATTAGGGGGCTGTGTTGAATATGTCATCAATATGAATGTCACAGTTGTCCAGCATGATAGCAGGAGATTGAGCAGAGGAGATAGTAAGTCCTATAGGTGGGCCTGCTCACCAAGGAGGGACCCAGAGTTGGATTGGTGGTTCCTTGGCACTTGTTGAAAAGTAGTACCAAATGGTACAGATGTTTGTATATGAATTAATGGTGATATCCTCAGATACTTGATGCCCTGGATGTATGATGTGTTATTCTCTCTTACAGATATATGTTTGGGATAGACCCTCAAACACAAAAAATCCTTTGTAAGCTTGACATATGATGGGCTTTGATTCTGTTTAAAATATATGTGCTGGCTGGGTGCGGTTGCTCACACCTGTAATCCCAGCACTTTGGGAGGCCAAGGCGGGTGGATCACTTGAGGTCAGGAGTTCGAGACTAGCCTGACCAACATGGAGAAACCCTGTCTCTACTGAAAAAAAAAATACAAAAATTAGCTGGGCGTGGTGGTGCATGCATGTAATCCCAGCTACTTGGGAGGCTGAGGCAGGAGAATCGCTTGAACCCGGGTGGTGGAGGTTGCGGTTAGCCGAGATCGGGCCACTGCACTCCAGCCTGGGCAACAAGAGCGAAAGTCCGTCTCAAAAAAAAAAAATGTATATATGTGTGTGTGTGTGTGTGTGTGTGTGTGTGTGTGTGTATGCTGGGAGGCTAGGGACTCTCCACCTCAGGATCCTCAGTAACATTTTTTTATGGTTTTAGTTAATTGTGTGTGTGTGCGTTTGTTTTTTTTTTTAATTAATTTTTTTTTATGGGGTCTTGCTCTGTCACCCAGGCTGGAGTGCAGTGGCAAGATCTCGGCTCACTGCAAGCTCCGCTTCCCAGGTTCACACCATTCTCCTGCCCCTCAGCCTCCTGAGTAGCTGGGATTACAGGCGAGGGCCACCATGCAGGGCTAATTTTTGTATTTTTAGTAGAGATGGGGTTTCACCATGTTGGCCAGGCTGGTCTCAAAAGGTTTTAGTTAATTGTAAAAAGAAAATTACACATTTAAATATGCTCATCCCGGACTTATTTTGAGGAGAAAACTGACTTGCTTTTATGCTTTCTTCCCTGTATGAAAGTATTTATACATATATTCTTAGTGTCATACATTTCATTTTGTTTTGCAAAAAGAATGTAGTGTTGGAATTTGAAACCTATGGTAAAGGCATTTATGGGAATTTCATCTCCTTCTAGTAGATGAAGCCCAATTATTACATTGTATTGTGTGGGTGATGGTGAATGTTTTGACCCAACAATGGCTATTATACTATTTACAAAGTCATCATATGGAGATGACTTCAGTGTAGTCTCACTAGTGTTATTTTCCCTGAACAATCACAGGCAGTGGCTGTTTCAGAGAAAAGCCTGGTTGTAATAAGTTTTATGTCTTCCATTCCTGAAAATTTCCAAAAGGCAGTGTGATAAAAGGAAAAGAACATTAGGAAAACCTTAGTTGTATTCAACTCTGTTGTTATTAACTATATGATGGTTAATATAAAGGCAAATTACTTATCTTTTGTGAGCTTTAGTTTTTTTTTTTAAGATACATTTAATCTTTGAATAGATAATACATTCAACTGGTTATTAAATGTAAACTTTTTTAATATATAAATTTAGGGCTGGGTGCGGTGGCTCATGCCTGTAATCCCAGCACTTTGGGAGGCTGAGGCAGGTGGATCACTTGAGGTCAGGAGTTCGAGACCAGCCTGGCCAAGATGGTGAAACCCCCTTCTCTACTAAAAATATGAAACATTAGCTGGGTGAGGTGGCCTGCGCCTGCTATCTCAGCTACTTGGGAGGCTGAGGCAGGAGAATCACTTCTACCCAGGAAGTGGAGGTTGCAGTGAGCCGAGATCATGCCACTGTACTGCAGTTTAGGCGACAGAGTGAGACTCCGTCTCAAAAAAAAAAAAATAAAATAAAAAATAAATTTATATAACAGTGAAAAGTCGGCTGGGCGCGGTGGCTCATGCCTGTAATCCCAGCACTTTGGGAGGCCGAGGCGGGCGGATCACGAGGTCCGGAGATCTAGACCATCCTGACTAACACGGTGAAACCCCGTCTCTACTAAAAATACAAAAAATTAGCAGGGCGTGGTGGCACATGTATGTCGTCCCAGCTACTCAGGAGGCGGAGGCAGGAGAAGGGCGTGAACCCGGGAGGTGGAGCTTCAGTGAGCCGAGATCGCGCCACTGCACTCCAGCGTGGGCGACAGAGCGAGACTCCATCTCAAAAAAAAACAAAAAACAAAAAACAAAACAGTGAAAAATCTTACTTCCATCTCTGTTCTTTATTAACCTGGTTCCATGCCCTCTCCCAAACACTTTGAATAGTCTCTTTATATTCTTTTAGACTTTATTTTTTATTTTTAATTTAATTTGATTTAATTAATTAATTTATTTATTTTGAGACGGAGTCTCGCTCTGTTGCCCAGGCTGGAGTGCAGTGGCGCGATCTCGGCTCACTGCAAGCTCCGCCTCCCGGGTTCACGCCATTCTCCTGCCTCGGCCTCCCGAGTAGCTGGGACTACAGGCGCCCGCCACCAGGCCCGGCTAATTTTTTGTATTTTTAGTAGAGACAGGGTTTCACTATGTTAGCCAGGATGGTCTCGATCTCCTGACCTTGTGATCTACCCGCCTCGGCCTCCCAAAGTGCTGGGATTACAGACTTGGGCCACCGCGCCCGGCCCTTTATTTTTTATTTTTGAGACAAGAGTCTCACTCTGTCGCCCAGGCTGGTGTGCAGTGGCGCAGTCTCGGCTTTCTGCAACTTCCGCCTTCCGGGTTGAAGCGATTCTCCAGCCTCAGCCTCCTGAGTAGCTGAGTAGCCGTGCACCACCACGCCCGGCTAATTTTTTAATTTTTAGTAGACACGTGGTTTCACCGTGTTGGCCAGGCTAGACTTGAACTCCTGACCTCAAGTGATCTGCCCGCCTCAGCCTCCCAAAGTGCTGGGATTACAGGCATGAGCCACCGCGTTCGGCCTCTTTTAGACTTTCTTTAGGCGAATGCTTACAAATAAGAATATATGGCTGGGCGTGGTGGCTCACGCCTGTAACTCCAGCACTTTGGGCGGCAGAGGCCGGTGGATCACCTGAGGTCAGGAGTTTGAGACCAGCCTGGCCAACATGGTGAAACCCCGTCTCTACTAAAAATACAAAAATTAGCCAGGCATGGTGGCAGGTGCCTGTAATCTCAGTTACTCGGGAGGCCGAGGTAGGAGAATCACTTGAACCAGGAAGGCGCAGGTTGCAGTGAGCCGAGATCGCGCCGCTGTACTCCAGCTTAGGCGACAAGAGGGAGACTCCATCTCAAAAAAAAAAAAAAAAAAAAAGAAGAATTAAAAATGAAATGATACAGTTGGCCCTTGAACAAAACAGGGGTTGGGAAGCCAACCCCTGTGCGGTAGAAAATCCAAGTATAATTTTTTTTTTTTTTAAGACAGAATCTCTTGCTGTTGCGCAGGTTGGAGTGCAGTAGCAGGATCATGGCTCGATGTAGACTCAACTTTGTAGACTCAAGTGATCCTCCCTTTTTAGCCTCCTGAATGAGTAGCTGGGACCACAGGTGCATGCCACCATGCCTGGCTAATTTTTTTTTTTTTGTAGAGACAGGGCCTCCCTATGTTGCCTAGGCTGGTCTCAAACTCCTGGGCATCAACACTCCTCCCATTTCAGCCTCCGGAAGTGCTGGAATTACTGGCATGAGCCACTGTGCCTTGGCCCCAAATATAATTTTTGACCCCCCCTCCGCCGCCCCCTCGCGGCAAAACTTAACTACTGCTGTTGGTGATGGTGTTGCATAACCTGGCTTCATTAATTTCCTTTTTTTTTTTTTCTTTTTTCTGAGACGGAGTTTCGTTCTTGTTGCCCAGGCTGTAGTGCAATGGCACAGCTCACTGCAACCTCTGCCTGCCGGGTTCAAGCAGTTCTCCCTCTTCAGCCTCCCGAGTAGCTGGGTTTACAGGTGTGCGCCACCATGCCCAACTAATTTTTTTGTATTTTTAGTAGAGACAGGGTTTCACCATGTTGGCCAGGCTGGTCTTGAACTCTTGACCTCAGGCCATCCGCCTGCCTCGGCCTCCCAAAGTGCTGGGATTACAGGTGTGAGCCACCACGCCCGGCTCCTCTTTTTTGTTGTTGTTGTTTTTTTTTTTTTGAGACGAAGTCTCTCTCTATTGTCCAGGCTGGAGTGCAGTGGTGTGATCTCAGCTCATTGCAAGCTCCACCTCCTGGGTTCACGCCATTCTCCTGCCTCAGCCTCCTGAGTAGCTGGGATTACAGGTACCCGCTACCATGCCCGGCTAATTTTTTTTGTATTTTTAGTAGAGATGGGGTTTCGCCGTGTTAGCCAGGATGGTCTTGATCTCCTGACCTTGTGATCTGCCCGCCTCAGCCTCCCAAAGTGCTGAGATTACAGGCGTCAGCTACTGCGCCCGGACATTTTTTTTTTTTTTTTGAATTGGAGTTTTGTTCTTGTCACCCAGACTGGAGTGCAATGGCGCCATCTCAGCTCACTGCAACCTCCACCTCCTGGGTTCAAGCAATTCTCCTGCCTCAGCCTCCCGAGTAGCTGGGATTACAGGGGCCTGCCACCACGCCCAGCTAATTTTTGTATATTTAGTAGAGACAGGGTTTCACCATGTTAGCCAGGCTGGTTTCAAATTCCTGACCTCAGGTGATCCACCCCCCTTGGCCTCCCAGGGTGCCTGGATTACAGGTGTGAGCAACCACGCCTGGCCCCAGGTATAATTTTTGACTTCCCGCAAAACTTAACTGCTGTTGCTGTTGGCATTGCATAGCCTGGCTTCATGAATTTACTTTTTTTTTTTTTTTTTTAATGGCTGACCACTACTGCTGCAGATCTCAATCTGTGGTACATATCAAGCAATTCAAATTTTTATTTATTTATTTTTTTGAGACAGGGGCAGTTGCCCAGGCTGGAGTGCAGTGGTCTGATCATAGCTCACTATGGCCTCGACCTCCCAGGCTCAAGCCATCCTCCCATCTCAGTCTCCTGAGTAGCTGGGACTACAGGTGTGTGCCACCACTCCAGGATAAGTTTTTATTTTTTTGTAGAGGCATGGTCTCACTATGTTACCGTGGCTGGTCTCAAACTCCTGGGCTCAAGCAATCCTCCTGCCTTCAGCCTCCCAAAGTCCTGAGATCACAAGTGTGAGCCACCATGCCTGGCCAACTTTTTCGTATAATGTCATGACCTTTCTGTTTCTTGAGAGCACTTCCAGCATTAGTGGCACTTGGTATGGATCTCATGGTGTTATTCAGGGTTTACAGTATTGCACTAAGCATGATGAAAAATATGCACGAACCTTGAGAGATCACTTTTTACTGTGACACTTTTTACTGGAGGAAGGAACTGCTCACGTGGAGACGATTAGCATCACACAGCATTTTAGGGGCTACTCACAACACTTGCTCACTGAAACAGCAACAGGAGGTGGCTCCAGAATTATTACAGAAGTACAGTATATACTATAGTCAATTTTATGCAGTTGTGATTTAATACTGCACCTTTCCATTTGTTTACTGTTGACTATGAATGGCACCATGTATGGTTTGTATTTGTGTGCATAAGTTTTTATACATTTTAACTTTTTATAATAGATTTGTATATATCTTATAGTAAATAATAAAATAGACTAGTATCTACATATATTTTCTGCATTCATGGCATACCTAACTTTTTCTTAATTTTTTTGATGTTTCTAGGCTAGGTGTTTTGTTTCTGAGTTTTTTTCAAAATGTTATACATCTCCAAAAATTTAAAAAATATATTTGTTGAAAAAAATCTGTATGTAATACAGCTTTGCCTGTAGTTTCAGCTACTCCAGAGGCTGATGTGGGAGGATTACTCGAGGCCTGGAGTTTGAGGCCATAGTGTGCTATGATCACACTTGTGAATAACTACAGCACATGAGTGGACCTGTACAGTTCAAACCCGTGTTGTTCAAGGGTCAATTGTATAGTCCTGTTTTTCCCACTTTTCATGTACAGTTGCCCATGGTTCCCCACTGTTCTGCACTTCCCACCCCCAATCTTGCTTATTTTTTTTTTGAGACGGAGTGTTGCTCTGTCGCCCAGGCTGGAGTGCAGTGGCGCAATCTTGGCTCACTGCAAACTCCGCCTCCTGGGTTCACGCCATTCTCCTGCCTCAGCCTCCCGAGTAGCTGGGACTACAGGCGCCTGCTACCACGCCTGGCTAATTTTTTGTATTTTTAGTGGAGATGGGGTTTCACCGTATTAGCCAGGATGGTCTCGATCTCCTGACCTCGTGATCCGCCCACCTCGGCCTCCCAAAGTGCTGGGATTACAGGCGTGAGCCACCAGGCCCGGCCGCTTATTTACTTTATATATCTTAGAGACCTTTCCAGATCAGTACATAGAGAGCTTCCTCATTCTTTTTTTTTGGTTATATATATTATTATTTTTTTGAGACAGAATCTCACTTCATCACCCAGGCTGGAGTGCAGTGGTGCGATCTCAGCTCACTGCAACCTCCATTTCCCGGGTTCAAGTGATTCTCCTGCCTCAGCCTCCTGAGTAGCTGGGATTACAGGTGTGCACCACCACACCTGGCTAATTTTTGTATTTTTAGTAAAGACGGGGTTTAACCATGTTGGTCAGGCTAGTCTCGAACTCCTGACCTCAGGTGATCCACCCACCTTGGCCTCCCAAAGTGCTGGGATTACAAGTGTGAGCCACTGTGGCCTATATATATATTATTTATTTATTCATTTATTATTATTATTATTTTCTTTTTAATCACCTGCATAGTATTCCATTGAATGGATGTATCATAATTTATTTAACTAATTCCTTATAATGGACATTTATGTTTCCAGTGTTTTGATATTATAAACAATGCTGTAAAAAGGGCCTTTGAATGTGTCATTTTATATGTGTGCAAGGATATTTGTGGGATAAATTCACAGAAGTGAGATTTCTTTTTTTTTTTTTTTTGGAGACTGAGTTTTGCTCTGTTGCCCACACTGGAGTGCAGTGGCGCAATCTTGGCTCACTGCAACCTCCACCTCCTAGGTTCAAGCAATTCTTCTGCCTCAGCCTCCTGAGTAGCTGGGACTACAGGTGTGTGCCACCACGCCCAGCTAATTTTTATATTTTAATAGAGATGGGGTTTCACCCTATTGGCCAGGCTGATCTCGAACTCCTGACCTTGTGATCCGCCCACCTCGGCCTCCCAAAGTGCTGGGATTACAGGTGTGAGCCACCATGCCCGGCCCTCAGTCTTTTCTTTTATAGCTTTTGGATATTGAGTAAAAAAGATAGAAGAGCCTGACTGGGCGTGGTGGCTCACGCCTATAATCCCAGCACTTTTTGGGAGGCTGAGGCGGGTGGATCACCTGAGGTCAGGAGTTCGAGACCAGCTGACCAACATGGTGAAATCACGTCTCTACTAAAAATACAAAAATTAGCCGGGTGTGGTGGCATGCGCCTGTAGTTCCAGCTACTCGGGAGGCTGAGACAGGAGAATGGCTTGAACCAGGGAGATGGAGGTTGCAGTGAGCCGAGATCTATCTTGCCACTGCACTCTGGCCTGGGCAACAGAGTGAGACTCCATCTCAAAAAAAAAAAAAAAAAAAAAAAGAAGGGCCTTCTGCATTTCAGTCCTTTATTTTTTTAATCTATCCGATGGGAACAAGAAAACAATTATTGTGAAGATCAAAATGCTCTGTGAACTGTAAACTGTAAATCATTATACAGATTAAATATGGTGTTATTTATTAATTTGTCTTTGGAACAAGTGTGGAGGCTATTCTCTCTTCCTCTGAATTAAATAAAATAGAATAATATAATTTTTTGGGGGGGCTGGGCGTGGTGGCGCATGCCTGTAACAGCTGCTTTGGAGGGTAAGGCAGGAGAATTGCTTGAACACAGGAGGCAGAGGTTGCAGTGAGTCGAGATTGAGCCATTGCACTCCAACCTGGGCAACAAGAGCAAAAACTCCGTCTCCAAAAAAAAAAAATTTTTTTTTTCTTTCTGCAGTATGGAAAACTAGGGTGGTATTGATCTTGTGGTCAGTGTTTTCCTTGGACAATTTCATGGAATCTTCTTCACAATGACTTCCACAATGATTTCACTATGGAAATCATAAAGTATTTTTTATACTTAGTCCTATTATTCTTTGTATTAGGTGTAACTAGAATCTGACTAAAAGTTCTCAACATTTGTTTCACTTTCACATTACATAGTATTTACTTTGGGTTTTGTATTGCTACTGTTTGTTAGGAATTTGTATTTTGGAAGGATGTTAAAAATTTTTTTGGCGATTATAAAAGTAATGCATATTCATTAAGGAAGAATTGGAAAATAGAGATTTTAAAGGAGAAGATACACATTATTCATAATTTGCCCATGATTCAAAAAGTTAAAAACAGGCTGGGTATGGTTGCTCACCCCTGTAATCCCAGCACTTTGGGAGGCTGAGACAGGCGGATTATGTGAGGTCAGGAGTTTGAGACCAGCCTGGCCAATACGGTGAAACCCCGTCTCTACTAAAAATACAAAAATTAGCTGGGCATGGTGGTGTGCATCTGTAATCCTAGCTACTCAGGAGGCTGAGGCAGGAGAATTGCTTGAACCCAGGAGGCAGAGGTTGCAGTGAGCTGAGATTGTGCCACTGCTCTCCAGCCTGAGCGGGCCACACAGTGAGACTCTGTCTCAAAAAAAAAAAAAAAAGTTAAAAACCATTGTTAACATTTTGGACTGTATCCTCTCAGAATTATTTGTCTGTGTATGTCTATATTGTCGTCACCATCTCTCCAGGATTTGGCATAGTGCCTGGCCCGTAAGAGGTGCTAAATAAATATATGTTGGCTGAGTGAATGAAAGAAGGAGTATGTTTTTTACATTGAAAATGTGGAATCTCGATGTCCTATTTATTTTGCTTTTTCTCCACTGTACATTTTGACTCAATATTGTAGTATTATACTTTGTATTGCCATAGTTTGAAGGTAAGTTTGAGTCCAAGCCCTTAGCTTGAACTAAAAGAGCTCATAGTCTGGAAGCTCATAGTCCAGTGAAAGAGATGATAAGCAACAATTAAAATACTATATGATGACTATAATAACTAAGACTTGTGCAGGGTGATATCAAAGCACAGAAAATGAGATTGAGGGGTCAGAGAACACCTCCCACATGAGATGATTACTGAGAGAGTCATGTGGAAGAATCTGGGAAGAACACACCAGGGAGAAAGAATATTACATGCATAGATATTGAAGTGTGAGCAGGGCTCTACAAATATAGCAATTCTCTATGTTTGGAGTAGATTGTGACTGCAGATAGAGGAATGGACATAGATGAGGCTGGAGATGTGGGTAGGGGTCAAATGAGGCAGAACTTTTGTATGACACATGAATGATTCTCAGAAGTTTACTTAGCCTGGTGAAACAGATTGAAAAAAGTGTGAGAGTGGAGCTAGGAAGACCAAAAAGACATTAATTGAGTGCCAAGTAAGTAGTATAGTCAGATTACTACAAGAGCTAGAATGACATGAACATCATATAAGCTGAGGCAGAAAGTCAACACTACATCAGAAGGGTGCGTTAAGTGTAGGGAATAATGATTAGCCTAATTATAGTGGAGCAGAGTAGGGAATAATGATTAGCCTAATTATAGTGGAGCAGAGTCTTCGAATGCCGGGCTAAAGAATTTTATAAGCAACAGATATCATTGAAGATTTTTAACTGTCACCTGTATTGTCTGAACAGTTACAGGTTGCTTCCTTCTGGCTAGTCTGAAATTTGGTTAAAATCTTTCTTTTTTTTTTTGTTTTTGAGATGGAGTCTCGTTCAGCTGCCCAGGCTGGAGTGCAGTGGTGTGATCTCAGCTCACTGCAACCACCGTCTCCCAGGTTCAAGTGATTCTCCCGTCTCAGCCTCCCGAGTAGCTGGAATTACAGGCACCCGCCATCATGCCCGGCTAATTTTTGTATTTTAGTAGAGACGGGGTTTAGCCATGTTGGCCAGGCTGGTCTTGAATTCCTGACCTCAGGTGATCCACCTGCCTGAAATTTACTTTCCTGAACTTTTATCAGGAAAAAATATTAAAGGAAGCAAACCTCTATCAGAAAGTTAAAGAAATTCCATCTATTATATATCAGTATGAATTCAGTTTAATGACTATATCTTTTGTATTTGTTTTTTTGATTTTTTTTTTCTTTTTTGAGACAGAGTCTCACTCTGTCACCCAGGCTGGAGTGCAGTGGTGCGATTTCAGCTCACCGCAACCTCTGCCTTCTGGGTTCAAGCAATTCTCCTGCCTCACTTAGGCTCCTCAGTAGCTGGAATTACAGGCATGTGCCACCGCGCCTGGCTAATTTTTGTATTTTTTTTTTTTTGGTAGAGACGTGGTTTCACCACGTTGGCCAGGAATTCAAGACCAATCTAGTCAACATAGTAAGAACCCACCTCTTCAAAAAATTAAAAAATCGGCCAGGTGCGGTGGCTCCTGTCTGTAATCCTGGGCTCAAGGGATCCTCCCCTTGGCCTCTCAAAGTGGTAGGATTATAGGCATGAGTGACTGTGCCTGGCTACCTCATTCTTTTTTTTTGAGATGGAGTCTCACTCTATCTCCCAGGCTGGAGTGCAGTGGCGTGATCTCGGCTCACTGCAACCTCCACCTCCCATGTTCAAGCAATTCTCCTGCCTCGGCTTCCCAAGTAGCTGGGACTACAGGCGTGTGCCACCAGGCCTGTCTAATTTTTTGTGTTTTTAGTAGAGATGGGGTTTCACCGTGTTAGCCAGGATGGCCTTGATCTCCTGACCTTGTGATTCTCCCACCTTAGCCTCCCAAAGTCCTGGGATTACAGGTGTGAGCCACCGCGCCTGGCTAGCTACCTCATTCTTTTAATGACTACATAATATTAAGTTGTATGGATGCACATGGATTGATTGATTGGTCTTGCTCTAGTGCCGAGGCCGGAGTGCGGTGGTGTCATCTTGACTCATTGCAACCTCCGCTCCTGGGCTCAAGCGATTCTCCTGCCTCAGCCTCCCAAGTAGCTGGGACTACAGGCATGGGCCACCACGCTTAGCCAATTTTTGTATTTTTTGTAGAGACAAAGTCTCCTCATGTTGTTCAGGCTGGTCTCAAACTCCTAAGCTCAAATGATCCACCTGCCTCGGGCCTCCCAAAGTGCTGGGATTACAGGTGTGAGCCATTGTGCCTGGCCTGTACTGTAATTTATTTAATCTATCTCTATTTTTGGATATTTGGATTGTCTCCATTTTTCTGTTACTGTATTAGTCAGGGTTCTCTAGAGGGACAGAACTAATAGGATATATGTATATATGAAAGGGAGTTTATTAAGGAAGATTGGCTCACATGATCACAAGGTAAAGTCCCACGATAGGCCGTCTGCAAGTTGAGGAGCAAGGAAGCCAGTGACAAATCAGTCCAAGTTCTAAAACCTCAAAAAGTAGGGAAGCTGACAGTGCAGCCTTCAGTCTGTGGCCAAAGGCCTGAGAGCCCCTGGCAAATCACTGGTGTAAGTCCAAGAGTCCAAAAGCTGAAGAAGTTGGAGTCTGACATTCTTGGGCAGGAAGCATCCAGCATGGGAGAAAGATGAAGGCCGGAAGACTCAGCAAGTCTGCTTTTCCATCTTCTGCCTGCTTTATTCTAGCTACACTGGCAGCTGATTAGATGGTGCCCACCCAGATTGAGGGTGGGTCTTCCTCGTCCACTCCACTGACTCAAATGTTAATCTCCCTTGGCCGCACCCTCACAGACACACTAGGAACAATACTTTGCATCCTTCAGTCCAATCAAGTTGACACTCAGTATTAACCATCACAGTTACCAACAATTTATACTTTAATATTCTTGTACATATATCTTTGTGTACTGATAGCAACTGTCATTTTTCATGGCTATAAAAATATTCTCTTGGCCGGGTGTGGTGGGGGCTCACGCCTGTAATCCCAGCACTTTCGGAGGCTGAGGCAGGTGGATCACCTGAGGTCAAGAGTTCGAGACCAGTCTGGCTAGCATGATGAAAACCCGTCTCCACTAAAAATACAAAAATTAGCCAGGCGTGGTGGCACATGCCTGTAGTCCCAGCTACTTGGGAGGCTGAGGCAGGAGAATTGCTTGAACCCAGGAGGTGGAGGTTGCAGTGAACCAAGATCGCGTCACTGCACTCCATCCTGGGCAACAGAACGAGACTCAAAAAAAAAAAAAAAAAAAAAGGCCAGGCTAACACAAGGAACCTAACTTCCTCTTTCCTCTTGATTACTTTCTTTCCCACAGTCTCTGAAATTCTGAAATAGCCCTCTAACATCAGAAGAAAAGGTGAGTTGCCTTTCTTTTCTTTTCTTTTTTTTTTTTTTTTTTTGAGATAGAGTCTTGCTCTGTTGCCATGCTGTGCACCCAGCCCATGAGTTGCCTTTCTGCCCCAAGTGGTCCTTTTCAGGCCTTCTCATATTTAACTAGGAAAATTGATCAAAGGAGATATTATCCTGGAAATTCATAAATTCACCTAGTGCTTTACCATCTCACATTATTTGCATCGGGTCCAATATTAGTTTTGTGTTATTTCATATTCCAGCATATAAAGTTATAGATACATTTAGTATACACAGAAGATCAGAAACTGCATTAAAAAAAAAAAAAGAGATGGAGGCCAGGTGTGGTGGCTCACACCTGTAATCCCAGCACTTTGGGAGGCCAAGGCAGGTGGCCAAGGCAGGCCAAGGTCAGGAGTTCGAGACTAGCCTGACCAACATGGTGAAACCCCATTTATACTAAAAATACAAAAATTAGCCCAGCGTGGTGGTACGCACCTGTAATCCCAGCTACTCAGGAGACTGAGGCAGGAGAATCGCTCGAACCCAGGAGGTGGAGATTGCACTGAGCTGAGATCATACCATTGCACTTGAGCCTGCACGACAGAGAGACATTCCGTCTCAAAAAATAAATAAATACAATAAAAAAAAAAGAGATGGGGTCTTGCTATGTTGCCCAGGCTGGTCTCAAAGTCTTGGCCTCAAGCAGTCCTCCTGTCTTGGCCTCCCAAAGTGCTGGGATTACAGGAGTGAGCAACTGTGCATGGCCCAGAAAATTTTTTTTTGAGACCGAATCTCACTCCATCACCCAGGCTAGAGTGCAATCTTGGCTCACTGCAGGCTCCGCCTCCTGGGTTCAAGTGATTCTCATGCCTCAGCCTCCTGAGTAGCTGGGACTACAGGCATGCACCACCACACCTGGCTAATTTTTTGTGTATTTTTGGTAGAGATAGGGTTTCATAATGTTGGCCAGGCTGGTCTCGAACTCCTGAGGTCAGGTGATCTGCTTGCCTCAGCCTCCCAAAGTGTGAGCCACTGCGCTTGGCCAAAAAATGTCATATATGATCTTAATATCATTATTATACTTAACTAAATTAACAGTAATTTTCTACTATTGTCTGGTAGTCGTGCTTATTAAAACTTCCCCAATTGGCTGGGCATGATGGCTCATGCCTGTAATCCTAGCACTTTGGGGGGCTGAGGCGGGAGGATTGTTTGAGCCTAGGCGTTTGAGGCTGCAAATGAGCTATGGTTGAGCCACTGCACTACACCCTGGGTGACAGAGCAAGACCTTATCTTAAAAAAAAAAAAAAAAATCCCTAATTGTCTTTTATAGCTGGTTTGTTCAAATCAGGATCTAGCCAAGTATCATCATTGCATTTGGTTATTTTAACTGTTAATTCTTCAGAGTCAGAATTTGAACATAGTAGTGTGTACTCCAATGCGTTTGCTTTTTGTTATGTCATTGGAAAGAAGAAAAGCTTTTTAACAACCAGAACTTTGCAATAATAGAACAGACTACTGTAGTGAGCTCTTTGTTACTGGTGTTGTTTTAGTAGGCCAGGCTGACTCTGCCTTCTGTAGTGTCCAATCCAGTGGACAGTTTTCTTCATACCATATACTACTTTGTGGTATTTGATATGTGTGTTGTTTCCACTTTTGGTTTCTGTGACATATTAGGTTGGTGCAAAAGTAATTGTGGTTTTTGTCATTACTATCAATGGCAATATACTTTCTTCTGGTTTTATTCTTGCGTTTTTCCTTTTTAGTCTCATTTGTATACTCTTCCTTTTTTTGTCCTGTATATATTGATGTTCCCTTGACCACTTACCTGCTTTCACCTAAGCACAAAAAGAAGGTGCCTGGGCTTTGGTGCATGGTAGGAACTCGGTATTACCTAGAGTCATATTCTGTACTTTGGGAAATTTTTTAGTAAGTGCTAGTGACTTTTTTTTTTTTTTTTTGAGACGGAGTCTTACTGTCTTGCCAGGGAGTGCAGTGGCACGATCTCGGCTCACTGCAAGCTCTGCCTCCCGGGTTCACACCATTCTCCTGCCTCAGTCTCCCGATTAGCTGGGACTACAGGCACCCGCCACCACACCTGGCTAATTTTTTTGTATTTTTTTTTTTTTTTTTTTTTAGTAGAGACAGGGTTTCACCGTATTACCCAGGATGATCTCAATCTCCTGACCTTGTGATCCGCCTGCCTTGGCTTCCCAAAGTGCTGGGATTACAGGCGTAAGCCACCGCGCCCGGCATGCTAGTAACTTTTAAGTGTACATCTTCAGTCTAGTCCTCTCTCCTAAGCTCCAGTATGGTGTCTCCAACAGCCTCCTGGACATTGTTAACTGGTGTTCCTTCAGGCAACTTAAACTCAGTAAGATCTGAGAAGAATTTGCGTCTCCTTACACATCATATCCTTTAGGTGAATGGCTAGCCATTCTCCCAGTTACCCAAACCAGAAACATGGGAGGGATTCTAGTTAAACTTGGAGTCATCTGGGTACCTCTTGTACCTCATATGTCTACTTGATCACCTTTTTTTTTTTTTTTTTTGAGATGGAGTTTTGCTCTTGTCCCCCAGGCTGGAGTGCAATGGCGCAATCTTGGTTCACTGCAATTTCTGCCTCCTGGGTTCAAGCGATTCTTCTGCCTTAGCCTCCCAAGTAGCTGGGATCACAGGTGCCTGCCACCATGCCTGGCTAATTTTTGTATTTTTAGTAGAGGTGGGGTTTCCCCATGTTGGCCAGGCTGGTCTCGAACTCTTGACCTCAGGTGATCTGCCCGCCTTGGCCTCCCAAAGTGCTGGGATTACAGGTGTGAGCCACGGTGCCCGGACTTGAACACCTTTTTTTTTTTTTTTGAGATGGAGTCTTGCTCTGTCGCCCAGGCTGGAGTACAGTGGCACTATCTCGGCTCACTGCAAGCTCCGCCTCCCAGGTTCATGCCATTCTCCTGCCTCAGCCTCCCGAGTAGCTGGGACTACAGGTGCCGGCCACCATACCCGGCTAATTTTTTTGTATTTTTAGTAGAGACGGGGTTTCACCGTGTTAGCCAGGATGGTCTCGATCTCCTGACCTCATGATCCACCCGCCTCGGCCTCCCAAAGTGCTGGGATTACAGGCGTGAGCCACTGCGCCTGGCCAGAACACCTTTTTAAAAATGTCACTTATCTCTGCTCAGCATGGTAGTGCTGAGGCGGCTGAGGTGGCTGAGGCAAAGGGGATCCCTTGAGCTTAGGAGTTCGAGGCTGTAGTGTGCAGTGATCATGCCTGTAAAGTCCAGCCTGGGCAACATAGTGAGACCCCCATCTCTAAAAAAATGGTCACTTATCTTCTCTCACTTCTTTTTCCTCACTGCCAGTACCTTAATTAAGCCTTCCCTCTTATCTGTCATTAACAATTATCTTGTTTGGGTGCAGTGGCTCATGCCTGTAATCTCAGCACTTTGGGAGGCTGAGTTGGGCAGATCACCAGGTCAAGAGATTGAGACCATCCTGGCCAACATAGTGAAACCCCATCTCCACTAAAAATACAAAAAAATTATCTGGGCATAGTGGTGCGTGCCTGTAGTCCCAGCCACTCGGGAGGTGGAGGCAGGAGAATCGCTTGAACCCGGGAGGCAGAGGTTGCAGTGAGCCGAGATCGCACCACTGTTCTCCAGCCTGGGCAACAGAGCAAGACTGTCTCAAAAAAAAAATTATCTTATTGTACTCTATTATATTCATTGATTTACATGTATCTTTCAGGAGACTGAGTTCTTGGAAAGGTGGAGTCATGTTTTATTCCATTTTGTACATCCTCCTACCAGAGAGGCAATATTAACATAGCGATTAAGAGTACAGCCTCTGGGTTTGAATTCTGGCTCCTCCGCTTCTTTTTTTTGAGACGGAGTCTTGCTCTGTCGACCAGGCTGGAGTGCAGTGGTGTGATCATAGCTCACTGCAACCTCTGCCTCCTGGGTTCAAGTGATTCTTCTGCCTCAGCCTCCTGAGTAGCTGGGACTATAGGTGCACGTCACCATGCCTGACTAATTTTTGTATTTTTAGTAGAGATGGGATTTCACCATGTTGGCCAGGATGGTCTCGACCTCCTGACCTCGTGATCCACCTGCCTCAGCTTCCCAAAGTGCTAGGATTACAGGTGTGAGCCTCTGTGCTCAGCCTTCTACCACTTCTTGGTTGTGAGATTGGGCAAGTTAATTCCTTAATGCCTTCGTTTACACATTTGTAAATTGGGGGTAATAATGGCATCTATTTTATAGGACTGTTATGGATATTAAATGTAAAGCACTTGGAAAAGCATCTGGATTATAGTAAATGCTCAGTAAATACTATAGCACCTGTCCTAAAGCCTTGCACCTAGTGGCTACCCAATTAACATTTGAGTCAGCTAATAGAGGGGATTCCTGAATTGGTCTAAAGATTAAACTAGTTCATCTCTAACTGCCTTTATAACTTTCACCCTAAGTTTCTGTTTTATGTCATGGCTTAGGGCCTGGTGGATTGAAGTTACACAGCAAATATGATGCTTATTTAGAAGAGCTAATACACTTTTAAGAACTGGCTTTTGATCTGTCTGGTACTAATATATGCCATTGTGTATATTCGTGGTTAATTAGATAAGGGATGCCAGTTTTTATGCTAGATTGCCTTTGGTTTGAATGGAAACTGCAACTCATTATTTCACAGCAGGAAGGTAAGCTCAGCAGTATTGCTTTTATTTTTAATTAGATAGTCATCCTGAAACGTGTCTGTATTAGCTGTGTTGGTCCATAGAAAGAATAACAGCTGAGCAGACTTGTCATGTAGATTTGCCATGTGTTTGGTATTGATACACAGCTAATGTACTTGTCAGTATTCCCATTCTAGAAAATAAGTGGCCAGTTTTCGGGGCTACATATTACTCATAATGAATCCTTAATTTATTCTGGATTAGGTGGGGACTTTTTATGATTATAGAAAGAAAACAATGTGATGAGGATATTGGTATATTATGTTTGCAGTCTTTTTCTACTCTTTATATCTAGGGTGTGAAAGTCCACTGAATTCTCAGAAATCTTTTTTGATGACTTTGTGGGATAATATTACCAACTTTGTGCACATATGATTCCATATTTGGATGGACATTGACAATTTTTGATTGCTGGCTGACACTGCCAAATCCAGCTACCTGTTGGTAGATAGCTTTCTAGTGCATTGCAGGATTAAATTTGTGTCTGGACTATTGTGAAGTTGTATCTACTTTGTTTTGCTGAAATGAAGGGGTGAGAAACAGCAGATACTGTGCATTAGAATGGAAAATAGAGAATGATTGGGATTTGGCATATTTTCCCTGTCAGCATGGCATCCATTCTTTAGAAAGCCTGTTTAAATCAATACTGATTTTTCTGTCTGTAGAATGTGATTGAATGACTGAAGGAAGGCTTTTGCCTCAGAGACTGGTAGAGCCATCATTTGTACACTTTTTACTCACCCTGTTGAGGGAAGTTGGGGAATAGTAGTAGCTTTCTACGTAGCTAACCCACAAATCATTTTTCACAGAAATTTGATGTATTTCTGAAGGAGACATGTTATAATGGGAAGTGCTTAGGTTTGAAACTACTAGATTTGAATCCTGAGTCTCACTAGTTGTTTATATTTGGAGAAGTCATAATCTCTCAGGATTTTGATTTCTTTTTCTTTAAATTAGAGATGATAATACATGCTTTGCAGAGTTGTCACAAAGATTACAGATAACATACAAAACCCTTGGTAGAATGCGTGGTCTGTAGTAAATAGTGGCTGCAGTTATTATTTCCAGAAGCATATTTCAGACAGGAGTGTGGTCTGAGAGTCCTAAAAATTTCCTTGATATTTCTGAAAAATGATTTTTGGAATTCTTACTTTGGAAAGATTAAAAAATATAATATTGAAGATAGGCTATTTAGTTCACTAACTTTTTTTTAATTGGTAGCTTTTCAAATTACTTTCCCCAATCAAAGCTTTTAGTTGTATTTTCTTTGTGAAAAACAAATCAACTCCTATATAAATGAAATTAATATTTGAAAAAACAAACCTACCTATGTAGAAAAGAAAAAGTTTTGAACTTCCAAGTTTATAATATTTAAGTTGAGAACATAGTTACTAAAAAATTACTTGTGTCCTTATAAGCCACATAATTTGGGCATTTTTGAAAGACTGCTAAATGCTATTTCCTAGTCTAAGAACAAAAATGATTAAGCTTCTCTAACACAGTGTTTCTCAACCAGGGCATTATTGGCATTTAGGGCAGGACAATTCTTTGTTTTGTGCATTGTAGGACATTTAGCTTCCCTAGCACCTGCCCACTAAAATACCAGTAGTGCTCATCCCACACCCCCATCATTGTGACAATAACGCCTTATGTTTTTCTGGTAATGTGATGGTAACTGTAGTTATCTCTGTTCCAAAAAAAGTATATTAATACTTTGAGGGACACTATTAGTATCAATAGATAATACTCAATATATAAGACCAAGAGAGGTAATCCAGAGGCAGAAACCATCATAAAATGTCATATATTTGAAATAATGTATTTTCTTATTTTAAAAGTAATCATTCCCACATTTTATAAAATTGGGCTTGGTTTTAGGGTTTGTACGTGTATATCTTTGCTGCCTTTTATTAGTTATTAAAATTTGTCAGAATAAATTGACAGCCATTTATAGCTTGGTTGATTTCATTTAAAATATAGTCATTTAGTTTGCTCGCCAAGGGAGCAGAAGGCATGGTTTGGAAGTTTTCTCTTGCTCAGCACTTCTCTAAAATGGATTAATACAGTTCTTACTCCCATGGAGAGGACTCTACTTCTTACCACTCATCTCAGCTATCTAATCATTAGTATTACTTTAGCATGTGATAGGGTCTCTACACTAAATATCAGTGTTTGTTATGAGCTCTCTAATTTTTTTTTTTTTTTTGAGACAGACGTTTGCTCTATTGCCCAGGCTGGAATGCAGTAGCCCAAACACGGCTCACTGCAGCTTTGACCTCCTGGGCTCCAGCAATCCTCCCACCTTGGCCTCCTGAGTAGCTAGGACTACAGGTGTGCACCACCATGCCGGGCTAATTTTTGTATTTTTTGTAGAGACGGGGATTTCACTATGTTGCCCAGGCTGATCTTGAACTCCTGGGCTCAAGCAGTCATCCTGCCTGAGCCTCTAAAATTGTTGGGGGATTACAGACGTGAGCCAGTGATCCCACCCAATATTTTAAGTTTGTGGACTTAAATAAGTTAGGCCATCCAAAAATTCACCCATGATTTTGAAGTTTTAGCCTAAGATATATATATTCCTAGGACTAAAAACTACGGTGGAAATTTAGCAGAATAAAAGTTTGAGAGTCTAGAGGCTTGGCTTGCACACTGGCATGCTGTTTATTTGCCAAATTGTTATCAATGTTTTGGCTTAAGCATGCTACATAGCTGTTGCATTAGCAATAGACTTAAAAAAAAAAAAAACTGTGAAGGCCGAGCACAGTGGCTCATGCCTGTAATCTCAGAACTTTGGGAGGCCAAGGCGGGCGGATCATGAGGTCAGGAGTTTGAGACCAGCCTGACCAACATGGTGAAACCCCATTTCTACTAAAAATACAAAAATTAGCCGGGTGTGGTGGCGCGTGCCTCTAGGGAGGCTGAGGCAGGGGAATCCCTTGAACCTGGGAGGCGGAGGTTGTGGTGAGCCATGATCGCACCACTGTACTCCAGTCTGGGTGACAGAGCGAGACTGCATCTTAAAAAAAAAACAACAAACCTGTTAAACTTTTTTGAAATTAAAAAAATTTAAATGCAGAAAAGAGTACAGTATAATAAATAACACCCAGAATTAACAAATATTAATTAATGAAAAATGATAAAATTAACAGATATATCATTTTGTGTTATTTGCCACAGGTTTGTTTTTCAATAGAAGGAAACAAAAATATTATTGGCAGTCCATCACCTTAACCACTTGGCCACTTCATCACGTTAAGGAAACAAAATTTTATTAGTATAGTGGATGTCTCTTTTGTTTCCCTTTCTTGTCATTTCACTTTCTTTCCCCTGAGGCAAATACTATTATGAATTTAGTGTCTTCATTTTTAGTTCATGCTTTTAGATGTTCACTATAAATATGTAATATCTTTAATAATTATAATAACAAACAGGAGTTGAATGCTTATTGTTTATTAGGTACTATCCATTTAATCAATAACTTTGTGGTTATTGTAAGGATTAAATGAGTTAATAAATATAAAATGTAGGCACTGTTTTTATTTTCATTTTTCAGATAGGGAACTAGAGATGTAGAGAGGTTAAATAACATATCTAAGTTCATATAACTAGAAGTTACGGAGCAAGGATTTGAACCCAGATTGTTTGGCTGTAGATGTCATAGCATTCATGACTATGCTATTCTGCTTTTCTGTAATATATAATATATAATATATATTATTATTATTATTATTTGAGATAGAGTCTTGCTCTGTTGCCCAGACTGGAGTGCAGTGGTGTGGTCATGGCTCACTGCAGCCTTGACCTCCTGGGACCCAACTAATGCTTCTGCCTCAGCCTCCTGAGTAGCTGGGACTACAGGCGCATGCCACCATGCCTGGGTAATTTTTGTTTTTGTTTTTGTTTTTTTTGAGACGGAGTCTTGCTCTGTTGCCCAGGCTGGAGTGCAGTGGCACGATCTCAGCTCACTCAACCTCTGCCTCCTGGGTTCAAGCAATTCTCCTGCCTCAGCCTCCTGAGTAGCTGGGACTACAGGTGCACACCACCACGCCCAGATATTTTTTGCATTTTTAGTAGATACAGGGTTTCACCATGTTGGCCAGGATGGTCTCGATCTCTTGACCTTGTGATCTGCCTGCCTCGGCCTCCCAAAGTGCTGGGATTACAGGTGTGAGCCACCGCGCCTGGTCAATTTTTGTATTTTTTGTAGAGATTAGGTTTAACCATGTTGCTCAGACTGGCCTCGAACTCCTGGGCTCAAGCTATCCACCTCCTCGGCCTCTCAAAGTGTTGGGATTATAGACGTAAGGCACCATGCCCGATTAGTATATATTATTTTGTGTATTTTTAAAATACATTTTTATAAAAATGGTATACTGTGGGGTGGTTGTGCAATTTTTTTTCAGTAACTTCTTTGAAAACCTTTTCTTGAATTAAATTTTAATAATATCGCTAACTACAACTTGCTTTTCTCCCCAACTCTACATTACTTTTTAAATACATTCACATTGCTACTTATAATTTGTTCATCTAAGTGCTGTATGTTTTATTGAGTAATATGCCACAGTTTATTATCTATTACTCCTACAGATGAACTTTAGGTTGTTTCCTTTCTTTCCGCTGATTACACACACTGGTAAAATGAAATGAATATCTTTATTCAGGCCTCTTGTGTTTATGTGCAAGAGTATCTCTAAGCATATAACATTTAAGAAATACATTTACCCCTCTTGAAAAGTGCTGTGAACCAAGATACAAATACCAAAATTTAGTCTATTGTGCTATTGTAAAACTTCTAACAAGACTCCTACCAAAGCAGCTCAGTTGCAATTAGCATTCTTTCTTTCTTTCTTTTTCTCTTTTTCTTTCTTTCTTTGTCTCTCTCTTTCTTCTTCCTTTCCTTTTTTCCTTCCTTCCTTCCTTCCTTCCTTCCATCTCTTTTCTCTTTCTCTCTCTCTCTCTCTCTCTCTTTCTTTTTTGGAGTCTCACTCTGTCACCCAGGCTGGAGTACAGTGGTGCCATCTCAGCTCACTTCAACCTCTGCCTCATGGGTTCAAGTGATTCTCTTGCCTTAGCCTCCTGAGTAGGTGGGACTACAGGTGCACACCACCATGCCTGGTTAATTTTCTTTTCTTTTTCTTTTTTTTTTGAGATGGAGTCTTGCTCTATCTCCCAGGCTGGAGTGCAGTGGCGTGATCTTGGCTCATTGCAACCTTCGCCTCCTGTGTTCAAGTGATTCTCATGCCTCAGCCTCCTGAGTGGCTGGGATTACAGATGTGTGTCACCATGCTGGCTAAGTTTTGTATTTTTAGTAGAGACGGGGTTTCACCATGTTGGCCAGGCCGGTCTCGAACTCCTGACCTCAGGTGATCTACCTGCCTTGGCCTCCCAAAGTGCTGGGATTACAGATGTGAGCCACCGTGTCTGGCCTAATTTTTGTATTTTTAGTAGAGACAAGGTTTTGCCATGTTGACCAGACCAGTCTGGAACTCCTGACCTCAAGTGATCCACCTGCCTTGGCCTCCCAAAGTGCTAGGATGACAGGAGTTAGCCACTGTGCCCTGCCACAGTTAGCAGTTTCTTACCTCTTCCTAGCTAGCTGAGAATGTAAAACCAGACCCATTGAGCTGCAATGAGCAATTCTGTCTTCTGTGCTGTAATATGGAAAACTAGGATTTGCCACTCTCAGGGAACCCTGAGGGCACTGAGGAGGTTAGTAAGGTATTTTGTTACGAATGAAACATATCTTGATAACAATTCAGTAAAGTTGTAGGATACAAAATCAGTATACAAAAATCAGTAGCATTTCTGTGTGCCAACAGCAAACAATCTGAAAAAGAAATCAGGAAGGTAATCCCATTTACAACAGCTTCAAATAGGATAAAATACCTAGGAACAATCTTAACCAAATAAGTGAAAGATCTTTACAATGAAAACTATAAGACTTTTTTTTTTTTTTTTTATCCAGTGTCTTGCTCTGTCGCCAAGGCTGGAGTGCAGTGATGTGATCTTGGCTCATCGCAACCTCTGCCTCCCGGCTTCAAGCAATTTTTGTGCCTCAGCCTCCTGAGTAGCTGGGACTACAGGTGTGCCACCATGCCTGGCTAATTTTTGTATTTTTAGTAGAGACGGGGTTTCACCATGTTGGCCAGGCTATAAACTATAAAATATTGATGAAAGAAATTGAAGAGGACACCAAAAAATGGAAAGATATTTAATGTTCATGAATTGAAAGAATCGATATTGTTAAAATGTCCATACTACCTAAAACGATCTACAGATTCAGTGCAGTCTGCATCAAAATACCAGTGACACTCTTCACAGAAATAGAAAAAAAATCCTCAAATTTTAGAACCACAAAAGACCTAGAACAGCCAAAAGCCTCCTGAGCAAAAAGAACAAAACTGGAGGAATCACATTACTTGACTTCAAATTATACCACAGAGCTATTGTAACCAAAACAACACGAGAATACTGGCATAAAAACCGACACATAGGCTGGGCATGGTGGCTCATGCCTATAATCCCAGCACTTTAGGAGGCTGAGGAGGGTGGATCGCTTGAGCCTAGGAGTTTGAGATGATCCTGGGCAACTTGGCAAAACCTTGTCTCTACAAAAAAAAAGTACAAAAATTAGCTGGGTGTGGTTGTATGCACCTGTAGTCCCAGCTACTTGGGAGGCTAAGTTGGGAGGATCACCTGAGCCCTAGGAGATCGAGGCTGCAGTGAGCTGTGATCACGCCACTCCATTCCAGCCTGGGCAACAGAGTGAGACCCTGTCTCAAAACAAAACAAAAACAAAAAACCAGACACACAGACTGATGGAACAGAATAGAGAACCCAGAAATAAATCCATATACCTACAGTGAACTCATTTTCAACAAAGGTGCCAAGACCATACACTGGGGAAAGGACAATCTCTTCAATGAATGGTGCTGGGAAAACAGGATATCCATATGCAGAAGAAAAACCTAATCAAAAATCTGATCAAAATGGATTAAAGACTTAAATCTAAGACCTCAAACTGTGAAAGTACTACAAGGAAACATTGGGAAAACTTTCCAGGACATTGGTTTGGGCAAAGATTTCTTGAGTAATATCCCCAAAGTACAGGTAACCAAAGCAAAAATGGACACATGTGATCACATGAAGTTAAAAAGCTTCTGCACAGAAAATGAAGCAGTCAACAAAGTGAAGAGACAACTCACAGAATGGGAGAAAATATTTCAAACTACCCGTCTGACAAAGAATTAATAACCAGAAAATATAAGGAGTTCAGACAACTCTATAGGAAAAAATCTAACAATCTGATTAAAAAATGGGCAAAAGATCTGAACAGACATTTCTCAAAAGGAGGCATACAAATGGCAAACAGATCTATGTAAAGTTCCTAAACATATTGATCATCAGAGAAATGCACATCAAAACTACAATGAGTTATCATCTCACCCTTAAAATGGCTTTTATTCAAAAGATGGGCAAATAATGCTAACCAAGATGTGGAGAAGAGGGAACCCTCGTTCACTATTGATAGAAATGTAAATTAGTACAGCCACTATGGAGAACACTATGGAGGTCCCTCAAAATAGTAAAAGTAGAGCTACAATGTGATATAGCAATCCCACTGCTGAATATATACCCAAAAGAAAGGATATCAGTATAGCGAAGAGACGTTTGCACTCCCATGTTTATTACAGCACTGTTTACAATAGCCAAGATTTGGAAGCAACCTAAATGTTCAACAAATGAATGGATAAAGAAAATGTGGCACCTACACAAATGGATTATTCAGCCATAAAAAAATGAGATCCTCTGCCGGGCGCGGTGGCTCACGCCTGTAATCTCAGCACTTTGGGAGGCCGAGGTGGGCGGATCACAATGTCAGGAGATCGAGACCATCCTGGCTAACACGGTGAAACCTCGTCTCTACTAAAAATACAAAAAATTAGCCGGGTGTGGTGTCAGGCGCCTGTAGTCCCAGCTACTCGGGAGGCTGAGGCAGGAGAATGGCATGAACCTGGGAGGTGGAGCTTGCAGTGAGCGGAGATCACGCCACTGCACTCCATCCTGGGCGACAGAGCGAGACCCCATCTAAAAAATAAAAAAAAAAAGAGATCCCTTTTTTTGCAACAGCATGGATGGAACTTGAGGACATCATGTTAAGTGAAATAAGTCAGGCACAGAAGGACAAACTTTGCATGTTCTTACGCATTGCTGAAGCTAAATATTAAGACAATTGAACTCATGGAGATAGAGAATAGAATGATGGTTACCAGAGGGTGGGAAGGGTAGTGTGTTGGGGGTGTTGAGTGGGAAATGGGATGGTTAATAGGTACAATAATATAGTTAGATAGAATGAATAAGATTTAGTATTTGATAGCACAACAGAATGACTACGGTCGGCAATAATTCATTGTATATTTTAGAATAACTGGGAGAGTACGATTGGAATGTTTGTAACACAAAGAAATGATGAATGCTTGAGGTGATGGATACCTCATTTACCCTGATGTGATTATTACACATTGTATGCCTGTATCAAAATATCTCATGTACCCTGTAAATATATATACCTACTATGTACACATAAAAATTAAAGAGTTTATATCTCAAAAATGAAAAAGTCAGTTGATGGCAAACATCGAATTGTTCAGTTTAGCAGACAACTATGTTTTATATAGTCAACGATGTTTTATGTACTTTACATATGTTTTGTATATTACTTCAATATCTTTTATTTTTCTAAAGTTTCTTTTTTCTTTTCTGTCTCTGTTCAAATTATAATCAGCCTAGCCTTCCTCTGCACTTAAGTCTCTGTTCTTTCTACAGCTCTCATAGTGGAAAAATACTGAGCTAAGTAATAATGAAATGGAAGAAGTTTGAGCTTTGGTGCTGGATAGAACTTGGTTCCAGTTCTGGTTCTACTAGCTCTGTATCCTTAGCAAGTTACTTCATCTTCTGAGCCTGTATTTCTTTTTCTGTAAAATGGAGATCAGACCTACCTTGCTGGGTTTTTTTGTTGTTGTTGTTTTGAGACGGAGTCTTGCTCTGTCACCCAGGTTGGAGTGTAGTGGTGTGATCTGAGCTCACTGCAATCTCTGCCTCTTGGGTTCAAGGGATTCTCAAAGTGCTGGGATTACAGGTGTGAGCCACCGTGCCTGGCCACGTTTTGAGATTAAATGAGGAAATGCTTTTAAAATTCCTGATGTTTAAAAAAAAAAAACAGTGGCCAGGGGCAGTTCACACCTGTAATCTTAGCACTTTGTGAGGCTAAGGTGGGAGGATCACTTGAGGCCAGGAGTTCAAGACCAGCCTGGGCAATACAGTGAAACCTTGTGTTTCCAAAAAAAAAGCTATTATGACCCATGACTCTGGGTTTTAAACAAGCTCCTCAGGTAGTTTGAAGCACATTATCAACAGACATACTTTGAGAAATACACTACCCTTGGCTTTTTGGTTTCAAGTCTAGCTTTGCTAGTAAATAGGTTATAGCATTAACTTTTAGCATTTGCACTTTCTGGGCCTTATGTTTCTTCAAATATAAAATGAATGACTGAAGTTGATGTTTTCTACTGGCTCTAAAATTAAGAAAATTTGGTTTTTAAAATTATTATTATTTTTTTAGTGATGAGGGGTCTTGCTGTGTTGCCTAGTCTGGTCTTGAACTGGCAGGCATGATGGCACATGCTTGTAGTCCCAGCTACACAGGTAGCTGAGGCAGGAAGATTGCCTGAACCCAGGAGTTTGAGGCTGCAGTGAGCTGTGATAGCACCATTGCACTTCAGCCTGGGCTTGGATTAAAGGAATGAGCCCCTGCACCCGACCCTATTTTATTTTATTTTTATTATTTAATTTATTTACTTTGAGACAGAATTTCACTCTTGTTGCCCAGGCTGGAGTACAATGGCATGATCTCGGCTCACTGCAACCTCTGCCTCCCAGGTTCAAGCTATTCTCCTGCCTCAGCTTCCCGAGTAGCTGGGATTACAGGTGACTGCCACCACGCCCAGCTAATTTTTTTGTGTTTTTCGTAGAGAGAGGGTTTTGCCATGTTGGCCAAGCTGGTCTCAAACTCATGACCTCAGGTGATCTGCCTGCCTTGGCCTCCCAAAGTGCTGGGATTTTTCAGGCGTGAGTCACCATGCCTAGCCTCTATTTTATTTTTAAAATTCCATTTATATTTTAGATTCAGGAGGTATGTGTGCAGGTTTGTTACAAGGGTATATTGTGTGGTGCTGAGGTTTGGACTTCTGTTGATCCCACCACCGAGATAGTGAACACAGTACCCAATAGGAAGTTTTTCAGCCCCTGCCTGTCTCCCATTTGGGGGCCTCCAGTGTCTGTTGTTCCCATCTTTATGTTCATGTGAACTCAAGATTTAGCTCCTAGTTATAAGTGAGAACATGCGATATTTGGTTTTCTGTTTCTGTGTTAGTTCACTTAGAATAATGGCTTCCAGCTGCATCCATGTTGCTGCAAAGGACATGATTTCATTCTTTTTTGTGGCTGCAAATTTTTTGTCTTATAACCCTAAATTTTTTTGAGACAAGGTCTTGCCCTGTTGCCCAGGCTGGAGTGCAGTGGTGCTATCACAGCTCACTGCAGCCTCAAACTCCTGGGCTCAGGCAATCCTCCTGCCTCAGCCACCTGTGTAGCTGGGACTACAGGCGTGTACCATCATGCCTGGCTAGTTTTTACATTTTTTCATACAGACGAGGTCTCACTATGTTGCCCTTACTGGTTTCAAACTCCTGAGCTCAAGTGATCCTCTTGCCTTGGCCTCCCAAAGTGTTAGGATTATAGGTATGAGCTACTGTGGCCAGCTAACCCTAAATTTTTGTTCTTGTGGATGTAAGTATTTGGTCTGGTGGTGCTGATGCCACTTTTTGGCATAGGTTCAATAGAGGTACTTAAATGTTTTGTTATTTGGGAACTCAGAGTATTCTTCCTTTTTTGAAGACTGTGGTAGAACTAGATTAACTAGATTCAGGTAGATCTCATGGAACCTCAGGATGCAGTTAGGCCTTAAGAATTGGGGATTAGAGCAGAATAGGGAATTCAAAAAGTTCCCTTCCTTTTTTTTTCTTTGAAAATTGGCCTCAATCTCTTGACTTCTTCTGCCTTCCAGGCAGTATTATAGAAAATGCCCCTGGCCAGCAGCTTCTGAGTTTACATGGCTTCTATTTTAGAAAGCCGCCATATTGAGACTGGACTATTTAATTCCAATTGCACATTGCCAGGAAAGAAACTGTGGTTGTACACACTGGGTACGGTGCTGACTTCTGGCAATGGGTAAGGAGGCAGACTCATGTTACTAAGATGGCCCTGGGATTCCTGCCACTTTTCTGAGTTGCAGAGCTGGTTAGAAGTGGTGGTGGTAAACTGAGTAGGTATCCACCTCCTTTATGAAAGCATTTCACTAATTGAGGAGTCACAATGTTGTATTTTGCATAGAACCCTTACAATTGAGTCTCATGGAAAAAAGTAGAAAGAGGGAGAGACAGGCTAAAAGAAAAAGTAGGCTTGTGCTTTTATTCTTAGTTATGTACCAGATGGGATGGAGCCTTCTATAGTTACTTCTACTGGACTGTGCTTTTTCATCAACAGTGAATTTTTAGATTGCTTTTGGATATAGTTTTCTTTTTTAAAAATTATATAATATATAATTTTGAAGTCTCCTTGTAATGTTTGTTTTATATATTTGGAATTAATTTTTGAAATAAAATATTATATGAGGCTATAAAGGGTATTGATTGGTAGAAAGAAGCACAGGCTTTTGAATCAGACAGGCTTTGCACTTCAATTTTTTTTTTTTTTTTTGAGACAGTGTCTCACTCTGTTGCCCAGGCTGGAGTGCAGTGGCACGATCTCGGCTCACTGCAACCCCTGCGTCCTGGGTTCAAGTGATTCTCCTACTTCAGCCTCCTGAGTAGCTGAGATTACAGGTGCTTGCCACCACGCCTGGCTAATTTTTGTATTTTTAGTAGAGATGGGGTTTCACCATGTTGGCCAGGCTGGTCTCAAACTCCTGACCTCAAGTGATCCGCCTGCCTTGGCCTCCCAAAGTGCTGGGATTACAGGCGTGAGCCACTGCACCCAGCTTCCATTTTATCTCTGCCTTTTAGTGACTGATTTCTTGATCTCTCTGTGAAATGAACATAATAATCCTTATATCATGGATTATCTGAGAATCAAACGAGATGATGTATGTCAAGCTCTTATACTATGTTTCCTAGAAAGTAGGTGCTCAATGAATGATAGATATTATCATTGTTATTTTGTTACTTAGAATGTAATTGGTGATCTTCATGATATTCTACTCATGGTAAAGACTGACTATATCTTGGGCTTTAAATATATCAGTGTTATTTGAGGGTAAAGACATAAAACATTTTTTAGATCTGAAAACCAGGAACTAGAATGTGAAAGGAAATATTTTTGCATTGAGCATTTATTGCTTTACATGTATTTATTCATTAAAGATTTCAGTGGAAATTTTTTTGATCTCTTTAGTGTCAAACCAGAAGAGAAGTAAAATTCAACAAAAATTTATGTGTGGAGTTCCTTCTTAAAAGAAGAAAAAAGTGATTATTTAGACTATGGATCGGAGCAAACGGAATTCAATTGCAGGATTTCCTCCACGTGTGGAGCGTCTTGAAGAGTTTGAAGGAGGTGGTGGAGGAGAAGGAAATGTGAGCCAGGTGGGAAGAGTTTGGCCATCTTCGTATCGAGCTCTTATAAGTGCCTTTTCCAGACTGACGCGTTTGGATGATTTCACCTGTGAAAAAATAGGGTCTGGCTTCTTTTCTGAAGTGTTCAAGGTGAGTGAGTCTTCAGCTTTTCTCATATTGTCTTGCTGTGGTCACATTTACTGCAGGTTGATAGTTGTGTTTAATTAGGATGTAGGATTTGCCTAATAAAGGTGCTGTGGATCTTGAACACTGTTCTAAATTCTCCTTTCAAGCTATTTATTAACTTATATTAAGATATTTTGTTTGAATCCCAAAAATAATATGCTGGTTAAAAATTCAAATAACATAGGATTCTCTTCCACCTCACCTCTACCCCCAGCCACACATGTGTGTATGTATCCACACATACATTCTCCAGTAATAACCACTATTAACAATTCAGTATGTATACTTCTGGACTCTTTCTGTGCATATACATATATTATGCACACACCTTAAATACATATATTAAAATTATATATACACACACCCACATATATAGTTTTTGTTTGCTTATCTTCAGTAAAATTGATAGCTGGGTACAATGGCATGCACCTGTAGCCCGAGCTACTCAGGAGGCTCGCTTGAGGCTGTGAGTTTGAGAGCAGCCTGGGCAACATAGCAAGGCCCTGTCTCAAAAAATATGAGCCCATAATGCTCCTAAGCAATCATATTTCCCTGTTTCACTCACTCCCTCAAGAGAGTATTTTGTACCTTTTCTTCTCTCATCAAATCCCAGTATTTCCTCACTAGTCCTCATTGTCAGTAATTAATGAATTGCTTCCCAATTCACTGAGAAAATTGAAGCAAGCAGAAGAGAACTTCTGCAGACTTCCATTACTACAAATAGCTATCAACACACATCTTTACCCAGTTACTTGGCCTTTATACCTTGTACTATGGATCAACTACTCATGCTCCTAAGTCCATTATTTCTGTTTATATTGTACATTCCATTTCCACTTGCCTACTAATAGGCATTGCCTAAGAAATTCTCCCCTCTCTTTTCTACATTGTATTTTCACTACTAAGTATTACCATTAACATGTTAAAAAAATTCTTTTAAGGAAAAAAAAAACCCAAATATTTTGGCTCTGTTATTTCCCCTTTATTTTATTTTATTTTTATTTTTTTTGAGATGGAGTCTCACTCTGTTGCCCAGGCTGGGGTGCAGTGGCATAATCTTGGCTCACTGCAACCTCTGCTTCCCGGGTTCAAGCAATTCTCCTGCCTCAGCCTCCCTAGTAGCTGGGATTACAGGCGCCTGCCACCACACCTGGCTAATTTTTGTATTTTTAGTAGAGACAGAGTTTCACCATTTCGGCCAGGCTGGTCTTGAACTCCTGACCTCAAGTGATCCACCTACCTCAGCCTCCCAAAGTGCTGGGATTATAGGCATGAGCCACCGCGCCCAACCTATTTTATTCTATTATTTTATTTTATTTTATTTTATTTTTTGAGACAGGGTTTCGCTCTGTCACCCAGGCTAGAGTGCAGTGTGGTGTGATCATGGCTTACTGCAGTCTTGACCTCCCTGGACTCAGATGATCCCCCCACCTCAGCCTCCAGAGTAACTGGGACTACAGGTGCATGACACCATGCCCAGCTAATTTTTGTATTTTTTGGAGAGTTGGGGTTTCACCTTGTTGCCCAGGCTGTTCTTGAACTCCTGGGCTCAAGTGATCAGCCTGCCTCGGCCTCCCAAAGTGTTGGGATTACAGGTAAGAGCCACCACACCCAGCCCCTATTGTTTCTTTTATTAATAGGTATACTTTCCCATGTCTTGTTTTTTTTTGGACCAAAACAACTCCATAGAGTTGTCTCTATGTACCATTTCCAGCTTCTTTCTTTCTAATGTGTCTTTCTCTAAAATACTTTTTATTGCAGTAAAATATATATAACATAAATTTACCATCTTAGCCATTTTTTAAGTGTACAGTTCAGTGTCATTAATTACATTTACAATGTTGTACAACCATCTCCATTATCCTTTTCCAGAACTTTCTCATCACCTAAACAGAATCTCTGTACCCATGAAACGTTAACTCACTAATTCTCCCTTCTGTAACTGTAAATGGGTTCATTGCCCAATGCACACAGCAAGTCAATAAGCTGAGACTCCAGGTTGCAGCAGAGAAAGGTCTAATCATAGGGCCGCCAAATGAGGAGATGGAGGAAAACCTCAAATTCATCTCCCGTAAGAGATGGGGGCTAAGGTTTTTTAAGGGTTTTGAAGTGGGCCGAAGTGTGGCAATTGTTTATTTGTTAAAGAGTACAGGATGAAGTCATGGGACAGGGAGATGAAGAAGCTGTATTCTCTTGCAGATCCCGTTCCTCTGTGGGGGACTTCAAACTGGTTGCTGGAATTCAGGGGTCTGAAAAACATATTAAGCAATCCTTAAACAAAAGCCTTATGATTATAATGTCAGAGATCCTGTTATAGGAAAGATGGGGATAGAAATAAAATCTTAAAGTTTTATGACCCTAATGTCAGAAATCCTATTCTGTAGGAACAATAGGAATGCAAATAGTCAGTATCTAGTGCTATATGACTTTTAGCAACCAGGAAGTGGGCCAAAGTGCGGCCTGATTAATGCTTAATTATAACTATATTTCTGTCCAGAACCTGGCATGCACTTCTTGTGAACCCTGTGGGGGCAGTTTCACTCCCACCCACTAATATCTTCTACTTGCTGTTTTTATGAATTTGCTTATTCTAGGTACCTTATATAAGTGGGTTAATATAATATTTATCCATTTGTGTTAGAGTTAATTCACTTAGCATAGTGTTTTCAGGGTTATTCATGTTGTAGCATATATTAGAATTTCATTCCTTTTTATGGCTAATATTGCATTGTGTATATATGTCATATTTTATCTGTCGATGGTGGGGCTGTTTCCACCTTTTGGCTATTGTGACTAATGCTGCTATGGATATTGATATACAGGTATCTATTTGGTTCTTTGCTTGCAATTCTTTTGGGTATTTAGCTGTAAATAGAATTGCTGAGTCATATGAGTAATTCTATGTTTAAGAAAAGATTATGGTAAAATACATACAAAATTTACCATTTTGGCTGGGCATTGTGGTTGACGCCTGTAATCCCAGCACTTTGAGAGGCCAAGACGGGAGAATTGCCTGAGCCCAGGAGTTTGAGACCAGCCTGGGCAACATGACGAAACTCTGTCTCTGGGGGAAAAATAAAATAAAATAAAATAATAAAAAAATAAAAAATAAATCTTTTTCTTACTATCTTAACAGTATTTAATTATGTTAAGTACATACTTAACACAACTGTTAAGTATGTACACATGGTTGTGCCTCCAAACTCCAGAACTTTTTCATTTTGCAAAACTGAAACTCTGTACCCATTAAACAACTCCTCATTTCTCCATTCCCCCCAACCCCTGGCAACCACTATCCTACTTTATTTCTAAGAGTTTGACTACCCTAGATATCTTATGTAAGTGAAAACATACAGTATTTGTCTTTTTTTGACTGCCTTATTTCACTTAGTCAATCTATGTTTAACTTTTTGAGGACCCACCAGACTGTTTTCCGTAGTGGTTGTGCCATTTTACAGTTCTATCAGCAATATGTAAGGGTTCCAGTTTCTCCATGTGCTCACTGACACTTATTTTTCTTTTTCATGGTAATCATCCTATTTGGTGTGAAAAGTGGTATCTCATTGTGGTTTTGATTTGCATTTTTCTAAACAACTAGTGATATTGAGCATCTTTTCATGTACTTGTTGACCTTTTTTGTATATCTTCTTGGAGAAATGTGTATTTGAATCCTTTGCTCATTTTTGAATTGCATTGTATTTATATATTTTATATATAGGGAATATTTATCCCTTACCAGATATATGATTTGCAAATATTTTCTCACAATTTGTAGTTTGTCTTTTCACTCCCATGATGGTGTCCTTTTTTGCACAGAAATTTTAAATTCTGATTAAGTCAAATTAATTTTTTCTTTTGTTACCTTTTGCTTTTTGTGTCAATCCAAGGAATCATCACCAAATCCAATATCATGAAGATTTTCCACAATGTTTTCTTCTAAGAGTTTTATAGTTTTAGCTCTTACATTTAGGTTATTGATCATTTTAAGTTAATTTTTCAATATCGTATAAAGTAAGGGTCCAATTTCATTCTTTTGCTTGAGGATACCAAATTTTACAAGCACCATTTGTTGAAAAGACTGTCCTTTCCCCATTGAATGGTTTTGGCACCCTTCATGTCACAGTCAATTAACCATGTTAGAGAGGGTTTATCTCTCTCTCTCTCTTTTTTTTTTTTTTTTTTTTTTGAGACAGGGTCTCATTCTGTTACCTAGGCTGGAGTACAGTGGTGCTATCTCACTGCAGCCTTGACCTCCCAGACTCAAGTGATCCTCCCACTTCAGCCTCCCGAGTAGCTGGGACTACAGACACACAGCATCATACCTGGCTAATTTTTGTATTTTTTTTTGTAGAGTTGTGGTTTCACCATGTTAAGGCTGGTGTTGAACTCCTGGGCTCAGGTGATCAGCCTGCCTCTGCCTCCCAAAGTGCTGGGATTACAGGTGTGCACCACCATGTCCAGCCTCTTTTTTTTCTTTTCTTAGAGACAGGATCTCACTTTGTCATCCAGGCGGCAGTGCAGTGGCGTGATCATAGCTGACTGCATCCTCCTGGACTCAAGTGACTCTCCCATCCCAGCCTCCCAAGTAGCTGGGATTACAGGCATGTTACTGTCACGTCAGGTAATTTTAAAGTGTTTTGTACAGATGGAGTCTTGCTCTGTTGCCCAGGCTGATCTTGAATTTCTGGACTCAAATGATCCTCCTGCTTCAGTCTCCCAAAGTGCTGGCATTATAGGCATGAGCCACTGCACTCAGCTTTTTTTTTTTCTTCTTTTTTTGAGACAGGGTCTTGCTATGTTGCCCAGGCTTGTCTTGAACTCCTGGGCCTGGTCAGTCCTCCTGCACCTGCCTCCCAAAGTCCAAAATGCTGGGTTATAGGCGTTAGCCACCGTGCCCAGGCTTTTTCTTAAGATGGGGTCCCTCTCTGTGTTGCCTAGGCTGGTCAAACTCCTGGCCGCAAGCAATCTTCCTGCTTCAACTTCCTGACTTGTTAATTCATTTTAATTTTTGTACTCTGATTGTTAGTGAAGTCCTTTTGTTTATTGGTCATTTATAAAACTTGTTCACTTATGTTCTTACCTGCCTTCTTCTGTTGTGTTGATTTTTTTTGTAGTTCTTTACATATCCTGATAGTAATTCTTTTTTGAAGTCATTATTATGTTAATTTGGCTTCTAGATACTTTCTTATTCAAGCCACCATTGCATTTCACAGTGAAAAACACAAAGCCTGTCCAATGTATTTGCATACATTTAATGCAGAATTTGATCCCAACACTGTAATCAATAAACATCTAGGAAGATGTGGTGAATATTACTGATAAAGTAATGGGAAGTAACTGAAGAATTTTGTGCAGCCTGAGTTTTAACTAAGACTTAATTTTTAATTAAAAGCAAAACTTATATTTTCAAAAGAGTTTGCCCCTCCAAAAAAAAACCAGATTAGATAGCTTCTAAACTATATTAAATTATACCAAATAAATTTTTTTTTTTTTTTGAGACGGAGTCTTGTTCTGTCTCCCAGGCTGGAATGCAGTGGTGTGATCTTGGCTCACTACAACCTCTGCCTCCCGGATTCAAGTGATTCTCCTGCTTCAGCCTTCTGAGTAGCTGGGATTACAGGCACCTGCCATCATGCCTGGCTAATTTTTATATTTTTGTAGAGACAGGGTTTCACCATGCTGGCCAGGCTGGTCTTGAACTCCTGACCTCAGGTGATCTGCCTGCCTCGGCCTCCCAAAGTGTTGAGATTACAGGTGTGAGCCACCACTCCCAGCCACCAAATAAAGATTTTAATTATTATAAAACAAAGGTTCGTGCTTCAAAGAAACACCACCTCCACAAATGTCGAGCCAGTTTAGGTGCTGCCAATAGAATCCTAAAGAGTGATATCTCTGGTTCATGTGAACAATTTCCACAGTCCATGCGCTTTGAGGACAATTCAGGTCCTAAGGCAGACCATGCTCTACAGAGCTGCCCCTTCACCACCCCGGGTACCACCCTACCTTGTGCTGGGCAGGCAGCATGTGGCTAGGAATGCTGCCTCCCTCAGGCTTCCCAAATCAAATCAAGGGCACATATGGCTCAGCCACACTTTTGCACTCATATTTACTACATACTTCTGCTTAACTTTATCCCTGAAAAATGTTAGATGGTTTGCTGTCACACATCTGCTGCCCCAGATGAGTTACATGGATGTAGCAATGGACACATCCTCAAACACAGCATGAAAAGGGCACAGGAAGACTCTGGTCCAGCCCACTCCCACTTCAAAATAATTTGGCCTTGGGTTCTTCCTCTAAAAACACAAGTAGATATAAACTCTAACTATAAAATCATGAATCTATGGAACTTTAGAATAATTAACAGCTCCCAACACTAAAGTCCAGCTGTAAGGCAGTGTTTGTCCATGCTGATGAGGCACCATCAGCACCAAATCCCAGACTCCAGTGTGCTGGGGACATCTGACGCCTGCCTGATAGTAATTCTTTATTATGTATGTTGCAAGTATTTTCTCCTTGCCCATCTTTTATCATTTTAGTTTTTATGTAGTTAAACCTTGGTTTGGCAGTGGTGGCTTACACCTGTAACCCCAGCACTTTGGGAAGCTAAGACAGGAGGATTGCTTGAGTCCAAGAGTTCAAGACCAGCCTAGGCAACAGCACACCAACATGGCACATGTATACATATGTAACAAACCTGCACGTTGTGCACATGTACCCTAAAACTTAAAGTATAATAATAATAAAATTTAAAAAAAAAGAAAAAGAAATAAATAAATAAATACAAAATAAACATATCAGTCTTTTCATTTACAACTTGTGGATTTTGCATATAGCCTAAGAGGTTTTGAAAATACTGTTTTCCTCATGCTTTTATGACAGATTTCGTTGAATATAAGATGCCATTGATTATAAGATGTACTTCTTGCCAATTAAACTATGACAATTCCCATTACTTAGAAGTTTAATTTTTTATTTAAGAGGCCTTTATGGACTTGATGCAGCATAGTTGTGGGTTTTGTGAGTCTCGTTTTGTTGCCCAGGGTAGAGTGCAGTGGTGCGATCTCAGCTCACTGCAGCCTCGACCTCCCGGGTTTAAGCAATTCTCCTGCCTCAGCCTCCCAAGTAGCTGGGATTTCAGGCTCATGCCACCACGCCCAGGTAATTTTTGTACTTTTAGTAGAGACGGGATTTCACCATATTGGTCAGGCTGGTCTCGAACTCCTGACCTCAGGTGATCCACCTGCCTTGGCCTCCCAAAGTGCTGGGATTACAGGCGTGAGCCACTGTGCCCAGCCTATTAATTTTAAAAAAATTAATTCTTCCATATTCTGCTATAGAACTTTTATAATTTTAATATTTAAATTTTTGATCCATTCGGAATTTATCCTAGTGTAAGGTATAAAACATTGATCCAATTCTATTTGCTTTTCAGATGACTACCTAGTTATGTTAACATCTTTTGACTAGTTCATCTTTTCCTTACTAGTTTAAGAAAATATCTCTATCATACACTAAATTAGCATATATATTTCAGCCTACTTCTGGATTTTCTGTTTTATTCCATTGTTCTGTCTATTCAAATGTCAATCACACCAGAATTCAAGGATAAAAATGAAATTTCAACCCACTGGGGGGAGAGTAGACTAATTAAAAAATTGTATTTAGACAATTAACTATCTGAAAAAAGATAAAATTAAATGTTTATACCTAATTTCAAACACTGAAATAAACTCGAGATGAGTTAAGCATAAAAAACTGTCTACTACATTTCATCATTTCTAACACTTTCACTATTTTGAAATTGAGATGTCTTAAAATTACTTCCAGGCACTTGTACGTGTGCATCAAAACTTGTAAAATGGGTGTCAGTGGTTAAAGAAACACCTGGATATAATAATGTAGCAATCTCAAGAAATTATGCATCACCACACTCTTGATAGCATGAAATTAATTAATTAATTAATTAATCTATCCTCCATGCTTTTTCATGGCTTAATAGCTCATTCCTGTTTAGCACTGAATAATATCCCATTGTCTCAATCTACCACAGCTTATCTGCTCACCTATTGAAGGACATCTTGGTTGCTTCAATATGTTGACAATTATGAATAAAGCTGCTGTCAACACGCATGTGTGGGGTTTTTTTGTGGACATAAGTTTTCAGTTCATTTGGATAAATATCACAGAGTGCAATTGGTGGACTGTATGGTAAAAATATGTTTAGTTTTATAAAAAACTGCCAAACTCTTCCAAAGTGGCAGTGCCATTTTGCATTCCTTTTTTTTTTTCTTTTTTTTTTTTTTGAGACAGAGTCTCGCTCTGTCACCCAGGCTCGGGTGCAGTGGTGTGATCTTGGCTCACTGCAACCTGTGCCTTCCGGGTTCAAGCAATACCCTCCCTCAGCTTCCTGAGTAGCTGGGATTACAGATGTCCACTACCACGCCCAGCTAATTTTTGTGTTTTTAGTAGAGGTGGGGTTTCACCATCTTGGCCAGGCTGGTCTTGAACTCCTGACCTTGTGATCCACCTGCCTCAGCCTTCCACCGTGCTAGGATTGCAGGCGTGAGCCACTGCACCCTGCCCCATTTTGCATTTCAACCAGGAATGAATAAAGAGTTCCTGTTGGTCCATATCCTTGTCAGTATTTGATGTCAGTGTTTTGGATTTTGGCCATTCTAAGTGGTATATAGTAGTATCTCATTGTTATTTTAATTTTCAAATATCTAATGGCATAAGATATAGTTTGGATGTTTGTTCCCTCCAAATCTCATGTTGAAATGTGATTCCCAATGTTGAAGGTGGGGCCTAGTGGGAAGTGATTGGATCATGGTAGTGGATCCCTCATGAATGGTTTAGTACCATCCCGTCGGTGATAAGTGAGTTCTTGCTCAGTTTGTTCATGTGACATCTGGCTGTTTAAAAGAATCTGGGACCTCCCCCTCCTCTCTGTCTCTTGATCTCACTCTCCCCATGTGACATGCTGCCCCCACCCCGTCACCTTCCTCCATGGTTGTAAGCTTCCAGAGGCCCTCACCAGAAGTAGATGCTGGCACTGTGTTTCATATACAGCTTCCAGAACTGTGAGCCAATTAAACCTCTTTTCTTTATAAATTACTTGATCTCAGGTATTTCTTTATAGCAGTGCAAGTATGGCCTAACACAACATATGATGTTGAGTATTTTTCAAATACTTACTTGCCATCTGTATATCTTATTTGGTGAGGTATCTGTTCAATTTTTTAATCAGGTTGTTTTCTTTTTCTTTTTTCTTTTTTTTTTTTTTTTTTGAGACAGGGTCTCACTCTGTCTCCCAGGCTGGAGTGCGGTGGTGTGGTCATGGCTCACAGAAGCCTTGAATTACCAAGCTCAAGTGATCCTCCCACCTCAGCCTCCTGAGTAGCTGAGAGTACAAGTGTGCATTAGCATGCTTGGCTAATTTTTGTATTTTTTTTGTAGACACAAGGTCTCTACCAAAAAAAAAAAACAAAATACACACACACACACACACACATTGAGTCTTCCTATCTGTGAATGTGAAATATCTCTCCATTTTATTTAGTTCTTCTTTGATGTCTTTCATCAGAGTTTTGTGGTTTTTCTCATATAGATCCTGTATATACAGTCATAATGACATTTCAGACAATGATGGACTGCATATAAAATGGTGGTCCTATAAGGTTATAATAGAGATGGAAAATTCCTGTGGCCTAGTGACATTGTGTACCTGTTGTAATATCATAGTGCAATGTATTACCCGTGACGGTGGTATTGCAGGTGCTAATAATCCTACCACAGTGCCAATTGTATAAAGTATAGCACATATAATTATGTACAGAATGTAATACTTGATAAAGATAATAATTGACTATGTTAATGGTTTATATATATACTACATTATACTTTTAATTGTTATTTTAGAGTGTACTCCTATTTATTAAAAAAAAAAGTTAACTGCAAAACCATCTCAGGCAGGCCCTTTAGGAGATATTCCAGAATAAGGCACTGTTATCATAGGATATGATAGCTCCATGTGTGTTATTGTCCCTGAAGACCTTCTGTTGAGACAAGATGTGGAGATGGGTGACAGTGATATTATGATCCTGACCTCTGTAGGCCTAGGCTAATGTGTGTGTTTGTGTCTTAGTTTTTAACATAAATGTTTAAAGAGTAAAAAAAAAAAATTTAATAGAAAAAGCTTATAAAGAAAGAAAATATTTTTGTACAGCTTGGTAAATGTGTTTGTGTTTTAAGCTAAGTGTTACTGTGAAAGAAGCAATTATATTTTTAAATTTCATTTTTTGTTGTTTTTGAGATAGACCTCACTCAGTCACCTAGTCTGGAGTGCAGTGGCACTATCTTGGCTCACTGCAGCCTTGAACTCCTGGGCTCAGGAGATCTTCTTGCTTCAGCCTCCTGAGTATCTGGGACTACTAGCATATTACCGTGCCTGGCTAATTTTTAAAATTATTTGTAGAGTTGAGGTCTCACTATGTTGCCCAGGCTGGTCTCTAACTCCTGGGCTTACATGATCCCCCTACCTTGGCTTCCCAAAGTACTGGGATTATAGGTGTGAACAACTGTACCTGGCTGAGGCCCCATTTTAAAAAATCACACTTAACACAAATTTATGTTTTCTTTCAAAGGATACCCCTTCTTTCTTTTTTAAACTAGCTGTTGTTTACTGATAAATGGAAAGCTTAAAAAATGGATTATGGAGGCAGGGGTATTTGGTTTTGCCCTGTACCTGCCTTAGGGAAGTTTGACTTTGTATATTTGCCAAGCCTGCTGATAGCTTTACCCTGGGCAGAACCTGACAGTCAAATAATTACTCTTTGATTGTACTGATTACCTACTGTTTGTATGCATTTTATAGTTCATTGTTTTCTAATTCTATCTTCGGTTACTTTCTTTTGCCTACTTTCTTGGTCCTATTTTTTTGTTCTTTCTCTAGGATCTGGAATGTTATTCTTATCTCAGTTTTTCCTAATATTTCATATTTTCTAATATATGCATTTAAGCTTTAATGTTTCCTCTTTTTTATTTTTATTTAAAATTTTTTTAGAGACGACAGGGTCTCTTTCTGTTGCCCAGGCTGGAGTGCAGTAGTACGATCATAGCTCCCTGGTGCTTCCAGCTCCTTGGCTCAAGGGATCCTCCTGCCTCAGCCTCCTGAGTAGCTAGGCCTACAGATGTGCAACAATATACCCAGCTAATTTTTTTGACTTTTTTGTAGAGATGGAGTCTCACTATGTTGCCCATGCTGGTTCAAACTCCTGGCCTCAAGTGATCCGCCTACCTTGGATATCTTGAGCTATCCTGGGCAGAATAGTGAGACCCTGTCTAAAAAAAAAAAAAAGGAAGTTTTTTTTCTTCTATGCTTTGAAACAGCTTAAGTGGTATTAAAATGATTTATTTCTTAAATATTTGGTAGAATTCCACTGTGAAATTCTGTGCCAAGTACTTGGAAAACTTTTCCTATTCTTCTAGGATAATTGGTCTACTTAAGTTTTTGTTTCTCCTGAGGACAATTTTTGTAAATTATATTTTACTAGAAAATTATAATTTCTTACAACTTTTCTAATATACTTGCAAAGAGCTGAGTAAAATTTGACCTTTAAAATTTTTTTTGTTATATACTTTTCAGATTAGTTGCAACTCTTAGAGTGTAGATCATAAGTCCTGCTATTAATTGTGTTTACTGGTACTTCTTCATGGTTTATTTATTTCTTGGAGACAGGGTCTTGCTCTGTCACCTAGTTTGCAGTGTGGTGATGTGATCATGGCTTAGTGTGGCCTTGACTTCCTGGGCTCAGGTGACCTTCCTGCCTCAGCCTCCCAAGTATCTGGGATCACAGGTGCATGCTGCCATGCCCACTGATTTTTTTTTTTTTTTTTTTTTTGGTAGAGACAGGGTCTCATTATGTTGCCCAGGCTGGTCTTGAATTCCTGGCCTCAAGTGATCCTCCCACCTCAGCCTCCCAAAGTGTTGGGATTACAAGTGTGAGCCACTGCACCTGGTCGTGGCTTTTTGTTTCTACTTTGAGTTTTAATTTTTTATTGAAAGCCCATCTTCAAGGGTAGATGTTTTTGTAATTGTCCAACTGGTTCTTCTTACCCATTTCCCAGAAAAGCCAATAAATTGAGAACAGCAGGAGTTGCAGCAGAGAAATAATTTAATAATCACAGAGCAAGCCAAGCAATGAGAATGAGAGCTATTTCTCAAGTCTATCTCCCCAAGAATTTAGAGGCTAGGGTTTTTCGAGGATAGTTTGGCAGGCAGGGGGCTAGGGATTGGGGAGTGCTGATTGGTTGGGTCAAGGTTGAGATCATAGTGGGTTGAAACTGCCTTCTTTCACTGAGTTAGTTACTAGATGGTGGTGGTTGGGGGTGTCACAAGACCAGTCAAGCTGGTTTCTCGTTATAGGTTGCCAATCCAGGTGGTGCCATCTGATGCATCAGAATGCAAGGTCCGAAAAATACTCAAACACCAGTCTTAGGTTTTGCAATAGTGATGTTATCTGTAGGAGCAATTGGGGAAGTTACAAATCTTGTGACCTCTGGCTGCATGACCCCTGAACCATAATTCTAACTGTGTGGCCAGTCTGTTAGTTTTATAAAGGCAGTTTCATCCCCAAGCAAGCAGGGGGTTAGTTTCCTGAAGGGACTGTTATCATCTTTGTTTTAAAGTTAAACCATGAGCTAAATTCCTCCCATAGTTAGCTTGGCTTATGCCCGGATATGGACAGGGACAGTTTAGCTTATGTGGTTAGAAGCAAGATGGAGTCAGCGATGTTAGATTTCTCTTACTGTTACAATTTTGCAAAAGCGGTTTCATTTTCCCTGGGAGTTATTTTATTCTAGGTTGTGGATATGTTCCAATATGGTGAACTAACTTTTGCCTCTGCTGGGGTCAAATAGATTCTGGATGTGAACCTAAATGCTTTATTTTTATTTATTGGCTCAGTCTTTCTGTACAGTGTGTGTGGTTCAAATCTGAATCCTAAACCTGAATCTCATAGTTGGCTGTTATTCCTCATTTGAGGCAATAGGGATAGCATTATCCCACTATGAATGCCTATTACAAAATAGAAGAAAGCTAGTTAAATGTATTTTGTGGTATTTTAGAAAGTAATTGTTTAATTTTATGGTGAAAACATTATCAATGGGAAAGGGGGGAATAGGTCTGTTTATTTTTGGTTGCATATAATATAGTCTGATACAGTATTTGGTAAACTACAGCCCTTGGACCAAAGTTTTAGAAATAAAGTTTTATTGGAACACATCTGTACTCATCGAGTACTTTGTAACAGAGACCATATGGCCCTCAAAGCCTTTTTTTTTTTTTTTTAATAGAGTCTCATTTTGTCACACAGGCTGGAGTGCAGTAGCATGATCATAACTCACTGTAACTTTGAACTCCTGAGCTCAAGGGATCCTCCCATCTTAGCTTCACAAGTAGATAGGACTGCAGGCATGTGCCACCACACCCGGCTAATTTTTAAATTTTTTTGTAGAGATAGTGTATCGCTATGTTGCCTAGGCTGGTGTCAAACTCCTGCCTCAAGCAATCCTCCCACCTTGGCCTCTCAAAGCATTGAGATTACGGGCATGAGCCACTGTACCTGGCCTTCAAAGCCTAAGATATTTACTGTTTTACCCTTTACAGAAAAAATTGCCGACTCCTGATCTAATAGCTGTAGTGCACCGGTAGGTGATGTTTAGTTTTATCTTTGATTACAAAGTACAGATGATTATCGAGCTTTAAAGGTCAGGTTAAATAAAAAGTATATCAGTGGTGATAAAAGGAAATATTTGACTTCTAGTGCAGGTAACTTAAGGACTTTTAGTTGTCCTAGATAGCAAAATAAAGATTGGTTGATGGATTACTTTACAATTAGAGTGTGGATTTATGTAGTTTATTTGTATGCCTTTTTTTTTTTTTTTTTTTTTTTTTTTGCGATGGATCTCGCTCTGCCACCCAGGCTGGAGTACAGTGGCGTGATCTTAACTCACTGCAAACTCCACCTTCCGGGTTCAAGCGATTATCCTGCCTCAGCCTCTCGAGTAGCTGGGACCACAGGCATGCACCACATGTTCGGCTAATTTTTTTTTTGTATTTTTTAGTAGAGATGGGGTTTTGCCATGTTGGCCAGGCTGGTCTCAAACTCTTGACCTCAAGCGATCCTCCTGCCTTGGTCTCCCAAAGTGTTGGGATTACAGGCATGAACCACCATGCCCGGCCAGTTTATTTGTCTTCCTTTAAAATAATTTAGTTTTGGAATTTAGGATCATCTGGTCATCCTTAAAAATAGACCTTAGTTGGCCGGGCACAGTGGTTCACGCCAGGTCTCAAGTGATCCCCCCACCTTGGCCACACAAAGTGCTGAGATTACAGAAAATCTCCTCTTTTAAGTGTGTTTAGCTTCTTAGAAATAATGAAAGTAGGCCGGATATGTTGGCTTACTCCTGTAATCCCAGAACTTTGCCAAGAAAGGCAGATCACCTGCGCTCAGGAGTTCAAGACCAGCCTGGCCAACATACTGAAACCCCGTCATTACTAAAAATACTAAAATTAGCCAGGTGCGATGGCACATGCCTGTAGTCCCAGCTACTTGGGAGGCTGAGGCAGGAGAATTGCTTGAACCCAGGAGGTGGAGGTTGCAGTAAGCCGAGATCACGCCACTGCACTCCAGCCTGGGTGATAGAGAGAGACTGTCTCAAAAAGAAAAAAGAAAATTGGAACGATTTGGATGTTAGTGAAATTTATTTAGGGAAGAACTGAAGTATGTGGAAGTGGAAGTGGCACATGTGTGTGCAGTTGTGAAAATAAAAGCAAATGGAATAATTGTGCCAGCTTCTACCCTCTAGTAAGTGGAAAAGCTTTTCAGCTGCAGCGTAGCAGTGGCCGACAACCTGTTTAATGTTTCAAATTAAGAGTGCTTCTGTTGAGGATGTCAAAAAGAAAAAAGAGTGGTTCTGTTGGGATACAGTAAAAGGCTCTTGCTTTCTTTTTATAATAGTCCTAGTTTTGTTTGGGAGTATAATTGGAAACTTCCTAGAAAGTCTCCTTCCTTGAAATCTTGTAAGAAAATGATTGTTCTAGTCTCATGAGATAATTCAAGTACACGTCATTACCCATGATGTAAGTCTGTTGGTATGTATTGTGAAAACTATAAAACCTGGAATCCCATCCCACAGCAAAGTATCAATGTAAATTTAAAAAAAAAAAAGCTTTAGTGAGAAATAATTCACATACCATAAAAGTCTCTCTTTAAAAATGAACAATTTTGGCCAGGCGAGGTGGCTCACGCCTATAATCCTAGCACTTTGGGAGGCTGAGGTGGGTGGATCACCTGAGGTTGGGAGTTTGAGACCAGCCTGACCAACATGGAGAAACCTCATCTCTACTAAAAATACAGAATTAGCCAGGCATGGTGGTGCATGCGTGTAATCCCAGCTACTCGGGAGGGTGGGGCAGGAGAATCATTTGAACCTGGGAGGTGGAGGTTGCGGTGAGCCGAGATAGCACCATTGCAATCCAGCTTGGGCAACAAGAGCAGAACCTTGTCTCAAAAACAAAACAAAACAAAACAAAAACAATTTTGCTGGGCACAGTGGCTTATGCCTGTAATCCCAGCACAGCACTTTGGGAGGCCAGTGCAGGTGGATCACTTGAGGTCACGAGTTCGAGAGCAGCGTGGCCAACATGGTGAAACCCCGTCTCTACTAAAAATACAAAAATTAGCTGGGCGTGGTGGCACGTACCTGTAATCTCACTACTCGGAGGCTGAGGCAGGAGAATCACTTGAACCTGAGAGGCGGAGGCTGCAATGAGCTGAGATCGCACCACTGTACTCCAGCCTGGGCAACAGAGTGAGACTCTGTCTCAAAAAAAAAAAAAAAAAAAGAATAATTTTGGCTGGGTGCAGTGGTTCATGCTTGTAATCTCAGCACTTTGGGACGCTGAGGCAGAAGGATTGCTTGAGGCCAGGAGTTCAAGACCAGCCTAGGCAACATAGCAAGAGTCTGTCTCTATTAAAAAACAACAGGCTGGGTGCGGTGGCTCACGCCTGTAATCTCAGCACACTGGGAGGACGAGGCAGGCGGATCACCTGAGGTCAGGAGTTCGAGACCAGTCTGACCAACATGGCGAATGGCAAAACCCCATCTCTATTAAAAATACAAAATTAGCTGGGCGTGATGGTAGGCACCTGTAATCCCAGCTACTCAGGATGCTGAGGCAGGAGAATTGCTTGAACCCGGGAGGCAGAGGTTGCAGTGAGCCAAGATCATGCCATTGCACTCCAGCCTGGGCGATGTAGCGAGACTCTGTCTCAAAAAACAAACAAACAAAAAAACAAAATTACAACAACAAAGCAATATTACCACAAATGTAGTGATTTAAAAGAGCATATATTTATTATATCTTTTTCTGTAGTTTAAGAGTCCAAGTCTGACTCAACTGGATTACTGGATTGCCTTCTTCAAGGTCTCTGAAAGCTACAGTGAAGGTGTCAGTCAGAGCTGCTCTCTTATGTGAAGTTCAGCTGGGGAAGGATCTGCTACTAACTTTATGTGGTTGTTGGAAGCATTCAGTTCCTTGCAGGTCACTGAACTGAGGGCCTCAAGTTCTTGCTGAAGGCTGCCTTCAGTTCCTTGCCATTGTGGCCTTTTCTCTATGACAGCACACAGTGTGGCTGCCTGATTCATTAAAGTCAGCAAACGAGAGTGTCAGGATCTCACTCTGTCACCTGCAGTGGTACAAATATATATATATTTTGTTTGTTTGTTTGTTTGTTTTTTTTTTTTGAGACCGAGTCTTGCTCTGTCACCCAGGCTGGAGTACAGTAGTGCGATCTTGGCTCACTGCAGCCTCTGCCTCCCCGGTTTAAGTGATTCTTCTGCCTCAGCCTCCTGGGTAGCTGGGAATACAAGCACACACCACCATGCCCAGCTAATTTTTTTATATTTTTAGTAGAGGCGGGGTTTTGCCATGTTGGCCAGGCTGGTCTTGAACTCCTGGCCTCAAGTGATCCACCTGCCTTGACCTCCCAAAGTGCTGGGATTACGGGCATGAGCCACCGCGCCCAGCCCCTGGCCCCACTATTTTTTAGGTGTGATTTTATTTTTGATGATTATGTGAAATGAGATGCCTTGTTTTCTTACCATTATCATAGTTTTCATAGCATGATTGATCATTCCCTCCTTTGTCCGTTCTGTATGTTTTATACAGGCTTTTATTGGAGCAATGATACCTTTTTTTGGGGGGGCCTTGGCAAAGTGTGGTGGCTCACACCTTAATCCCAGCACTTTGGGAGGCAGAGGCGGACAGATCACATGAGGCCAAGAGTCTGAGATCAGCCTGGTCAACTTGGTGAATCCCCGTCTCTACAAAAAGTACAAAAGTTAGCCAGGTGTACTGGTGCATGTCTGTAATTCCAGCTACTCCGGAGGTTGAGGAATGGGAATCGCTTGAGGCAGAGATTGCAGTGAGCCAAGATCATGCCACTGCACTCCAGCCCAGGTGACCTAGCGATACTCTGTCTCAAAAAAAAAAAAAGTGGCAGTGGGGGGGCGCTTGCTTTGTTGCCCAGGCTGGAGTGCAGTGGCACAACTTTAGCTCACTGTAACCTGGAACTGCTGGGCTCAAGTGATCCTCCTGCCTCAGCCTCTTGAATGGCTAGGACTACAGGCATGTACCACCAGCATGCCTGGCTAATTTTTAAATTTTTTTGAGAGATGGGGTCTTGCTATGCTGCCCAGCCTTGTCTTGAACTCCCGGGCTCAAGCAATTCTCCTGTCTCAGCTTCCTGCGTAGCTGGGACTACAGGTGTTTGCTACCATGCCTAGCTGGGTTTGAGTCTTGGCTGTACCACTTACAAACTTTCTGACCTTGACTTCTGTGCCTCCGTTTCCTCATCTGCAAAATGAGGATTGTAATAATATCTACCTTTAGAGTTGTTGAGAAAATATAATGAACTATTATGCGTAAAGCATTAGAATAATGTTATAAATAATTCACCCTATTTAAGGGCTAGTTATTATTTCTGTTATATAGGTAGCTGATATCTATGGAGCTATTTCTTTGAGCTAGGTACTGTATTAAGAACATGTATATATTTTATTGCATAGTATCTATAACAATCTTGTAAGTAGTTACACTTTCATTTCATAAATGAGAAAACTGAGCTTCAAAGATGTAGAAACTAAAAGAGCTAGTATCTGCCATCTGCTTGATACTGAAAAATTGATTCATTCGCATTCATGGTTATACATTTATTATTTAGTGCATATGCAGTTTGTCATGCAAACTGTAAATTTCTTGCAGTGTTGTAACAGTTGTGGTTTAAGGAAAGTAAGAGGAACATTTTAGTAAGTGAATGTTATGTTATTTTGGGATATTTTATTTTTGTGCTTGAATAGGTAAAGGTTTTTATATTTTCTGTTTGGGAGCTTTGTCTGAAAACTTAGATACTGGATCTCAAAATGCTGGTGCTTCTACGGTGGCCTCAGTGTCACAACTGTACTAAAAACTGACTAATTTTTTAACTTTCCAAACAGTAACTTATGAAATTGTCTAGAGAGTGAATCTTTTCTCTTTTAAATGTTGATTATTGTTGTAGTCTGAATCTAAAATACTTAAGGTTTTTCCTCAGATTATCAGTATCTTATTTCATGGTTGTGTTTATTTCTCTGTATGCCTTTCTGAGATCTCACTGTAAAAGTTTTCATCAAACCAAATACTGCATATTCTCACTTATAAGTGGGGGCTAAATGGTGAGAACACATGGACACATAGAGGGGAAGAACACACAATGGGGCCTATCATAGAGTGGAGGGAGAGGATCAGGGAAAATAACTAATGGGTACTAGGCTTAATACCTAGGTGATGAAATAATCTGAACAACAAACCCTCATGATACAAGTTTACCTATGTAACAAATCTGCATGTGTACTCCTGAACTTAAAACTTTTATTAAAAGTTAAAAACTTAAAAAAGTGTCTTCATCAGTGGTATGTGATATTATTTTAACAGAGTCTTACTCTGTCGCTGAGGCTGGAGTACAGTGGCACCGTGTCAGCTCACTGCAACCTCCATCTCCTGGGTTCAAGCAATTCTGCTGTCTCAGCCTCCCAAGTAGCTGGGATTACAGGTGCCTACCACCATGCCTGGCTAGTTTTTATATTTTTAGTAGAGATGGGGTTTCACCATGTTGGCCAGGTTGGTCTCGAACTCCTGACCTCAGGTGATCCACCTGCCTCAGCCTCCCAAAGTGCTGGGATTACAGGCGTGAGCCACCGTGCCCAGCCAGTGCTTCTATGTTTTAATAACTACTCTATCAGAAAAGAGTTTAGCTCTATAGTCATGGAATTATATGAAGTAACTTTTGTTAAGATGGCTAAGAACTGGGCAGTAAGGATGATGTGAGATAGTAGATGTTCTACTTAAAGGTAAAAGTTAGGAGAAAGCCTATTAGGTATTTCTGACATACCAGTTTTCAGAGTCATTGGGTGACTGAGATGTCAGTATATACCAATACTGTTTGGGGAACAAAAATTAAATGCTCCCAAAAAGACTACTTGGAAGTATTCAGAACCATCCCCAAACCCCAACATCTATGAGCAACACTTATGTGTGTCTGTAACCAAGAAGCTTTGCTTGTCTGTCTCATATCAAACCAGCCATTTCAGAATTTAACTGTTCCAGGTAGTCAGAGTTAAGGTAACCTTCAAAATCTAGAAAAAGTATTTTATAAAATTCAACATCCCTTTATGATAAAAACTCTCAACAAACTAGTCATAGACAGAACATACCTCAACATAATAAAGGCCATATATGACAAACCCACACCTAATAGCATACTGATAGGGAAAAGCTGTGAAAGCCTTTTCTCTGAAAACTGGAACAAGGATGCTCACTTTCACCACTCCTATTCAGCATAGTACTGGAAGTCCTAGCTGCAACAGTGAGGTAAGAGAAAGAAAGAAAAGGCATCCAAATTGGAAAAGAGGAAGTCAAATTGTTCCTCTTTGGAGATAAAATGATCTTATATCTAGAAAAACCTAAAGATTCCACCAAAATCTTTTAGATCTGATAAATTCAGTAAAGTTACAGGATTCAAAAATCAATGCACAAAAATCAGCATTTCTATACACCACTAATTAGCTGAAAAAAATCTAGAAGGCAATCCCAATTACAGTACAGCTACAAAAATTATAATAAAATACCTATGAATAAATGTAACCAAGAAAGTGAAAGACCCTACAAGAAGAACTGCAAAACGCTAATGAAAGAAATTGAAGAGGACACAAAAAAATAGAAAGATATCTTATGCTCATGGATTGGAAGAATTAATATTGTTAAAACGACCATGCTACCCAAAAACAATCTACAGATTCAGTGAAATCCCTATCAAGATACCAATGTTGGGTCAGGCGCAGCGGCTCACTCCTGTAATCCCAGCACTTTGGGAGGCCAAGGTGGGTGGATTGAGGCCAGGAGTTGAAGACCAGCCTTGCCAACAATGGTGAAACCCTATCTCTACTAAAAATACAAATATTAGCCAGGCATGATGGCACATGCCTGTAGTTCCAAGTACTTGGGAAGCTGAGGCGGGAGGATCGCTTGAGCCTGGGAGGCAGAGGTTGCAGTGAGCCGAGATTGTGCCACTGCACTCCAGCCTGGGTGACAGAGTGAGACTCTGTCTAAAAAAAAAAAAAAAAAGATACTAATGTTGGCTGGGCACAGTGGCTCATGCCTGTAATCCCAGCACTTTGGGAGGCCAAGGCAGGAGGATCACCTGAGGTCAGGAGTTCGAGACCAGCCTGCCCAACATGGAGAAAACCTGTCTCTACTAAAAATACAAAATTAGCTGTGTGTGGTGGCACATGCCTGTAATCCCAGCTACTCGGGAGGGGAGGTAGGAGAATCGCTTGAACCCGGAAGGTGGAGGTTGCGGTGAGCCAAGATCGGGCCATTGCACTCCAGCCTGGGCAACAAGAGTGAAACTCCGTCTCAAAAAAAAAAAAAAAAAAAAAAAAAAAAGGCCAGGCACGGTGGCTCATGATCCCAGCACTTTGGGAGGCCGAAGTAGGCGGATCTTCTGAGGTCAGGAGTTTGCGACCAGCCTGGCCAACATGGTGAAACCCCATCTCTACTAAAAATACAAAAATTATCCAGGTGTGGTGGTGTGTGCCTGTAATCCCAGCTACTCAGGAGGCTGAGGCAGGAGAATCGCTTGAGCCTGGGAGGTGGAGGTTGCAGTGAACCGAGATCACGCCACTGCACTCCAGCCTGGGTGACAGAGTGAGTCTCCATCTCAAAAAAAAAAAAAAAAAAAAAGAAGATACCAATGTCATTTTTCACAGAAATAGAAAAAGCAGTCCTAAAATTTTGTATGGAAACAAAAAAGAGACCAAATAGCCAAAGCAGTCCTGAGCAAAAAGAACAAAGCTGGAGGCATCATACTACCTGACTTCAATATATATTACAAGGCTATACTGAGCACAACAGCATGATATTTGTATAAATCAGACACATAGACCAATGGAACAGAATAAATCCACGTGTTTACAGCCAACTGATTTTCAACAAAGGTACCAAGAACGTACACTGGGGACAAGACACTTTCTTGAATAAATGGTGCTGAGAACATGGTATATTATATATGCAGAAGAATGAAACTGGATCTCCATCTCTTACTATATACAAAAGTCAAATCCAGTCACACCAGTACACTCCAGCCTGGGCAAAAGAGTGAGACTCTGTCTCAAATAATAAAATAAAATAAAATAAAGATAATTTAAAGACTTAAATGTAAAACCCCAAACTACAAAACTACTAGAAGAAAACATAGGGGTTTCAGCATGTTATTCTGGGTCTTAAAAAAAAAAAAAAAAAGAATACTGAGCAACATAGTGAGACCTTGTCTCTACAAAAAAAAAAAAAAAAAAAAAAAAAATTAGACCACAGTGGCTTACACCTATAATCCCAGTACTTTGGGAGGCTAAGGCAGGAGGATCACATGAGCCCAGGAGTTCGAGATGAGTCTGGGTAATATAGTGAGACCCTGTCTTTAGAAAAAAAAAAAAAAATGGCTGGGTGCAGTAGCCCATGCCTGTAATCCCAGCACTTTGGGAGGCCAAGCCAGGCAGATTGCCTGAGCTCAAGAGCTTGAAACTAGCCTGGCCAACGTGGTGAAACCCTGTCTCTGCAAACAATACAAAAAAATTAGCTGGGTGTGGTGGCGTGTGCCTGTAGTCCCAACTACCTGGGAGACTGAGGTGAGAGGATTGGTTGAGCCTAGGAAGTTGAGGCTGCAGTGAGCTGTGATCACACCACTGCACTCCAGCCTGGGTAACAGAGTGATACCCTGACTCAAAAAAATAAAAAATTAGCCAGCCATGGTGGTGCACACCTGTAGTCCCAGCTACTTGGGAGGCTGAAGTGGGAGGATTTCTTGAGCCTAGGAGTTCAAGATTGCAGTGAATTATGATCAAGCCACTGCACTCCAGCCTTGGTAAGAGAGAGAGACCTTGTCTCAAAAAAAGAAAAAAAAAAAAAAGAAAGAAAAGTAAACAGAGGAAACACTTCAAGACATTGGTCTAGGCAAAGATTTTATGGCAAAGACCTCAAAAGTATAGGCAGCAAAACCAAAAATCGACAAATGGGACTATATTAGACTAAAAATCTTCTGCACAGCAAAGGAAACAATAGAGTGAAGAGACAACCTTTTGAATGGGAGGAAATACTCGTAAACTATTTATCCAAAAAGGGGCTAATATTTGGAATATACAAGGAACTCAAACAACTCAACAGTAAAAAATAAAAAACCATCTCTCCCTACCCCGAAAATCCCATTTAAAAATGGGCAAAGGACATGAACAGAAATTTCTTGAAAGAAAACATAGGAATGGTCAACAGGTATACGAAAAATGCTCAACATCATAAAAAATTTGCTAATCAGGGAAATGCAAATCAATACAATGAGGTATTATCTTATCTCATTTAGAATGGCTACCATCAAAAAGACAAAAAGACCCCATCTCTACAAAAAAAAAAAAAAATAGCTGGATGTAGTGGTGCACACCTGTAGTTTAAGCTACTCGAGAGGCTTAGGTGGGAGGATCGCTTGAGCCCAGATTGACACTAGAGTGAGCTGTGATCATGCCACTGCACCCCAGCCTGGCAATAGAGCAGGACCCTGTCTTAGACAAACAAACAAAAACAGGCCAGGCACGGTGGCCAGTGCCTGTGATCTCAACACTTTGGAAGATGGAGGCAGGTGCGATTGCTTGAGCTCCGGAGTTCGAGACCAGCCTGGGCAGCATGGTGAAACCTCGTCTCTACCAAAAATACAAAAATTAACTGGGTGTGCTGGCACATGCCTGTAGTCCCAGCTATTCAGGAGGCTGAGGCAGGAGGATCCCTAGAGCCAGGAGGTTGAGGCTGCAGTAAGCTATGATCATGCCACTGCACTCCAGCCTGGGAGACAGAGTGAGATCCCATCTCAAAAACAACAACAATAACAACAACAACAAACCCCAAAACCCCAAAAATGAACAAACAAAAAACAAACCAGATCTGATGAAGATACAGCGTAAAGGGAACTCTTATATTCTTGGGGGGAATGTAAATTAGTATGGTCACTATGGAAAACAGTATGGAGATGTCTCAAAAAAGTAAAAAATAGAACTACCATATGATCCAGCAATCTCATTAGTGGGTATTTATCCAAAGGAAGGGAAATCAATATACCAAAGGGATACTTGCATCTCCATGTTTATTGCAGCACTATTCACAGTAGCAAATATATGGAACCAACCTAAGCATTCATTGATGGATAAGTGGAAAAAGAAAATGTGGTATATATAAAAAATGGATCACTATTTGGACATAAAAATGTATGAAATCCTGTCATTTTCAGCAACGCAGATGGAACTGGAAGTCATTATGTTAAGTGAAATAAGCCAAGCACAGAGAGACTAATATTGCAAGTTCTCACTTATATGTGAGAGCTGAAATAGTTGATCTCATAGAGGTAAAGAGTAGAATGATAGTTACCAGAGGCTGGGAAGGGTGCGTGGGATAGAGAAAGTTGGTTAATAGGTACAAACATATAGTTGGATAGAAAGTGTAAGTTATAGGCTGGGCATAGTGTCTCATGCCTGTAATCTCAGCACTTTGGGAGGCCAAGGAGGGCAGATCACTTGAGGCCAGGAGTTCAAGACCAGCCTGGCCAACATGGCAAAACCCTGTCTCTACTGAAATTACAAAAAAAATTAGCTGGGCATGGTGGGTACGTGCCTGTAGTCCCAGCTACTTGGGAGGCTGAGGTACAAGAATCGCTTGAACCCAGGAGGTGGAGGTTGCAGTGAGCCGAGATTGCACCACTGCAACCAGCCTGAGTGACAGAGTGAGACTCGGTCTCAAAAAAAAAAAAAAAAAAAAAAAAAAAAGCGGCTGGGCGCGGTGGCTCATGCTTGTAATCCTAGCACTTTGGGAGGCCAAGGTGGGCAGATTGCCCAAGCTCAGGAGTTTGAGACCAGCCTGGGCAACACAGTGAAACTCCATCTCTACTAAAATACAAAAAATTAGCTGGGTGTGGCGGCATGTGCCTGTTGTCCCAGCTACTCAGGATGCTGAGGCAGAAGAATTGCTTGAACCTGGGAGGCGGAGATTGCAGTGAGGCGAGATCATGCCACTGCACTCCAGCCTGGGTGACAGAGCGAAACTCCATCTCCAAAAAAAAAAAAAAAAAAAAAAGTTATAATATTCAATAGGAGAGTATGGTGACTATCATTAATAATGTATTGTATATATCTTTTTTTTTTGAGACGGAGTCTGGCTCTTTTGCCCAGGCTGGAGTGCAGTGGCTTGATCTCGGCTCACTGCAAGCTCCGCCTCCCCAGTTCACGCCATTCTCCTGCCTCAGCCTCCCGAGTAGCTGGGACTACAGGCGCCTGCCACCATGCCCGGCTAATTTTTTGTATTTTTAGTAGAGATGGGGTTTCACCGTGTTAGCCAGGATGGTCTTGATCTCCTGACCTTGTGATCTGCCCGCCTCGGCCTCCAAAAGTGCTGGGATTACAGGCGTGAGCCACCGTGCCTGGACAATGTATTGTATATTTCTAAGTAGGTAGAAGAGCGGACTTGAAATGTTCCCAATACATATAAATGATAAATACTCGGCCTAGTGTAGTGGCTCACACCTGTAATCCTAGCACTTTGGAAGGCCGAGGCAGGAGGATCCCTTAATGCCAGGTGTTCAAGACCTACTTCCTAAGTAGCTGGGACCACTATGCCTGACTATTTTTATTTCTGTAGAGACAGGGTATTGCTTTGTTGCCCAGGCTCAAGTGATCCTCCCATCTCAGCCTCCCAAGTATCTGGGACCACAGACATGCACCACCATGCCTGGGTAACGTTTTTTGTATTTTTTGTAGAGATGGGGTTTCACCATGTTTCCCAGGCTGGCCTTGAACTCTTGGGTTTAAGTGATCCTCCTGTCTCAGCCTCCCAGAGTGCTGGGATTACAGGCATGAGCTACTGTGCCTTGCCCTAAAAATTTTTTATTTTCTGGTTCTTGCTTTCCATGCTAGGCTCATCACAAGCTTGCAATTCCTTAACATGTACCCACCAGGCCTTGAGCCAAACCCAGTTTCTCACCATTCCTTAGAATATCCCATGCTCTTATTCCTCTGAGACTCTGCACATGCTTTTACACCTGCTCAGTATGCCCTTTCCTTGCTTGTTCTATTTGACAAGCTCTTTCTTATTCTTGAAGAAAACTGAAGGATGACTTCCTCTGGGAATCCTTCTCTGACCCCTTCAAGCAAGGTTTTTACTGGTGGCCAGTAAAAGGTTGAGTATCCCTTATCCACAAGCTGGGAACCAGAGGTGTTTTGGATTTTGGAAAATTTTTTTGAATATTTGCATTATACTTACTGGTTGAGCATCCCTAATAACTACTCTTTATGTGCGCATCATGTCTTTGTTCCAGGCTATAATAAGGGGGAAGTAAAAAGTACAATTTCATCAAGAAAGCAATAGCATCCCCAGAAATTCCATGCAGCAATTTCCACTTGCATCTTTTTTTTTTTCTTTTAGATAGGTTCTCGCTCTATTGCCCAGGCTGGAGTGCAGTGGCACAATCTTGGCTCACTGCAACCTCCGTCTCCCGGGTTCAAGCGATTCTTCTGCCTCAGCCTCCTGAGTAGCTGGGACTACAGGCACGTGCCAACATGCCCGGCCAATTTTTTGTATTTTTAGTAGAGACAGAGTTTCACCATATTAGCCAGGATGGTCTCGATCTCCTGACCTCGTGATCCGCCGACCTCGGCCTCCCAAAGTGCTGGGATTGCAGGCGTGAGCCACTGTGCCCGGCCTCTTGCATCTTCTTACTAGCACTGTGTAACATAGACTCTCCTAGTTGCAAGGAAGATTGCCAGGTTGGGTTTCTTTCAGTCACAAAAAAGAAGAAAATTGGTGTTGAGTAAATAATTCGTATTGTTTAATCTGCTTACTTTTCAGTAGATGGGTTCTAGGCCATAAGCTCAATTTTTGTCCAGGAAGTGTAAGTCACTGGAGGATTATCTCCAGAATTTTTTGGGTGATTCTGCCTTATAAAACTGTAGCTCTTTACGCTAACTACAAATATAACGCAACCTCTATTTCTGTCCGTCCATATATTAGTAGCAAGTGAGGTGTAACCCACATTTCTGTCCAGCCATATTCTTGGGGGCTTGGCTCAAGACTTTTATAGAACCACACATGAAATGTCGCCAAAGAGGAAGCAAAAAGATGCAACCCTTGCCAGTGACTTGTCAGCCACCACAAACCCAAAAGTCATGTGCCATGCTACAGTACAAACTAACCCTAGCTGTCTCATCATCAAGTGCTCTCTCACAACACAAACTAACCCTTGGTATCCCAAAAGGCAAAGAGATCAGAGAGATCAAAGGCAAAAGAGCAGAGCTCAGACCTGAGAGAGGTTTACTCACGACTCTATTTTTTCTGTTTGTTTGTTTGTTTTAGATAGGGTCTCACTGTGTTGCCCAGGCTGGAGTGCAATGTCTTGATCATGGCTCACTGTAGCCTTGATCTCCTGGGCTCAAGCGATCCTCCCACCTCAGCCTCCTGAGTAGCTGGGACCACAGGTGCACACCACCACAACCAGCTAATTTTTGTATTTTTTTTTGTAGAGATGTGTTTTACCATGTTGCCCAGGCTATCTCGAACTCCTGGGCTCAAGCAGCCTACCTGCCTCAGCCTTCCGAAGTGTTGGGATTACAGCTGTGAGCCACCATACCCATCTTCACAACTCTTTAGGCTCCATGAGAAGACAGATTCTCATCCAAAAAGGGGTTAGCAGAGCTTAGGGTCTCAGGGTCTTCAGCAGTCTCCTTCAGGTCCCTTTGTGGTAGCCACATCTGTTAAAGGACAAAATTAGAATAAATATAGTTTAAAGACTTCAATAGTCTTTATTGCTATTCTAGAGTCCAGCAACTCTTCATTTCCTAAAATAGAATAAGTGTACCAATGAGCTGAGTGGAAGAATTTGGCTTTATAGTCAGAGAAGGGCTTAAAAAAGCAGAAGCAAAGACCTGAGAGTGTATTATTAGCCCTTTCAAAGTTCTTATAATGCAAAGGCAGGGATATCAAACAACAGAAAAGTAACTGATTTGTTAGTATCAACTAACTTCAGGCTACTTCTTTTGTGTAAGAGTTAAAGCGGAGGGACTTTAGTTATGCCAATTGAAGATTGAAGCTGGTCAGTTTGGGTGATTGGCTGTTATCTCTCTTTCCTGATTTCTTGGAAAGTCAGATAACAACTTAGTGGAACAACTTAGTAGAACTTTAGCACGGGTAACTCCGTTTTCATTTTTAGTCTCGTCTGTTAAAGCCTAGTGCAGGAACTCAATCCAAAACTGTTATGCCTCCTGTAATTTTTGTTTAGTAGCATTTTGATAAATTTTGTCATATATACTTTAAAAAAAATGCCTGTCTTTGAGGAAGGATTAGATCAAAGATGCCACTTTTGTTATTGAAATGTTCCATATCCTTACTAATTTCTTGTCTTCTTGAGCTTTCAGGTTTAAAAAAAAAATTTTTTTTTAATCTGTTTTTTAGATGGAGTTGCGCTCTGTCACCCAGGCTGGAGTGCAATGGCACAATCTCGGCTCACTGCAACCTCTGCCTCTCGGGTTCAAGCGATTCTTCTGCCTCAGCCTCCCAGGTAGCTGGGACTACAGACACGCACCATCACGCCTGGCTAATTTTGTATTTTTAAGAGATGGGTTTTCCCCATATTGGCCAGGCTGGTCTCGAACTCCTGATCTCTACCGCACCTGGCGAGCTTTCAGTTTTTGAGAGATGTGTTAAAATGTCTCATAATATTTAGGGGCCGGGCGCGGTGGCTCACGCCTGTAATCCCAGCATTTTGGGAGGCCAAGGCAGGCAGATCACGAGGTCAGGAGATCGAGACCATCCTGGCTAACATGGTGAAACCCCGTCTCTACTAAAAATACAAAAAATTAGTCGGGCATGGTGGCACGTGCCTGTAGTCCCAGATACTTGGGAGGCTGAGGCAGGAGAATGGCGTGAACCCGGGAGGCGGAGCTTGCAGCGAGCCAAGATCACGCCACTGCACTCCAGCCTGGGTGACAGAGCGAGACTCCGTCTCAAAAAAAAAAAAAAAAAAAAAAATCAGGAATTTAAGAGCTGGGCGCAGTGGCTCATGTTTGTAATCCCAGCACTTTGGGAGGCCGAGGCAGGCAGACTGCTTGAGCCCAGGAGTTTGAGACCAGCCTGGACAACATGGCGAAACCCTGTCTCTAAAAAAATATATAAAAATTAGCTGGGCATGGTGGTGCACAGCTGTGGTCCCAGCTTCTCAAGTGGCTGAGGTGGGAGGATTGCTTGATCTCAGGAGGGGGAGGCTGCAGTGAGCTGAGGTCATGCCACTGCATTCAAACATGGGTGACAGAGTGAGACCCTGTTTAAAAAAAAATAAAAATAAAGATCATAGATTTGTCACATTTGCCTTACATTGTCAGTTTTTGTTTTCTATATTACAAGACCATGTTGTGAGATACATACAAGATCATGATTATTATCCCTTGGTAGAATATTTATGCAATGTTCACACAGTGCTTTTTTTCTTGAATCAGTTGGTCTGACTGTATCAGGCTCAATATTCTTTGCATAGTTTGTATTCAAATTGTGTCTCTGCCATTTAATAGATGTACGATCTTGAGAAAGATTTAATTTCTCTGTGCCTCAGTTTCCATGGCTGTAAAATGAGGTTATTAGTGATACTTGTCTCACAGGATTATCTTCAAGATTAAATAAGTTAATATGTATAAAGAAGTTATACAGCAGTACCTAGTATGTAGCAAATGCTGTAAATGTTAGCTATGTTATTGCTGTTTTATAACTGTGTATGATGGTTGGGGCATCTTTTTTAAACTTTTATTTTTATGGGTACATAGTAGATAATATTTATGGGGTACATGAGATATTTTGATACAGCCATACAATGTGTAATAATCACATTGGGATAAATGGGATATCCATCACCTCAAGCATTTATCATTTCTTTGTGTTGCAAACATTCCAATTATACTCTGTTATTTTAAAATATACAATTAAATTATTGTTGAGTGTAATCACCCTGTTGTACTAAATCTTCTTCATTCTATCAAGCTATATTTTTGTACCCATTAACTGCCCCCACTCCCCCACACCCCACACTACCCTTCCCAGCCTCTGTTAACCATCATCATTCTACTCTGTCTCTATGAGTTCAATTGTTTTATTTGAGCTCCCACAAATAAATGAGAACATGTGAAGTTTGTCTTTCTATGTCTGGCTTATTTAACTGAACATAATGTCCTCAAGTTCCACCCATGTTGTTGCAAATGACAGGTTCTAATCCTTTCTTATGGCTGAATAGTACTCCATTGTGTGTATGTACCACATTTTCTTTATCCATTTGTTTGTTGATGGACACTTAGGTTGCATCCAAATCTTGGCTATTGTGAATAGTGCTACAATAAACATGGAAGTGCAGATATGTATTTGACATACCGATTTCCCTTCTTTTGGTATATACCCAGCAGTGGGATTGCTGGATCATATGGTAGCTCTATTCTTAGTTTTTTGAGGAACCTCCAAACTGTTCTCCATAGTGGCTATACCAATTTACATTCCTACCAACAGTGCACGAGGCTTACCCCTTTCTCTACATCTTTGCAAGAATTCTTTTTTTTTTTTTTTTTTTTTTTTTGAGACAGAGTCTTGCTGAGGCTGAAGTGCAGTGGCGTGATCTTGGCTCACTGCAACCTCTGCCTCCCAGGTTCAAGTGATTCTCATGCCTCAGCCTCCCAAGTAGCTGGAATTACAGACGTGCACTACCATGCCCAGCTAATTTTTGTATTTTTAGTGGAGACGGGGTTTTACCATGTTGGCCAGGCTGGTCTCCAACTCCCGACCTCAGGTAATCCTCCACCTCGGCCTCTCAAAAGTGCTAGGATTACAGGCGTGAGCCACCGTGCCCAGCCTGCAAGAATTCTTTATTGCCCTTCTTTTGGATAAAAACCATTTTAACTAGGGTGAGATGATATCTCATTGTAGTTTGGATTTGCATTTCTGTGATGATCAGTGATGTTGAATACCTTTACATATACCTGTTTGCTGTTCGTATGTCTTCTTTTGAGAAATGTCTGTTCAGATCTTTTGCCCATTTAAAAAATCTGATTGTTAGATTTTTTTTTCCTATAGAGTTGTTTGAACTTCTTATATATTCTGGTTATTAATCCTTTGTCAGATGGATATTTTGCAAATATTTTCTCCCATTCCATGGATTGACTCTTCACTTTGTTTCATTTGCTGTGCAGAAGCTTTTTAACCGGATGTGATCCCATTTGTCCATTTTTGCTTTAGTTGCCTGTGCTTTTGGAGTATTACTCGAGCAATCTTTGCAGACCAATGGGAGAGTTTCCCCCGATGTTTTCTTGTAGTAGTTTCATAGTTTGAGGTCCTAGATCGAAATCTTTAATCCATTTTGATTAGATTTTTGCATATGGCTAGAGATAGGAGTCTAGTTTCATTCTTCTGCATGTAACTATACAGTTTTCCCAGCACTATTTGTTGAAGAGACTGTCCTTTCCCCAATGTATGTTCTTGGTACTTTTGTTGAAAATGAGAGTTTATTGTAGATTTATGGATTTGTTATTGGATTCTCTATTCTGTTCCATTGGTCTATGTTTCTGTTTTTATGCCAATACCATGTTATTTTGGTTACAATAGCTCTGTGGTATAATTTGAATCAGGTAATGTGATTCCTCCAGTTTCTTTCTTTTTTTCTTTTGAGACAAAGTCTCAGCTCTGTCACCTAGGCTGGAGTGCAGTGGTGCAATCTTGGCTCACTGCAACCTCTGCCTCCCGGGTTCAAGCCATTCTCCTGCTCAGCCTCCCGAGTAGCTGGGATTACAGGGGCATGCCATCACGCTCAGCTAGTTTTTGTATTTTTTTTTTTTAGTAGAGACAGGGTTTCACCATGTTGGCCAGGCTGATCTCAAACTCCTGACTTCAGGTGATCCACCCACCTCGGCCTCCCAAAGTGCTGGGATTACAGGCATAAGCTACTGCACCCGGCCCAGCTTTTTTTCTTTTCCTCAGGATGGCTTTGGCGATTCTGGGTCTTTGTGATTCCATAGAAAGTTTAGTATCTGAGTAGTATGGGAATTTTAAAAATACCGATTGTTGCAATTCATGAACATGGAATATCTTTCCATTTTTTTGTATCTTTAGTTTCTTACATCAATGTTTTATAACTTTCATTGTAGAGAACTTTTTTGTTTGTTTTTGAGACAGTCTTGCTCTGTCACCCAGGCTGGAGTATAGTGGCACGATCACAGCTCACTGCAGCCTTGACCTCCTGGGCTCAAGCAATCCTCCCACCTCAGCTTCCCGACTAGCTGGGACCACAGGCTTGAACCACCAAGCCCAGTTAATTTTTTTGTATTTTTTGTAGAGATAGTGTCTCACTATGTTGCCCAGGCTGGTCTCGAACTCCTGGACTCAAGCAATCCTTTTGTCTTGGCCTCCCAAAGTATTGGGATTACAGGCGTGAACCACTGTGCCTGGCCTTTTAGAGCTCTTTTAATTCATTGGCTAACTTAATTTCTAGGTATTTAATTTTATTTGGAGCTACTATAAATTGGATTACTTTTTGGTTTCTTTTTCAGATTGTTCACTGTTGGCATATAGAAATGCTACTGATTTTTGTATGTTGATTTTGTATGCTGTAACTTTTCTGAATTTATCAGTTCTAATAGTTTTTTTAGTGTAGTCTTAGGTTTTTCCAAATACAAGATCATAATCATCTGCAGACAAGAATAATTTGGCTTCTTCCTTTCCAATTTGGATGCCCTTTATTTCTTTCTCTTGTCTGATTGCTCTAGCTAGGGTGTCCAGTACTATGTTAAATAACAGTGGTAAAAGTGGGGATCCTTTTTGTGTTCCATATCCCAGAGGAAAGGCTTTCAGTTTTTCTTCATTAAGTATGATACTAGCTTTGGGTCTGTCATATATGGCTTTTTGAGCTATGTTCCTTCTATACCTAGTTTTTTGAGGGTTTTTATTATGAAGAGATGTTGAATTTTATCAAATGCTTTTTCAGCATTAATTGAAATGATCATATGGTTTTTGTCCCTCATTCTGTTGATATAATGTATCACATTGATTGATTTACGTATGTTGAACTATCCTTACATCCCAGGGATAAATCCCGGTTGGTCAGGATGAATGATCTTTTCATGGGTTTTGCCATTTTGTTAAAATCTTAGTGTGACAGTTTTCAGATGATGGAAAAATAAGAAGAGTGACTTTCAGCTGGAGAGTCCTTATTAAAACACAGATGTCTTCTGTAAATAGAGTTGGAAAAATACTACCAGTGAGCTCTTTGTTTATAAATGTTTCTTTTAACTTATCCATGCAGGATCTGAAATGGAAAGCTACTTCTCTTTCATCAGTCAAGAGGTACATTACAACAGAATCCTTGATGCACTGAGAAGAGAGCTGGGTTCCAAATCTCACTCAGTGATCTAGGAGAGGAGAGGCAGCCAGTGTTCTGCCTGCCTTAGTTTTTCCGATCAGGGTTCCTGTGGCTCTTTGTGTTTTGGCCCGGCCTCCCCCTCAACAGCCTTCCCTCTTCTGCCTGGCCTCTCTGAAACACTGTTTGAATTCTAAGATAAGCTGTGATGTCTGACCTGTATTAATAGCTATGATAAACTTGTGGAGCTATTGTCATTTCAAGGAGTTTTTGGATATTGAAGAGTTTAAGTAAGTTGTCATGTTTTCTTTTGGAATTCCCATTTGGTTGAGTATAGCATACTGAAATGATACTCCTGAAGTCCGTAGGATGATGACATTTTTGCATAGTAAAGTCCCTGTTGTGCAAGATATGAAATGAAATTTTTTTAACGAGAAAGATCTTTGTGACTTCATGATTTTTCTACTGCCTCATTCATAATTCCTAAGCAGGAAACACACATATCTCAGTTTAGCTTCTTTGAATCACACAAAATGTTTTGTCTGGTGGTCTTATTTTGCTACCAATGAGACCACATTTACAGGGTGAAAACAATCTTTCTCAAGTAAAGTGTTATGGTTTATGAAACCTGTGGAGTGTGCATTGAAATGATAAATAATATTTACACATGCACAATAGATTGAGTTCTATAGAGGGCGAATACTTTTAGAAGTAGACTTTCCTCTGTGCATATGGGTAATAGTGTGAGTGGTGTGGCCCATGTTTGTTGTATTTAACTTGAGTGTGTTTAAATGATTATAAGGTGCTTTGGGTAGAGTTACTACAATATTAGCTCTAAAAGGTTCACGGACTTCTTTCTATATTTAGCATGAAATTTTTTTTTTTTATAGATTTTTTTTTTTTTTTCGCGAGACGGAATCTCGCTCTGTCACCCAGGCTGGAGTGCAGTGGCACAATCTCCACTCACTGCGGGCCCCGCCTCCCAGGCTCATGCCATTCTCCTGGCTCAGCCTCCCGAGTAGCTGGGACTACAGGTGCCCGCCACCACGCCCAGCTAATTTTTTGTGTTTTTAGTAGAGACGGGATTTCACCATGTTAGCCAGGCTGGTCTCGATTTTGTGACCTCGTGATCTGTCCCCCTTGGTCTCCCAAAGTCCTGGGATTACAGGCGTGAGCCACTGTGCCCGGCCTATGGATTTTTATGGTACTTGGGGGAGACTTTGAGTATGTGGGTTTAGCATCTTATAAAGACAGTTTCATTAAGTGTTACATAAGGCTCATGCATATATCTTCGTTTTGCACACTTAGAATGCCACAGAAGGGACTCTTTTCTGTTGGTGTCTTAAGACTCACCAAGGTCAGCCATGAGGAATCAGCTTAAAAATTTTCCCTCATTTTTTTTTTCTAAGGTATTAAAAACAGGCCAGGCACGGTGGCTGGGAGGCCAAGGCTGGTGGATCACAAGGTCAGGAGTTCGAGACCAGCCTGGCCAACATGGTGAAACCCCGTCTCTACTAAAAATACAAAAATTAGCTGGGCGCGGTGGCAGGCGCTTGTAATCGCAGCTACTCGGGAGGCTTAGGCAGGAGAATTGCTTGAACCCGGAAGGTGGAGGTTTCAGTGAGCCGAGATCACGCCACTGCACTCTAGCCTGGGTGACAGAGCAAGACTCTGTCTCAAAACAAAAACAACAACAACAACAACAAAAAACCAGACATGATTGGCTGGGCATGGTGGCTCACACCTGTAATCCCAGCATTTTGGGAGGCCGAGGCAGGCAGATCACCTGAGGTCAAGAGTTTGAGACCAGCCTGGCCAACATGGTGAAAACCTGTCTCTACTAAAAATACAAAAATTAGCCGGGTGTGTTGGCACATGCCTGTAATCCCAGCTACTCAGGAGGCTGAGGCAGGAGAATCACTTGAACCTGGGAGGTGGAGGTTGCAGTGAGCCGAGATTGTGCCACTACACTCCAGTCTGGGTGACACAGTGAGACCCTGTCTCAAACAAAAACAACAACAGCAACAAACCAGACATGATTTCTTTTATTTATTTCTTCATTTTTTTCTTTATTTCTTCTAAAAAAAAGAAAACATGGGATACATGTGCAGAACATGCAGGTTTGTGCCATGGTGGTTTGCTGCACCTGTTGACTAAGTTCTAAGTTCCCTTCCTTCACCCCCCACCCGCTAACAGGCCCTGGTGCGTGTTGTTTCCCTCTCTGTGTCCATGTGTTCTCAATGTTCAAAACATGCAGTGTTGGTTTTCTGTTCCTGTGTTAATTTGCTGAGGATGATGGCTTCCAGCTTCATTTATGTCCCTGCAAAGGACATGACCTCATTCCTTTTTATGACTGCATAGTATTCCATGGTGTATATCAGACATGTTTTCTTGAGATGTTAGTAACAGTGTTTTTCTGGCCAACTCAATGTGAAATAATACTGTTCTTGGGTAGAATAATTCATCTTCATTCATGGAAGTGATACTTTAATGTAATTAGATGTATATTTTATCTAAAGTGGCACAAAAATATCTTGGCATATTGTACATTTGGAGATGTTGACCTCACATATAACTATTGCCCTTGACCCTCTTTTCTTGTTCTATTTAATATTCTAGGTACGACACCGAGCTTCTGGTCAGGTGATGGCTCTTAAGATGAACACATTGAGCAGTAACCGGGCAAACATGCTGAAAGAAGTACAGCTCATGAATAGACTCTCCCATCCCAACATCCTTAGGTAATGGCTTTTCCTTCCTTCTGATCAATGAGAAAACTGAAACATTGGAGGCTTGCTAGAATAGCACTAATAGGAAAAAAAGGAGGGATTCAGGATTTATCATGCTGAATCTATCTTGCTGGGGTTTAGTGGTACTCTAGGTCGTTTTCTACCCATTGAGACTTAATTTATTGGTAATTAACTGCATTTAATAAAGCAACTTCCTTTATCTCTTAAGTTGCTTTACTCTCATTAGAACATTAGTAGCAGCTCATTAGAACAATTGTTTTCTATTGCTGACTGGTAATTTATCAAAGAGGAGAGATTGGTCTTTATGTGGTTATTTACTTTTCCTGATTACTTTTTGGGAAATTGTAATTAAATCAATGAGTGGCAATAAATGTAAAATTACACCCTCAAGTTATCTATCCTTAACTTTTAGCACTCACTTGAGGAGACACATTTTGCCTTTGAGAATTGTTATTTTTTTGAGATAGGGTCTCACTCTGTCACCCAGGCTGGAGTATAGTGGCATGATCATGGTTCACTGCAGCCTTGACCTCCAGGGCCCAGTTGAGCTTCCCCACCTCAGACTCCTGAGCAGCTGGAACTACAGGCGCACCACCACATCCAGCTAATTTTCACATTTTTCGTAAAGTCAGAGTTCCACCATTTGCCCAGGCTGGTCTCAAGTTCCTGGGCTCAAGCAATTCACCCTCCTTGGCCTCCCAAAGTGGACAATTATTTTTATAAGTTTATGTAATTGTCACTTTTTAATAATCCGTATCTGAATCTTTCTTGCTTTAATTATTTTGATATTTTAGTCAGGCAAGTATATTTTCTTTTTAAAAAAAATTTGGCTGGGCGCGATGGCTCACGCCTGTAATCCCAGCACTTTGGGAGGCCGAGGCAGGCGGATCATGAGGTCAGGAGATTGAGACCATCCTGGCTAACATGGTGAAACCCCATCTCTACTAAAAATACAAAAAAACAGTTAGCCGGGCGTGGTGGCACGTGCCTATAGTCCCAGCCACTTGGGAGGCTGAGGCAGGAGAATTGCTTGAACCCGGGAAGTGGAGGTTCCCCCTGGGAACCTAGTGCAGTGAGCTGAGATTGCACTACTGCACTCCAGCCAGGGTGACAGAGCAAGACTCCGTCTCAAAAAAAAAAAAAAAAAAAAATTTTATTTGGCCAGGCATGATGGCTCATGCCTGTAATCTCAGTACTTTGGGAGGCCAAGGTGGGTGGATCTCTTGAGCCTAGGAGTTTAAGACCAGCCTGGGCAACATGGTGAAACCCCATCTCTACAAACAACAACAACAACAAACAACAAAAAAAAATTAGCCAGGTATAATGGCATGTGCCTGTAGTTTCAGCTACTCGGGAGGCTGAGGTGGGAGGATCTCTTGAGCCAATAGTTCACAGCTACAGTGAGCCATGATTGCAGCACTGCACTCCAGCCTGAGTGACAGAGTGAGACCCTATATTAAAAACAAAAATGATTTTGTTAAAAAAAATTTTTCTTAAATGAGATAAGGTCTCACTGTGTTGTTCAGGCTGGGATTACAGGTGTGATCCACCACACCTGGCCAGTATATTTTTAAATGAGACCAAATAAGACAATTTAATTCAATGTATATTTAGTTAGGGTTTATGTGCAGGATGCTTTGTAAAGTTTAAAGTACTATTTACTTAGGGTCATTTATTGCTATTTTTTGTATGTTTATATTAGGCTAGAGAGAACTCATATGGCTTAAGTATGACTTACATGTTTGGTCAATGGTATTAAATTATGGAATTAAATTATACTGCTTACTTGAAACTTTTTATCCTTATATAGAATTATTGGCTTCCTAGTCTACTACAAAAATATTCAGCCAGTATTTTTATTGTGGTGACTTTCTTTCAAATTTATAAGTCAAATTAACACTTTTTTTTTGAGACGGAGTTTCACTCTTGTCGCCCAGGCTGGAGTGCAATGGCTCGATCTCAGCTCTCTGCAACCTCCACCTCCTGGGTTCAAGTGATTCTCCTGCCTCAGCCTCCCAAGTAGCTGGGATTACAGACACTCGCCATCACACCCGGCTAATTTTTGTATTTTTAGTAGAGACGGGGTTTTACCACGTTGGCCAGGCTTGTCTTGAACTCCTGACCTCAGGTAATCCACCTGCTTCGGCCTCCCAAAGTGCTGGGATTACAGGTGTGAGCCACCGCACCTGGCCAGATTAACACATTTTTTGAGCATCTACTATATGCCTGGTGATATATTCAGACATCAGAAAGATATCAAGATATATATAAAATAGAGTGTCTGCTAGCAAGGAATTTATACTTTACTTGCTCTACTTACATTGATGGAAAGAGAACTAATAAATTAACTAAGACACCACCATTTGAGTAGAATAAACTCTTAAGTGCCTTAGGAGTTCAAATGAGTGAGGGGTCATATTAACTTTGAAGAGTCAGGGAAGTCTGGGCGTGACGGCTCACGCCTGTAATCCCAGCACTTTGGGAGGCTGAGGCAGGCAGATCACAAGGTCAAGAGTTCGAGACCATCCTGGCCAACATGGTGAAACCCCGTCTCTACTAAAAATACAAAAATTAGCTGGGTGTGGTGGCATGCACCTGTAGTCCCAGCTACTCGGGAGGCTGAGGCAGGAGAAGCTCTTGAACCTGGGAGGCAGTGGTTTCAGTGAGCTGAGATTGCGCCACTGTATTCCAGCCTGGCAACAGAGCAAGACTCTGTCTCAAAAAAAAAAAAAAAGGGTCAGGGAAGCCTTCTAGGAGGGGACTTGAACCGGACTTTGAATTTTTTTTTAAATTACTTTTAATTTTTGTGATTACATAGTAAGTATATCTGCTTATGGGTTACATAAAATATTTTGATGCAGGCATGTCGTGCATAATAATGAACCTTGATTTTTAAAAGGATTTTAGAAGATAGGGGAGGAACTCAGAGCAAATAGTGATATAGAAAGCACAGATATAAAAATGCAAAGCTTTTTGAGGAGTCAGTGAATAAAATCCTATTTGGCTAATAATGACAATAATAATAATGACCATTTATTGAAGGCATGTTGTATACTGGGTGTGTTACTTATTTAAAGATTTCATCTTCACACTCACTCTCCATTGAGGCCAAGAGATTATGTATGGGCCAAAGTCTCCTCTAAGGCCTATGTTCTTTCTACCAGGCTTCTCTTAGAAGAACTGAGGATTTGATAGGATAGTATTGGTAGATAAAGGTGGAAAAGTAGAATTGGGTCAAATTATCCAGAAATGCTTTGCATAAATCCAAAGGATTGTAGTTTATGATCTGTGATTGGATTCTGAGCAGAAACTAGAATGATAAGGTAATTGATGACAAGATGCAGAATGGTTTAGTGTTAGAGAGACTGGTAGCAAAGAGATCAGTTAGGGGGCTTCCACCATGTTTGAGAGTGAGGTAGATGAGGCTTTGATATTCTGCTTAGGAATTTTTAAGATGATCATATTTTAAGTAATATCTAGCTTAAGAAGTAATATTTTAATTTTTTTATTATTACAGAAGTGATACATAATTGCAATGCAAACATTTAGAAAATAGAATTAGTAAGAAAAAGAAAATAAAACTTGCCCTTAATCTCAGCATGTAGGGCTAAAACTAGTATTAGCATTTTGGCATCTTTCCTGCTAATCTTTTTATTTTATCATTCCTTTTCTTACTCTCTTCACTGTGAACTGAACTAGCAAATGCATGGAAAGTTGACTTTAAATAAATTTTATTCCATTACAGCAAAATCTTTAGATATACTTGTTATATAATAAAATGGTATAGTATAACCTGAAACTGTAAAACTACTAAAAGAAAATGTATGCTGGGTACGGTGGCTCACGCCTGTAATCCCAGCACTTTAGGAGGCCGAGGTGGGCGGATCACGAGGTCAGGAGATCGAGACCATCCTGGCTAATACTGTGAAACCCCGTCTCTACTAAAAATATAAAAAATTAGCCAGGTGTGGTGGTGGGTGCCTGTAGTCCCAGCCACTCGGGAGGCTGAGACAGGAGAATGGCGTGAACCCTGGAGGCAGAGCTTGCAGTGAGCCGAGATCGCGCCACCGCACTCCAGCCCAGGCGACAGAGCGAGACTCTGTCTCAAAAAAAAAAAGAAAACATAATAGAAAAATCTCCATGAGATTGGGTAGACAATTTTTTGGATGTGCACAAGCAACAAAAGCAAAAATAGACAAATGAGATTGCATCAAACTAAAAGCTTGGAAGGCCGAGGCAGGTGGATCACCTGAGTCGGGAGTTCGAGACCAGCCTGACTAACATGGAGAAACCCTGTCTCTACTAAAAAATATAAAATTAGCCGGGTGTGGTGGTGCATGCCTGTAACCCCAGCTACTCAGGGGGCTGAGGCAGGAGAATCACTTGAACCTGGGAGGCAGAGGTTGCAGTGAGCTGAGATTGCACCATTGCGTTCCAGCCTGGGCAACAAGAGCGAAACTGTCTCAAAAAACAACAAAAAAGAAGGAAATACTGTCATTTGGGACAACTTGGATGAACCTGGAGGATGTTACACTAAATGAAATAAGCCAGACACAGAAAGACAAATAACTCATGATCTCATTTATGTATGAACTCTAAAAAAGTCGATCTCATAGAAGTAGAGAGAAGAGGCTGGGTGCAGTGGCTCATGCCTGTAATCCCAGCACTTTGGGAGGCTGAGGTGGGTGGATCACGAGGTCAAGAGATCGAGACCATCCTGGCTAACACGGTGAAACCCCATCTCTACTAAAAATACAAAAAATCAGCCGGGTGTGGTGGCACACACCTGTAGTCCCAGTTACTCAGGAGGCTGAGGCAGGAGAATCACTTGAACCCGAGAGGCGGAGGTTGCAGTGAGCCGAGATCGCACCACTGCGCTCCAGCCTGGGTGACAGAGCAAGACTCTGTCTCAAAAAAAAAAAAAATGTGGAGAGAAGAATGGTGGTTACCAGAGGATGGGGTGAGTGGATGGGATGGGGGAGGAAATAGGGGGAAGTTGGTCAGAGACACAAAGTTTCAGTTACATAGGAGGAATACATTTCTGAAATCTGTTGTGCAGTATGGTGACTATAGTTAATAATAATGTATATTTCCAAAAACAGAAAATAGAACTGCTATATGATCCAGGAATAGGAGTAAATTTTAAATATGTCACCACAAAAAATGATGTGAGGTAGTAGATATGTTAATTAGCTTGATTTAATCATTCTACACTGTATACATTTATGTTTGATCTATTTTAAAAAGTAGTACTATAGTATGATTAAAAATGAAGGCTTTAGGTTGGGTGTGCCCACACCTGTAATCCCAGCACTTTGGGAAGCCGAGGCAGACAGATTCCTTGAGCTCACAAGTTCAAGACCAGCCTGGGCAAGATGGTGAAACCATGTTTTCTTTTGTATTTTTTGTAGAGAAAACATGGTTTTTGTAGAGAAAACCTTGTTTTCTCTACAAAAAATACAAAAATTAACTGGGCATGGTGGTGTGCGCCTGTAGCCCTAGCGACTTTAGAGGCTGAGGTGGGAGGATGGCTTGAGCCTAGGAGGCAGAACTTGTAGTGAGCTGAGATCATACCACTTCACTCCAGCCTGGGTGATACAGCCAGAGCTTGTCTCAAAAAAAAAAAAAAAAAAAAAAAAAAAAGGCTCTAGATTAGAGGTGTCCAATCTTTTGGCTTCCCTGGGCCATATTGGAAGAAGAATTATCTGGGGTCACATATAAAATACACTAACACTAACAATAGCTGATGAGCTAAAACAAACAATTGCAAAAAAAAAATCTCATAGTGTTTTAAGAAAGTTTATGAATTTGTGTTGTGCCACATTGAAAGCCATTCTGGGCTACATGTGGCCCATGGGCTGTGGGTTGGACAAGCTTGCTCTAGATTCTAGATCAAACTGCCTGGATTCAAATCCTGGATCTTAGGAAAGTTTAGTTAACCTCTCTAAGCCTTAGTTTTCCCATCTATAAAATGAGGGTAATGACAGTAAATATTTTACGGAGTTGTTATTGAAGATTAATTAAATTAGTACACGTAAATCACTTAGAATAGTACCTGGTATGTGGTAAGTGCTCAGTAAATGTTAGCTATTATTATTAGTTTCTTTTCCTCTGGCTGCTTCTTTCAGTGGCCTATTATAGCCTTTGTTGTTGTTGTTGTTGTTGTTATTTAGTTTTTATTTCGTAATCATAAACTTAACTCTGCAATCCAGCTATGCATGGAAGGGAACAAGGAAAACATGGAACCCAAAGGGAACTGCAGCGAAAGCACAAAGATTATGGGATATTGCGAGCAAATGGGGTGGAGGAGTGCTCTCCTGAGCCACAGAAGGAATGGTCTGGTGGTTAAAATAAAACACAAGTCAAATTTATTAGAGTTGTCCACAGTCAGCAATGGTGATCTCCTTGCTGGTCTTGCCATTCCCAGACCCAAAGTGCCCCATGGCCTCCACAATATTCATGCCTTCTTTCACCTTGCCAAAGACCACATGCTTGCCATCCAACCGGACACATAAACCCTGGAATAATTCTGTGAAAGCAGGAACCCTTATAACCAAATCCTTTCTCTCCAGTGGTCAGAGCACAAAAGTTTTCTGTTGTCTTTGGAAACTTGTCTGCAAACAGCTCGAAGGAGACGTGGCCCAAGGGCTCGCTGTTTGACTGTGATGTTGAAGAACATGGTGGGGTTGACCATGGCTGATAGTACGGGGCTCCTGGCGGTGGCAGCAGTGTCCACAAAGCACCTATCTTTTTTTTATTCATTTACTCACTAAACACTTGTTGAGTGCCTACTGTTGCTTTTAATAGATTCAACGGTTTTCTACTAAAGCATTGCTGTCCAATAGAACCTTCTGCAGTGATGGAAATGTTCTATATTTCTGCTGTCCAGTAGCCACATGTGGCTAATAAGCACAGAAATATTGCTAATGCAAACAAGAAATTAAAATTTTATTTGGATTGCTTTAAATTTAAATTGCCACATGAAGCTAGTGCCTACTGTATTTGATAATGCTGGGCTACCTACATCTTTGCCTTTGCTTTGCTACGGGTATATGTATTCCAGCCTAGAAACATGTAGGGTTGTGATGAGACCAACATTACCATTCCTATTCCATATCTCCTTGATGTACTTTCTTAGCTTATCTCCTTTTGATCCTATTGCTTAGGAATGATCCCCACCTCCACCCTCATCCCCCTTAACTTAAAAAAGTAATGTTCTTTGCTCTCAGCCAAGTTTTCTAATGTATGAAAGGTAGCATTCAGTCTATCTAAATCTTCCCAATAAGCCCACAAATGAGATGATATATATAAAGCCTCTGGCACAGGAACTGTCACACTGCAAGTATAATACATGAGAATGTAATTATTGTTAGCCACGTGGGTTTGCCCTCTGATGGTGACCATTTTTGTTCTGCATAAGCCATCTGTCTCAAAGATACTGTGGTTTAAAAGCCTGAAATGGATTACTTTTTAAAAGAAGCTTCTAATTATTTATATCATTTATGTTTTTATGTCTTCACTTTCACTATATATTTTGAAGACAACAAAAGGAAATTATTCTAACCAGTGGCCTAGAGCAAACAAAGTCCTTTTGGCTTTTGTTACCCAGACGAGTATTAATGTAATGGAAACATTTATTATACTTCCCTGTGACTCCTTAAATGCCAAACTAAGCATGACTATGTTTTATTCTCAAGGTTCTTAGAATTTGTATTTTCTAAATGCTTTCTGGTTGTCTTAGCAATTTGCTGTTAATACTTAGGATTTAAATTTTTTGGTTACTATTTGTTAGTATGGCTCTTAGTCTATTTTCAAGCTGTAAACATTATAAGCTTTCTTTTATAGGTGCAGAAGTATGAACCAGAATTTTTCCCCAAATTGAGATTAGATCTACATTGGGAAGAATCCATCTCTTGGAACCCTAGGATTACACAGATGTGCCTTCTCAGGTGCTGGCCCCGGGTATGGGAGGTGGCTGAGTAGATGAGACTTCTGTTCTCTTGGCTTCATCTAGTCAGAACAGTTGCACTTTTTATCTTTTTTATATTGAACTTCTGTATAAGAGTTTTGAAGAAAAGGTCTCTTGCTTAAAAGAAAGAGAGAGAGAGAGAAATGAAGGAAAGAAAGAAAGAAAGAAAAAGAAAAAGAATGAGTTGAAAATTCTTCTGTTAGTGCTTTGGAAAGGCTACTTGGGAAAGAAGCCTATCTGCATGATCTGCCAGGTGGTAGGCATTTAATCCTCTGGGCATACCTTGGTTCTCTTCTGCCAGAGCTATTGTGTGCCCAGCAGGAGTGAGTGAGCTGAACCTTTGTAGTTCTCTTTTTCTTGACCCCAACCTCCTAGTTTCCCTTTTTCCCTTTATCTCCCTTCCTCCTAAGATTTCTATTTGGGAGGAAAAGTGTGGGCCTGGTAAGTCATAGAGGTAGTACTTGTGTAAATTTTGTTCATGTGTGTGTATTCTGTTTATACATGGGCCCAGTGAAGATTGGTTATTTTATCATCAGTTGCTCAAAGTTATCAGTTAAAAAAAGGAACAATAAAGTACTTTGTTGAATGCAGGGACTGATTGTTTAGGTCTCTTGTGAATAAGGTTGTTTACGCCAGGAAGTCTTATGCTCAAGATCTGTAACCCAGTTCTATGCCCCACTCACTTCCACTCCCCAGTGGCCTTTTTGAGGAACTATACACTCAGATTTGTTCTCATACCTCCCCACGACCCCAAGACAGGGCCTCACTCTGTTGCCCAGGCTCACTGCAATCTCTGCCTTCTGGGCTCAAGCAATCCTCCCACCTCAGCCTCCTGAGTAGCTGGGACTGCAGGCGTATGCCGCCACACTTGGCTAACTTTGAAAATTTTTTTGTAGAGAAAGTTCTCACTATATTGCCCAGGCTGGTCTCGAACTCCTGAGCTCAAGCAATCCTCCCACCTCGGCCTCCCAAAATGCTGGGATTATAGGCTTGAGCCACTGCACTGGGTCTCTCTGTTATTTATGCCATGAGAAATTTAATATTTCTTTTAGACTCCTTCAATTCACCAAATATGCCTTCAATTCACCAAATATGAAATTGAAGACTATGCCTTCAATTCACAAATATTTGCTTGGAACTACTCAGTCCCTCCCTGTGCTAGGTAATATCATGATTAATGCAAGAGAAATAGAGGCTTCTTGTCTCCCAGAGAGTCTCCTTAAGAAGTAAATTATACTATGTAGGAAATAGACTAGCATTAGCTAATGCTGTGAGAATATGGCAGGATATTTTCCCAGTCTCAGTTATTAAGACAGCCATCTTTCCAGTTATCCATCCTGAAAAATTCCAGCCATTTTTGGTTATCATGTATTCCTTGCTTCTAATGAGAAGCTAAGCTGTGATTCTAAATATTCAAAGGCTTTTGCATCTATTCCTTCCCGTATATGTGGGCTGTAATTCAGCCTTCTTCACTTTCACCTGGAGTGAATTATTTTCCCTGTCTCTTTGCCCTTTTTCACTCTTCCTGATACTCAGCTCTGGTTGTATAGTTTATTTCTTAAAACTTTTTGTGGCTCACATTGGTTTCAAAATCGAGTCAAAAATTATTTAGACTGACAGTTAAGGTTCAGTCTGTTTTTCCAGCCTTTTCTTCCACTCTTTCTCTTGTACAATTCACACAGCTCCACAATTTCCTAATTATATTCTCTAGGACAAGTTATTTAACCTCTGTGCTTTGATTTCTTCTGTTTAATGAGAATGGACCAGATCAGTTGTTAGAAATCACACTGAGGCAGGGCATGGTGGCTTACACCTATAATCTGAGCACTTGGGAGACTGAGGCGGGAGGATCCATTTGAGCCTAGGAGTAGTGAGCTATGATGGCTTCTTCCTGCCAGCTGCACAGACAAAATCAATTCCCTGAGATCGTGGCATTGCAGTAAGAAAGAGTTTAATTGACTCAAGGCCAGCCATGCCAAAGAGGCAGTTATCACTTAAATCAGTCTTCCTGAAGCCCTCTAGAGGTTAGAGTTTTTATGGACAATTTGGTGGGCAGGGCTGAGGGAATGGGTGCTGCTGATTAATTGGGGGTGTGGAAAAGTCCTTGTGCGCTGAGTGTGCCTCTGTGTAGGGCTACAGCAGGAGTCCTCAACCCCCAGGTTATGGACCGGTATCAGCCTGTGGCCTGTTAGGAACTGGGCCACACAGCAGGAGGTGAACAGGTGAGCAAGCATTGCTGCCTGAGCTCTGCTTCCTGTCAGATCAGCGGTGGCATTATATTTTCATAGAAGCGTGAACCCTGTTGTGAACTGTGCATGCGAGGGATCTTGGTTGCACGTCCCTTATGAGAATCAAATGCCTGATGATCTCAGGTGGAACAGTTTCATCCCAAAACCATCCCTCCACCTGACCCTCACCCGAGTCTGTGGAAAAATTGTCTTCCACAAAACCAGTCCCTGGTGCCAAAAAGGTTGGGGAAGGCTGGGCTACAGGACCAGTTGAGTCATGAGTCATGAGTCTGGGTGGGGTTGGTCTGAAAAAAATCTCTCAGAAAACCAGTCTTAGGTTCTATAATAGTGATGTTATCTATAGGAGCAGTTGGAGAAGTCACAAATCTTGTGATCTCTAGCCACATGACTCCCAAGCAGTAAGAAATTGTAGAACTATACCTACATTTTAGCAGAATTCTCTCCCCTCCCATAATCCTAACCTTGTGGCCTTTCCTTAGTTTTACAAAGGTAGTTTAGTTTTGGGAAGGGCTATTATCATCCTTGCTTTAAGGTTAAACTGTAAACTAAATTCCTCCCAAAGTTAGCTTGGCCTATGCCCAGGAATGACCAAAGACAAACAGCTTGAGGTTGGAGGCAAGATAGAGTTAACGATGTCAGATTTCTCTTTTGCAAAGGTGGTTTCAGTTGTGCCACTGAAACACAGACTGGGTGATATAGTGAGACCATGTATGTTAAAAAAAAAATAAAAAATAAAATAAATAAATATATAAATAAGAAATCACATTGAATTAAATGTTGAACAATTTTTAAATAATCAGGTTTTTAAAATATCTTAAGGGTGAGTGAATGTGGATGTGGAGTGTGTTCCAGAATAAATGGGCAGTGTTTTAAAAAAAAATTTTTTTTTTTTGAGTTGGAGTTTCGCTCTTGTTGCCCAAGCTGGGGTGCAATGGTGCAATCTCAGCTTACTACAACCTCTGCCTCTCAGGTTCAAGTGATTCTCCTGCCTCAGCCTCCCGAGTAGCTGGGATTACAGGCACGCGCCACCATGCCCAGCTAATTTTTTGTATTTTTAGGAGAAACAGGGTTTCACCATGTTAGCCAGGCTGGCCTCGAACTCCTAACCTCAGGTGATCCGTTTGCCTCGGCCTCCCAAAGTACTGGGATTACAGGCGTGAGCCACTGCTCCCAGCCTAAAATGTTTTTTTGCATCTGTTGAAGGTTGAAAAAAAAATAATAAAGTGGATCTCTCTGATTTTATCATTGTAATCCTGGTGGGTAACTAGGTGAAAGACTCTCAAGAGAGTTCACAAAGCATCTTTTGTAACACTAGACTGTAAGGTGATCTTAATTTTTTTTTGAGACAGAGTCTCACTCTGTCACCCAGGCTGGAGTACAGTGGCATGATCTCTGCTCACTGCAACCTCCGCCTCCCAGGTTCTCGTGCTTCAGCCTCCCGAGTAGCTGGGATTACAGGCATGTGTCACCACACCCAGCTAATTTTTGTATTTTTAGTAGAGATAGGATTTCACCATGTTGGCCAGGCTGGTCTCAAACTCCTGGCCTCAAGTGATCTGCCCCCGTTGGCCTCCCAAAGTGCTGGTATTACAGGTGTGAGCCACTGTGTCTTGGCTGAAGATTTTTAATATAAACAATGATTACTAATTATTGAGTACCCATTATGGACCACTATTAATTTCCTGCCGCATTCCCTTTCTTCTTTCCAGACCTCTCCCACCATTCATCCATCACTTGAGCCAAAAACTTACCATTCTTATTATCTTTCTCTTACACCCTATTTCAAACCATCAAGTAGTTCAGCATTATCTTCAAAATATGTCCTGAGTCTTTTTACCTCTACACTTACTACTCTAGCCCAACCATCCTAATTGATCTCTTGTCTTCCCCTTTTACCCCACAATAGCCAGATTGAATTTTAAGAGGGTAAATCAGATTATGTCATTTCCCTGCTGAATTTCCTAATACAGCTTTTTGTCATTCTTCAAAGTTCATACTCTGGGCTTTAACCTATCAGGCCCTAAATGATTTGGCCTACGTGGCTCTGACCATATTTCCAATCATTCTTCCTTTTTCTTACATCATTCTAACCACACTCACTAACCCTCTTGTTTCTCAGACACATTAAGCTTTTTTCCCTGCTTCAGGGCCTTTGTACTTACTTTATTCCAGAATCATATGATATATTTCTGCTGAGATAGCCCCTCTTCAAAGAAATCTTTTTGACTAGTCTAAAATAGACATCGATATTTGTTACAAGTTCTCATTACTTCTGAAAAGAACCTTATTCATTTGTTTACCTATTGCTTAAAGCCTCCAGTATTGAATGAGCTCTCTGAGGGTAGAAGTTTATCTTTTTCACCACTGTATTTGTAGTGCCTATAGTGTAGTATCTCTAGAAGCTGATGCCAATTAGAACCAAGCCAGTTTGCATCACAGAAACTTATAAAAGCTCAGGAACTGAAGGTGGGTGTCAGGCTTGGGCTAAAAATAAGAGGGCTATTCAAAGTCTTTTAAGGGGTAACTGGGCCTGAAAGTCAACATCCCCATTTCTTGTAACTAATCAGTTAAATATCACCCACCCCAATAAGACATGGTTTATTTTTGGAGAAAAATTGAACCAGAAATACTTCATACTAGTGAACATCTGATAGAATGCAATACCTAAAAGAGGAGATGGGGGGATAGTCTGCATACTGGAATGGTGAGGCTCATAAGACTTCTAGTCACCTTCCATCACCTGGCTCTCAGGCAGGCAAGAATCATTCCTATCCTACCCTCAACCCTGCCACTTGCCAGGAAATTGATGGATTTTTTCCTGGAGAAAATGAATAGACCCAAATAAAGGAAGACAGTTTTTTAAAAATGACAACCTTTCTCAGAAGTATTTGGCTTTGGCAATATAATAAAATTAAAACATTTTTTATATGAGCCATAGGCTCATGCTCTTTGAGTTCTCACCATTCAGTATGCAGACTAACCCATTGTGCCGGGCCTGGCTAATACCTGGAGGGGAGAACCAAAGGACATGTGCTTCCAGATTGAAAGGGCCCAGCACAATGAATGAAAAAACAGCCACCCAGAGCATATCATTATGAAATTTTAGAATATGGGTAATAAAAATATTCTAAACATTTCCACAGAGGAAAAAATTTAAAAAAAAATCCCATACAAAAAAGCTAGAGCAATGGAAGATGCTTTCTGAGAGAAAATGATTTCCTACTTAGAATCCTATGTCCAGCTGAACTACCAATCAAGCATGAGAGTAGAGTGAAGATATTTTTAGATAGGCAAATTGTCAAAAAATTTGCCTCTCATGAGCCCCTTCTCATGATGCTATTGGAGGATGTGTCCCTTCAAAACAGGGAAGTAAACAAAACACCCTAATAAAAATAAAAAGGAAGCCTTGAGACCTAGAAAGAAGTGGGTATAAAGGTAATGGGAAGTCCCAGGATGACTGTTGTGCAACAGTCTACAAAATAAGCAGTTCAGGTTGGATTCGAAGGATTACAAGATTCAGGAGAGATGTTGGGAAGTGGGGGTGTGAGGAAAGAACTTATGTATTTCCTGATATGTTTGGCAGGGTGGAAATCCATATTCAGAAGAATTTTACAATTTTGTTGGAGGCTTTGGAAAGAAGTAGCAGTAGGCATGCATATAAGTCCTTTCTCATGCTGCTAATAAAGACACACCCAAGACTGGGTAATTTATAAAGGAAAGAGGTTTAATGGACTCGTAGTTCCACGTGGCTGGGGAGGCCTCACAGTCATGGCAAAAGATGAAGGAAAAGCACAGGGACATCTTACATGGCTGCAGGCAAGAGAACATGTGCAGGGGAACTCCCCTTTATAAAACTATCAGATATCGTGAGACTTACTCACTATCACGAAAACAGCATGGGAGAGACCTGTCCCCATGATTCAATTACCTCCCACCAGGTCCCTCCAAAATGGGAATTATGGGAGCTACAATTCAAGATGAGATTTGGGTGGGACACAACCAAACCATGATAGCATGTAATAACTAAGCAAATGAAAAAAGGGGTAAAATACAAACAATTATAGAAGAAATAAAGTGAAATCATAATATAGTACTTGGCCTCATAGTGATTATAATCAGTCATAATAATGTAAATGCTGGCCAGGCACGGTGGCTCACACCTATAATCCTAGCACTTTGGGAGGCTGAGACCAGCCTGGGCAACATAGTGGGACCCTGTCTCAGCAAAAGATTAAAAAAACAAAAAAAAACCCATTGTGGGGCCACCACCTGTGGTCCTACCTACCCAGGAGGCTGAGGTGGGAGGATCTCTTGAGCCCAAGAGTTCAAGGTTTCAGTGAGCTGTAATCACACCGCTGCACTCTAGCCTGTGTGACAGAGCAAGACCCTGTCTCTAAAAAATAATAATAATTTTAACGATGTAATCCTGAGTCTTGATTTTTTTCCCCTGAATGTCAATTTTACCCCAAATTATCTTATAACAATATTGGAAGGGAAATATTTAAGAATGCTAAATCCTCAGCTGCTACACTGTAAAATCAGTAGATAAGGTCAGAAATGGCAGTGTATGTTAGCTAGATGTATGAAGGTAAATAGAATAAATAGCTAAAAAGAGTTGAAAGTGGTTCCCTCTGAGGAGGTGATTCAATGTGGTGTGGGCAGGGTAGGGGACTGTTATTTTTTATTATATGCCTATTTGAAGCTATGTAAGTGTGTAACTTAAGTTACTTAAGGAGGCTATTGCAATCATCTAGATAGAGCTCATGATGACTGGGACCACATGGTGGTAGTAAAGGTGAAGAGGAGTTGGGTTTTGAATTTTTTTATTTTTATTTTTATTTTTAGACAGAGCCTTGCTCTGTCACCCAGGCTGGAGTGCAGTGGGTGTGATCATGGGTTACTGCAGCCTCGACCTCCTGGGCTCAAACGATCCTCCTGCCTCAGCCTTCACAACAGCTGGTACTACAGGTGTGTACCACCTAAATGTGTCACACCCAGCTAATTGTCTTATTTTTGTAGAGACAAGGTCTCTCTATGTTGCCCAAACTGGTCTCTAACTCCTGGCCTCAAGTGATCATCCCACTTCAGCCTCCCAAAGTGCTGGGATTACAGGCATGAGCCACCACACCCTGGAGACTTTGAGTTCTTACTCATTTGGTAAAGTCTTTATTTTGCCCTAACATTTAGTTGGCAGGCCAACCACATAATTTTAGGTTCAAAATATTTTATTGAGAAATTTTAAAATACTGTTCATAATTATTTATTTTGAGATAAGATCTTGCTCTGTTGTCCATGTTGGAGTGCAGTGGCATGATCACAGCTCATTGCAGCCTCCAACCCCTGGCTCAAGCAATTCTTCTGCCTCAGCCTGCCAAGTAGCTGAGACTACAGGTGAGCACCACCACACTGGGATAATTTTTTTGTTTTAATTTTTTTATAGAGACAGACTGACCCACTATGTTGGCCAGGCTAGTCTTGGACTTCTGGGCTCAAGCAGTCCTCCCACCCTGGCCTCCCAAAATACTGGGATTGCAGGTGTGAGCCACTGCAACCAGCTGGGTTCTGAATATCTTCTTTCTTTTAATTTTTCTTATTTCTCCAAGAAAAAATAGAGATTTTTTTTTGAGACAGGGTCTTGCTCTGTTGCCCAGGCTGGAGTGCAGTGACACCATCATGGCTCACTGCAGCCTTGGCCTCCTGCTGGGCTAAAATCATCCTCCCACCTCAGCCTCCCGAGTAGCAGGGACTACACGTATACACCACCACACCTGGCTAATTTTTGTGTGTGTGTGTATATATATGTAGATATATACACACACTAAGATTTTATATATATATCTATATATAGATATAGATATAGATATATTTTTTAGAGATGGGGTTTCACCACGTTGTGCAGACTGGTTTTGAACTCCTGAGCTCAAGCGATCTGCCCGCCTCGGCCTCCCAAAGTGCTGGGATTACAGGTGTAAGCCATTGCACCTGGCCCTGAATATTTTTTAAAGAGGAAATCGGTGAGGGATATTAGCACAAGGGAAGGAGGCATAAAGGATGCCTCTTAATTAGGTTTTTTGTTTGTCAATTTTTAAACTTTAAATTTATTCATTTTTTATTTCAAACCACCATACACATGTGCAGATTACTTAGGTTTTGACTTGAACAACTGGAAGAATTGAATTGCCAGTAACTGTGCTGGGGAGACATTGTGGGGAACAGTTTTGGAAATGGGAGATCAGGAGATATCAACTTGGCAGTTGGATAAACAAGTTTGGAATTCAAAGGAGAGATTCAGGATGGTTGTGCCTCGTAGTAATTTAGGGGATCTTGAGCAAATTGTGAAATATCTATAACCTCAGTTTTCTTACCTGTGAAGTAGGAAATAATAGTAGTACTGCTGTATCAGCTTGATGGGAAGATTAAATTAGATAATATACATAAAGAATTGATCACAGTACAAAGGCACTAAATCTTACCTGTCACTATTTTTTATTATTGTTATTACTACTGTCACAATAATCTGAAGTATCATATATTGAGGCTGTATAGCTTAAAGTTTAAGAGGTAAAAATCCACTCCCTGACTCCGCCATTTGCTCATTGTGTGCCCTTAGGTGAGCCACTTAATCTTTATTTTTCTTATCTCTAAAATAGAAATAGGCCTGGTGTGGTGGCTCAGGCCTGTAATCCTAGTACTTTGGGAGGCCAAGGTGGGCAGATCACCTAAGTTCAGGTATTCGAGACTAACCTGGCCAACATAGTGAAACCCCGTCTCTAATAAAAATACAAAAATAGCCCGGCGTGGTGGCGCATGCCTGTAATCCCAGCTACTCGGGAGGCTGAGGCAGGAGAATTGCTTGAACCCAGGAGGTGGAGGTTGCAGTGAGCCAAGATCGCGCCACTGCAATCCAGCCTGGGTGATCAAGTGAGACTACATCTCAAAAAAAAAAAAATAATTAAATAAAATAGAAATATACTTATCACATATTTTTACAAGGATTAAATGAGATAAGCTCTGTAAAAGTATTTAGAACAGTGTCTGACACGTCCTTAGGTGCTCAGTAAATGTTATACATCACCATCGTTTGTTCCCTTGAAGAAGGGAACATCACATTTATTTCTGTAGCCCCCACTTAATCCCCTTTGCATGGCACTGTACTTAATATATATGTGACAGGCATTACAAAAATTTCAAGTACTCTAATATTTATCTGTGGAGAGCACAAACCTTGCAAATATTAATTGCTTGATACATACTTAGTAGATTGACATTTTCTTTCCTCCATACATTTCATTCACTTTGGGAGAGGGAGAAGAAATAAATCATTGTGAGAGTATTGTTTCAGAAATGTGCTCACATAGATTGAAGTCTATATTTCTATTTTGTTACTTTGGTGTAAATTTATAAGTAATTTTAGAATAAAGGAGAAATTTGGAAAGGAAGAAGAAACTTTTTCAGGGCTTGGGAAGACAACTTAAATACTTGAGTTTGTGGATATTAGTTCTCTTTTGAACTTCCTGGATTAAGAAAAAGCTTTTTGGCCATATTTAAAGTCACTGTATGTATATGTATTAATAGTTCTGCCTTTGTCAGGAGACTTGTTTTTTTTTTTTTTTTTCGCTTGCATGGCAGTTTTGAGCAATGTGATTTAAAATTTTTGTTAAACTACTTATAAATTCATTCTTTGTTTAATTTCAGTTTGTTATTCAAGATAGAGGGTATATATTTTCCTCCCAGAAATCTTGGCTGTTTTCTATTTATTAAACTGTTCTAATATTTGTAAGCAAGCAGATCTGACTTTAACTTTTTAGATCTTTGTATTGCTTTACCCCAAAAAAGTAAAATTGGACCATGAACTTGATTGGGCCTCTTGTTATTATGTGTAGTGCTATTGACATGATCTGATTGCTAAGCAATGTTTGTTCTGCCTTTGGCTGTCTTAAAATTGGACTGTTAAAAACCAAAGACAAAAAGGAGAAAGCGAGACTGAACCAGCTCTGCTTAGTGTCACCTGATGTGAGACTCTGGTGGTTAATGTCTGTTCAGCTGAGTTTTCCTTATGAATTCTCCTATCTAAGACCTAGCACAACCAGTTTTCCATGATGTAATACCTCTAAAACATGTTTGAACTGCACTTACCCGAGGATATTACTGCCTTTTTACGGGTTTAGATTCATAGTTCTTCTGGGACTTGAGATCTCAGCCATTGCCTTCTCTTCTTCTTTCTTCTTCTTCATCTTTTTCTTTCTTTCTTTTTTTTTTTTTTTCCCATCACGGCTCACTGTAGTCTCAACCTCTCAGGCTCAAGCCTTCCACTTCAGCCTCCTGAGTAGCTAGGACCACAGGCGTGCCCCACACCCAGCTAATTTTTTGATATTTAGTAGAGATGAGGTCTCCCTATGTTGCCCAGGCTGATCTTGAACTCCTGGGCTCAAGCAATCCTCCCACCTCAGCCTCCCAAAGTGCTGGGATTACAGGTGTGAGCTGCTGTACCTGGCCTTTTTGTTGTTGTTATTGGTGATTTTTTTTTTCTAGCCCAAGTCCAAGAAATGATGGTATCTTTGTATTATTTGGGAGTAAAATGCAAAGCAATTTATTTTGTGCTACGTGTTAAAGGTTAGTGGAGTCTGGTAGAGTACGTTACAGGTCCCTTTCTTCCAAAATTATGAGAGGAAATTAGATAAAAATTCTGGAAAAACATACTTTTTAAAAAAGAATAGGCTGGATGCATTGGCTCATGCCTGTAATCCCAGCACTTTGGGAGGCCGAGGTGGGCGGATCACCTGAAGTCGGGAGTTTGAGACTAGCCTGACCAACATGGAGAAACCCCATCTCTACTAAAAATACAAAATTAGCTTGGTGTGGTGCTGCATGCCTGTAATCCCAGCTACTTGGGAGGCTGAGGCAGGAGAATCGCTTGAACCCAGGAAGCAGAGGTTGTGGTCAGCCAAGATCGCACCATTGCACTCCAGCCTGGGCAACAAGAGCTAAACTCAGTCTCAAAAAAAAAAAAAGAAAAAATAGTACACCAATTTATTTAGGTTTCATCAATCTTTGCATGCATCTGTTTCTTTTTCTTTTTTCTTTTTCTTTTTTTTTTTTTTTTAAAGACAAGATCTTGCTGTTTTGCCCAGGCAGAGAAGTGCAGTGGTATGGTCATAGCTCACTATAGCCTTGACCTTCTGACCTCAAGTGATCCTCCTGGCTGTCTTCTGAGTAGCTGGGACTACAAGCACACACCACCATGCCTGGCTAATTTAATTTTTTTATTTTTTTAGAGACAGGGTCTCACTATGTTGCCCAGACTGGTCCTGAACTCCTGGCCTCAAGTGGTCCTCCCACCTTGATCTCCCAAAGTGCTGGGATTACAGGTGTGAGTCACTGTGCCTGGCCTCTTTTCTTTTCTTTTCTTTTTTTTTAATGGTTATTAGCAGGGTTTCAGTGTTTTAGATGTAGGCCTTTTAGAAAACATAAGTATCAAAATTATGTCCACGTTTTAACATTGTATTATAGGTTTATTTAGGCCTCTTAATTGTTGTTACCATAACCTTTAGAATCACATTTTTCTGGAAAGACCAGTATGGGTCAGAAGAACCCCTATGATATGTATGCTGCTTACTGCTCAACGTTGGCAGCAGAAAAGCTTGTAAAGCAAACCAGGTAGATTTTCATTGGTTCGTAGAAGGGCAGTTCTTTTTTATGAATCAAAAACCAAAAGTGGTTTTATTGAACCACTGGCCTTTTTTTCTTTCTTTCTCATTATCACAAGGCAAAACACAGACTTTGGAGCCAAACATCCAGATTCCAGTACCCTCTTTAACCTTTGTCAAGTCATTTAAATACTCCAAACCTCATTTTCCTAGATGATAAAGTGGGGGTAATTTCATCTCAGGTAATATATTTATAAAGCAATTAGCACAGTTTCCAGGTATATTGTAGGTAAGCAGTAAGTAATTTTCTTGACAGCTTTGATACAGTGGCCCCAGAACTCTTCCTACCAGGTGCTGTTATTCAGCCTTCAGGAGGTCCATGAACAGTAGTAATAGCAGTGTCAGTGTTTTTTTAATTTTTATTATTTATTTATTTATTATTATTATTTCTTTGAGATGGAGTTTTGCTCTTGTTGCCCAGGCTGGAGTGCAATGGTGAGATCTCGGCTCACTGCAATCTCCGCCTCCCAAGTTCAAGCAATTCTCCTGCCTCAGCCTACTGAGTAGCTGGGATTACAGGCAGCTGCAACCACGCCCAGCTAATTTTTATATTTTTAGTAGAGACAGGGTTTCACCACGTTGGTCAGGCTGGTCTCAAACTTCTGACCTCAGGTGATCCACCTGCCTTGGCCTCCCAAAGTGCTGGGATTACAGATGTGAGCCACCACACTTGGCCAGTAGTGTCAGTGTTTTTTAAATCAGAGTAAGGATATGTTTTAGACTATGTCACACCTCTTTCTTCACTTCTTTTTTTTTTTTTTTTTTAAGACAGAGTCTCGCTCTGTTGTCCAGGCTGGATGGAGTACAGTGGCATGATACCGGCTCACTGCAACCTCCGCCTCCTGGTTTCAAGCAATTCTTGTGCCTCAGCCTCCTGAGTAGCTGGGATTACAGGTGTGTGCCACCACATCCGGTTAATTTTTATATTTTTAGTAGAGATGGGGTTTCATCATGTTGGCCAGGCTGGTCTTGAACTCCTGGCCTCAGGTGATTCACCTGCCTTGGCCTCCCAAAGTGCTGGGATTATAGGTGTGAGCCACCATGCCTGGCTCTTCGTTCACTTCTTTGTTTAGGTAATAAAGTTTGAGGGAGGACATTTATGCTTTAATGTTTAACTCTGAGCTTTATACAGAACCGTGAATTTGATAAATATTTGACTGACTGAATGCGAATGCCACCAAGGAACATGTTAATGTTATTTTCCTTATGCTAGTTTACAAAGAGTTAAAGTCTAAAATTTGTTTTAGATCTGTTAATGTTATATCACAGGGGAGTGACCCATACAATTTTTTGTGTTATGTACCTATTATTAGTTTTCTGTGGCTATCATAACGAATTACCACAAACTTAGTAGCTTAAAACAACACACGTTTATTTTATCTTACTGTTCTATAAGTCAGAGGTCTGACAAGAGTCTCACTGGGCTAAAATCAAGGTATCAGCAGGGCTGCATTCCTCTCTGGAGGCTCTAGAGGAGAATCCATTTCCTTACTTTTTTCAGCTGCCAGTGGCTGTTTGCATTCCTCGGCTCATAGACCCCTTCCGTCTTCAAACCCAGCAATGAGTCTTTCTCACATTGCATCACTCTGATATTGACTCTTCTGCCTCCCTCTTCCACCTATGAGGACCTTGTGATTACTTTGGACCCACAGTGATAATCCAGGATAATCTCTCTTTTAAAGTCTTCTGACCAGCAACTTTAATTGCATCTACAATTTTGATTTATTTCCCTTGCCATATAATGCGACACAGTCACAGGTTCTGGGGATTAGGACATAGACATCTCTGGGGGGCCATTAGTCTGCCTACCTCAGTATCCCATTAGGAAAGCATTTTTGAGCACATCCCCATGTGCTACTATTAACCCATAATTAAATATTAGTAAAATGAAATTTCTCTTTTTATCAAAAATAAGTAAAAGTTTTCATTTTCTTCCCATACTCCAACGGATAATGCGGCTCATTACCCATTTTGGAGACTGCTGGCTAATAGTAGGTCCTAGGAAAAGACCTGCCTTGGAATAAGAATTTCAACTTTTGGCAGGGTGCAGTGTCTTCGTGCCTGTGAAATCCCAGCAATTTGGGAGGCCGAGGCAGGCAGATTGCTTGAGCACAGGAGTTCAAGACCAGCCTGGGTAACATGACAAAACCCCATCTCTACAAAAATACAAAAATTAGGCCTGGTGCAGTGGCTCACGCCTGTAATCCCAGCACTTTGGGAGGCCAAGGCGGGCGGATTACCTGAGGTCGGGAGTTTGAGACCACCCTGACCAACATGGAGAAACCCCATCTCTACTAAAAATACAAAAATTAGCTGGGTGTGGTGGCGCATGCCTATAATCCCAGCTACTCGGGATGCTGAGGCAGGAGAATTGCTTGAACCTGGGAGGTGGAGGTTGCAGTGAGCTGAGATCATGCCACTTCACTCTAGCCTGGGTAACAAGAGCAAAACTCCATCTCAAAAAAAATACAAAAATTAGCTGGGTGTGGTGGTGCGTACCTGTAGTCCCAGCTACTTGGGAGGCTGAGGTGGGAGGATCGCTTGAGCCCAGGAAGTGGAGGCTACAGTGAGCCAAGATCGTGCCACTGCACTCCAGCCTGGGCAAAAGATGGAGACCTTGTCTCAAAAAAAAAAAAAAAAAAAAAAAAAATTTCAACTTTTATTTAAGTTCAATGAATACTGAGAACTAACTGTGAACAAGGCAATGTTTTAAGTGTATGGAGAGGCACAAAACTACATGGTATATGTTGTCCAGGTGGACTAACTAGTGGCTTAAAGGCTTGTTTTTTTTTTTTTTTTTTTTTTTTCAGGTCCTAGTCCAATGGAGGTTGGGTAGAGGTGGAAGGAGAGCTCATTTTCACCTAGAAGAGGGCCTCAGGTTCCTCCACTGGATCTTCTGCATCTGCTGGCAGATGAAGGAAGAAGCTGTGGAAAATAGTGTTGAGGTTTTATGGAACAGGCCTAGAAATGACATAATCACTTCTGCCCATATACCACTGGCCAGAACTTAGTGTTACAGTCTTAACCAACTATAATAAACACTGGGAAATGTAATCTACTTCAGGAGGAAAGGGGAAGCAATTTGTTGAACAAGTAGCTATTCTCTTCCACACACAGGATCCCTGCCCTCAAAAACCTTTTAATATCATGGAAGAGGTAGACATTAGGTAAAACTTGATGTAGAAGGCAGGGCCTAATAAATGCTCCAGTAGAGGTTTATTTTTATTTTTATTATTATTTTTTTGAAACGGAGGCTTGCTCTGTCACCCAGGCTGGAGTGCAGTGGCTCAATCTCGGCTCACTGCAGCCTCTGCCTCCTGGGTTCAAGCAATTTTCTTCTGCCTCAGCCTCCTGAGTAACTGGGACTACAGGTGCACGCCACCACACCCAGCTAATTTTTTTTGTATTTTTGGTAGAGATTGGGTTTCTCCATGTTGGCCAGGCTGGTCTTGAACCCTTGACCTCAAGTGATTCTCCCGCCTCGAGAAAGATTAATTATGATTGGAAATATTTGAAATTACATCTCTGAGCTAGAGATTCTTATAACCAACTTCAAAGAGCTATTTTAAGAATTCAGTGACAGGCCAGGCACAGTGGCTCCCACCTGTAATCCCAGCCCTTTGGGAGGCTGAAACAGAAGAATTGCTTGAGGCCAGGAGTTCGAGAGTAGCCTGGACAACATAAGGAAACCCCATCTCTACAAAAAAATTAAAAAATTAGCCAGGTGAGATGGTGCATGCTTGTAGTCTCAGCTATTTTGGAGGCCGAGGTGGGAGGATCGTGTGAGCCCATGAGTTCAAGGCTGCAGTTAGCTATGATCACGCCACTGCACTCCAGCCTGAGTGATAGAGTGAGATCCTGTCTCTAAAAAACACAAAAAGAGTTAGGTGATTTAATATGTGGACATGTCTGGCACACTAAATGCTATATAAATGTTTGGTGCTATTATTGTTGTTGTTATTTGGAGGTGTTCTTGAGCCAAGTTTTTAAGGATTCATAGAGCTTTGAAAAATGGATTCCAGACAGAGAGACTCATTCTCACAACAATATGGAAGTAGGAGGATTCAGGACATATTTAGAAGTGGCAGGTTGTATAACTGCAACATAGAGAATGCAGGTGGTGCCTGTGGCCTCAGAGCCTGCAGGCGGTGCTGGCTCTGGGTCCGGGTTGGAAAAATAAGAATTTTATAAAATGCAAAAGAAAAAGAAAAGAGAGAGAATGCAGGTGGATGTAATAGGAGATAAAGCAAGAGAGGTTTGGATCAGATCATTCAGACCTTTGAATAACATGGTAAGGAATTTGGACTTTAATCGGGATCTGTAAGCTGCCACAAAAGCTTTTTGAGTAGCAGTTTCTCAAGGGAAGTGATTGTGTCTTGCTCATCTTTATATACTTTGTATAACTATACAGAGAGGTAATATAGCATTGTGATTAAGAACACAGACTCTATAATCAACTGTTTAGGTTTGACTCCCGGCTCTGCCTTTTATTAGCTGTATGATTTGGGGCAAGTTACTTAATCTCTGTGCCTCAGTTTCTTTATTGGTATGATTGGGATAATAAAAGTACTACTTCATTGGGTTATTATGAGGATTAAATGATTTCATATAAGGTAAAGTGCTTAGAACAATGCCTGCATAGTAAGTGCTCATTAAGAGTTAGCTGATACCAGGCTGGGTGTGGTGGCTCACACCTGTAATCCCAGCACTTCAGGAGGCCGAGGATGGCGGATCACTTGAGGTCAGGAGTTTGAGACCCGCCTGGCCAACATGGTAAAATGCTGTCTCTAATAAAAATACCAAAATTAGTCAGGCATGGTGGTGCACGCTTGTAATCCCAGCTGCTTGGGAGGCTGAGGCAGGAGAATCCCCTGAACCTGGGAGGTGGAGGTTGCAGTGAGCCAAGATTGTGCCACTGCACTCCAGCCTGGGCAACAGAGCAACGAAGTGAGACTCCATCTCAAAAAAAAAAAAAAAAAAAAAAACAACTTAGCTGATACCAGGCCGGGCGTGGTGGCTCATGCCTGTAATCCCAGCACTTTGGGAGGCCGAGGCAGGTGGATCACCTGAGGTCAGGAGTTCGAGACCAGCCTGGCCAACGTGGCAAAACCCTGTCTCTACTAAAAATATAAAAATTAGCCAGGCATGGTGGCAGGCGCCTGTAATCCCAGCTACTCGGGAGGCTGAGGCAGGAGAATTGCTTGAACCTGGGAGGCAGAGGTTGCAGTAAGCTGAGATTGCACTACTGCACTCCAGCGTGGGCAACAGAGTGAGACTCTGTTTCAAAAAAAAAAAAGAGTTATCTCATACCATCATCATTATCATCGTTGCCAGTGCCTGGCACATAATAGGTACTCAAAAAATTTTGAGTTGTGTTTTAAATTTACCCAGTGAAGGCTGGGCGCAGTAGCTCACACCTGTAATCCCAGTACTTTGGGAGGCTGAGGCGGGTGGATCACTTGAGGTCAGGAGTTCAAGACCAGCCTGGCCAACATGGTGAAACCCTGTCTCTACTAAAAATACAAAAAAATTAGCCAGGTATGGGGGCACATGCCTGTAATCTTAGCTACTTGGGAGGCTGAGGTGGGAGAATCACTTGAACATGGAGGCCAGATAGCGCTGCTGCATTCTAGCCTGGGTGACAGAGCAAGACCCAGTCTCAAAATAAAAATAAATAAAAATAAATAAAAATAAATTTACCCAGTGAAGAATCACTTGAGCCCAGGAGTTTGAGGCTGCAGTGAGCTATGATGGTGCCACTGCTCTCCAGCGTAGTTGACAGAGCTAGATCTTGCCTCAAAAACAAAACAAAACAAAACAAACCATAATTTACCCAGCAAGTGTTTTTTATTTTTAACCTCCTTCAGAGAAAGACTAACAAGCGTTTATATATTGTCATATGCCAGGCAAGAGAATGGTATCTTGCTGTTAAGAAGCTTGTGGTCTAGTAAAAAAGTTATAAGGCATGTGATAAAACATAGTTAAAGCTTGGAAATGATGCTATAGGAAGGTGATATAGGCTGGGCATGGTGGCTCACACCTGTAATCCTAGCATATTTGGGAGGGTGAGGCAGAAAGATTGTTTGAGCCCAGGAGTTCAAGGTTGCAGTGAGCTGTAATTGCAACACTGCACTCCAGCCTGGGTGACAGAGTGGGACCTTGTCTCAAAAAAAAAAAAAAAGAAAAGAAAAGAAAAGAAAGGAGTGTAAATGGCTGCCTTGGTAGTTGAAGAACATGAGAAGGAAGTATTTGAACTGGTATTTGAGGATGAGTAGAATCTAACTACAGTAATGCAGTGCATAAGATGTTTTGGTCAACAACAGACCGCATACATGATGGTGGTTCCATGAGATTATAATACCATATTTTTACTGTACCTTTTCTATGTTTAGATATGTTAAGATACACAAAACTTACCATTTTGTTGCAGTTGTCTACAGTATTCAGTACAGTAATATGCTGTACAGGCTTGTAGCCTAGGATCAATAGACTCTACCGTATAGCCTGAGGGTATTGTAGGCTATACCATCCAGGTTTATGTAAGTACACTCTATGATTATGCAACCACAAAATCACCTAAGAATGCATTTCTCAGAATGTATCCCCATCGTTAAGTAAGGTATGTGGAAATGAAGAGAGGGGCATTTTAGGTAGTGGGAACAGTCTGAGAAAAGGCAAAGATGTGGAAAAGCTTAATAATGACACTTTATGGGGAATGGTAAATCATGCTATAGAAAAGACTCTAGTCTCTAGACAAAGTCTAGTTTACCAGTAGTATCAGAGTTAAGAGTTTCCTGTTGGGGCCGGGTGCAGTGGCTAATGCCTGTAATCCCAGCCTTTTGGGAGGCTGAGACGGGCGGATCACTTGAGGTCAGGAGTTCGAGACCAGCCTAGCCAACATGGTGAAACACCCCGTCTCTACTAAAAATACAAAAATTAGCCAGGTGTGGTGGCCGCCTCTAATCCCAGCTACTCGGGAGGCTGAGGCAGGAGAATCGCTTGAACTCAGGAGGCAGAGGTGCAGTGAACCAAGACTGAGCCATTGTACTGCAGCCTGGGCAACAGAGTGCGGCTCTGTCTTTAAAAAAAAAAAAAAAAAAAAAAAAAAAAAGAGTTTCCTGTTGGTCTTACTATCTTTAGAGCAGTGATAAACAGTCATTTGTTTAAAGGCTTTGCTACTCACTGCATGTAGTCTGTAGACCAAGCGACATCAGCATCACCTGGGAGTTTAGAAATTCAGATTCTTAGGCCCCATCCCTGACCTACAGAGTGCGAGTCTGCATTTTGACAAGATCCTTCATGGGTTTGTTTCCACAGTGGTCTAAAGTACAAAAGCAATCCTTGGCCTAGTGTGGTGGCTTACTTTGGGAAGCCAAGGCAGGAAGATCACTTGAGGCCAGGAACTTGAGACCAGCCTAGGCAACACAGTGAGACCCTGTCTCTACCAAAAAAAAAAAAAAAAAAAAAGCCAGCTGTGGTGTGTGCCTGTAGTCCCAGCTGCTCAGGAGGCTGAGACAGTGAGACAGGAGAGTCACTTGAGACTGGGAGGTTGAGGCTGCAGCGAGCTTATGATCACACTATTGCACTGTGCCACCGCACTCCAGACTGGGCGACAGAGCAAGACCTTGTCTCAAAAAAAAAAGCAACCCTCCTTCTCAACATGAATCTGTATGTCATATGAAACTAAAAATAACAAAGTTGAGTAATCACTTACTCTCAAAGCACATGCATTAAGAAAGCACCCCCTTCCTGAGTTAAGTAATTCTAGCTGGTATGATTTGGGGTGGGGTATGGGGATAGGGGAATAAAAATCATTCAGAATATAAATTTTTAAGGTCTTGTGACATGACAATGATTTGAGGCTTCATTTCGATTTTTGATATAGTTAGCAATAAAAACTTTAGTGAAAACTTATTGTTGATGTTACGTGCTTTTCTAGGCACATGTCACTTCCCTGTCAAGGATGAGTAATATTTCCTCTTTATAGTATATTGTTTTTTTACAACATTTAGAGTGATTAACTCTGTTCAAGCTCTTTTTTTTTTTTTTTTTGAGACGGAGTCTCACTGTCACCCAGGCTGAAGTGCAGTGGCACAATCTTAGCTCACTGCAACCTCCATCTCCCAGGTTCAAGCTATTCTCCTGCCTCAGCCTCCCGAGTAGCTGGGACTACAGACGCCCACCACCACGCCTGGCTAATTTTTGTATTTTTAGTAGAGATGGGGTTTCACCATGTTGGCCAGGATGGTCTTGATCTCTTGACCTCGTGATCCTCCCACCTTGGCCTCCCAAAGTGCTGGGATTACAGACATGAGCCACTATGCCCGGCCGCTCTTTTTCCAATATAAAGCTAATGCATGTCTCAGCTTGCCAGCTCTGTGACACCACTTTGGATGTGGTGGTGGTTTTCCATTAGGAATGATTTGGGAGAGGTTAGGCAGTAAAGTTGCACGTAGAAGTAGAGTTGTGTGACACGATTGTGATATGGTTATTTGAGTAGAGGGTGGGAAGAAAGCAGACAGAAAACTCTCCTATGAAGCCAGTGCCTGCCTGGATGTGCTATGACATCTCTGTAGATGGTGTGGTCAAAATAATAGTGGGCCTGGGAGGAAGAAAAGCAAGGGTGTGTCACATCCAAACCAGGTCTTTTCAGCTTCTAGAAAAACCCATGATTTTAAAATGTAGCCATTGTTTTTCTAGTAGAATCCTATTGCCTGACTTCTTTATAAATATTTGATTAAAGAAAATCAAATACCTCTTGGCTTTACTGCCTTGTACTTGCCTCTAATGTTCTTTAATGTAACACGAGTTTACATTGTGAAGTTAATTTGGTAATTATTGCTTCTTCATTCAATAAATGTGTGTTTAGCAACTTGTGTACGAAACATTTTGTGTGAGACATTGTATATAGAAACAAATGAGACAAGATCTGTACTCTTAAAAGCCTTGGCCCGGCATAGTGGCTCATGCCTGTAATCCTAGCACTTTGGGAGGCCGAGGTGGGAGGATCACTTGAGCCCAGGAATTTGAGACCAGCCTGGGCAACAAAGCAATACTATCTCTAAAAAATAAATTTTTTTTTTTTTTTTGAGACAGAGTTTCACTCTTGTTGCCCAGGCCGGAGTGCAATGGTGCGCTCTCGGCTCACCACAACCTCCACCTCCTGGGTTCAAGCAATTCTCCTGCCTCAGCCTCCCGAGTATCTGGGATTACAGGCATGTGCCACCACACCTGGCTAATTTTGTATTTTTAGTAGAGACAGGGTTTTCCATGTTGGTCAGGCTGGTCTCAAACTCCCGACCTGAGGTGATCCGCCAGCTTCTGCCTCGCAAAGTGCTGGGATTACAGGCGTGAGCCACCGCGCCGGGCTAAAAAATATTCAAATAGGCCAAGCACGGTGGCTTATGCCTGTAATCCCAGCACTTTGGGAGGCTAAGGCAGGCAGATCACCTGAGGTGGGTGGATCACCTAAGGTGAGGAAGTTTAAGACCAGCCTGGCCAACATGGTGAAGCCCTGTCTGTACTAAAAATACAAAAATTACCTGGGCATGGTGGCAGGTGCCTGTAATCTCAGCTACTCAGGAGGCTGAGGCAGGAGAATTGCTTGAACCCGGGAGGCGGAGGTTGCAGTGAGGCAAGATTGCACCACTGCACTTCAGCCTGGGTGACAGAGCGAGACAGTCTCAATCAGTCAATCAATCAATCAATCAATACCTTATATTCCAGTCTGGGGAAGGAGTCAGAAATGTTAGATTAGCAAGAATAGCTAACATTTTCTAGTGTTTATTATGTTCCAGAAGCCCAAGTTATCTTATTTCATCTTCACAATAACCATATGGGTTAGGTAATATTAATATTTACATTTTGCATGTGAAGAAACTGAATTGCAGAGAGGTCATCAGTAAATGGTAGAGCCAGGATTCAAATCAAAGCAGTCTAACTCTAGATCCAGACCACTTAACTTAATGCTAATTAGCAGTCATTCAAAGTAGGGTGAAAAGTGCTAGTTATACTGTGGGAGGTAGGGAGAGACAAAAGAGAGAGAGAAGAGATTAATGCTAAGGGCGTCCAGGAGATCCTTTGTATAGAAGATGAAATTTTAGCTGATCTTGGATGATTTTCAGTAAATATAGTATTCCAATTCAAGGAAGGAACTTCAACCAAGTTTCCAAGTCATAAAAATCATTCATGCCATTTAATAAATCTTTACTGATAACTAGCTTACTGTGTTCCAGACACTATACTAGGTAGTAGAAATGCAGAGATAAATGAAGCTCTGAATCTTCCATAGTGAGAAAAGTTTCAAGAGTGATATGGGGCCAATGCAGGAGGATTGCTTGACACAAACAGTTCAAGACCAACCTGGACAACAGCAAGACCCCAGCTCTATTTAAAAAATTAAAAAATTTGCTCGCTGTGGTGATGTGTGCCTGTAGTCCCAGCTACTCAGGAGGCTGAGGTGGGAGGATCACGTGAGCCAATGAGGTTGAGGTTGCAGTGAGCTATAATCACACTGTTGTACTCCAGCCTGGACAACAAAGCAAGACCCTGTCTCAAAAAAAAAAAAAAAAAAAGGGCTGGGCGCAGTGGCTCACACCTGTAATCCCAGCACTTTGGGAGGCTGAGGGGGGCGGATCACGAGGTCAGGAGATCAAGACCATCCTGGCTAACACAGTGAAACCCCATCTCTACTAAAAATACAAAAATTAGCTGGGTGTGGTGGCATGCGCCTATAGTTCCAGCTACTCGGGAGGCTGGGGCAGGAGAATGGCATGAACCCGGGAGGCAGAGCTTACAGTGAGCCGAGATCGCGCCACTGCACTCCAGCCTGGGCGCAGAGTGAGACTCCATCTCAAAAAAAAAAAAAAAGAAATGTAGCTAGAGGCTGGGTGCAATGGCTCACGCCTGTAAGCTCAGCACTTTAGGAAGCTGAGGTGGGAGGATTTCTTGAGGCCAGGAGTTCCAGACCAGCCTAGGCAACATAATGAGACCCTATCGCTATGATAATAATAATAATAACAATAACAATAATAATAATAATACCAAAATTAGCCAGGCGTGGTGGTGCACACCTATAGTCCTAGCTGCTCATGAGGCTGAGGTGGGAGGATTGCTTGAGCCCAGAAGTTCAAGGTTGCAATGAGCAGTGATCACACCACTGCACTCCAGCCTGGGCAACAAAGTAAGACTCTTTTTAAAGAAAAAAAAAAAACCTTAGAAACATAGATAGAGAATGTAACCTATTCTTAAAGTTTGGTAACAAATAAAAAGTGAATTAGATTCATATTTTAGTGAGGGGGCAAGGGAAGATTTCTATTTTTATTTTTTAGACAGAGTCTCGCTCTGTTGCCCAGGCTGGAGTGCAGTGGCGTGATCTTGGCTCACTGCAACTTCTGCCTCCCTGGCTAAAGTGATCCTCCTGCCTCAGCCTACTGAGTAGCTGGGACCACAGGCATGCCACCATGCCTGGCTAATTTTTGTATTTTTTTGTATAAAAAATACAATTATTATTTTGTATTTTTTGTAAAGATCATATTTCACCGTATTCTCCAGGCTGGTCTTGATCTCCTGGGCTCAAGAGATCTGCCCGCCTTGGCCTCCCCAAGTGCCAGGATTCCAGGTGTGAGCCACTGTGCCTGGCGGAAGAATTTTTTAAGATGAGGGAAATTTAACTATATATTTGTAGGCTAGGGTCATAGAGCCCAGAGGAAAAGGACAGGTGGATGAAGAATAAGGCTCATGGGAAAATGTGAGGTTTCAAAGATAAGTTGGAGTGGATCATGGGAAGTTTTAATGTTATTCTGTAGGCAGAAGGGAACCATTGAAGGGTTATGAAAAAGAGAATGACATATTTTGTGTTTTGAAAAGGTAACTCTCATAGCCATGTAAAGGATAATGTAATTTAGGATTGTTAATAATGATAAAATAAAAACCACTGACCTTTATTTGAGCATACACTAGGCATTGCTACACAGTATACTTGAAAATATCCCATTTAATTCTCATAACAACCTTTTAAGGTGGTGTTATTTTTCTGTCCATTTTTATAGATGAGGAAATTGCGATTTATAAAGATTAGGTAACTTTCTTAATGTCTCCCAGGTGGAAATGGAGAGATATCCCTGTGCTCTAGAGGAAGGGTCAATGCCTTAGTGTTTTCTATTGCTTAGAATACCAGAAACTGGGTAATTTATAAAGAAAAGGAAACTATTTCTTACAGTTATGGAGGCTGAGAAGTCCAGGGTTGAGAGGCCACATCTGGTGAGAGTCTTCTTGCTGGTGGGGACTCTCTGCAGAGTCCCGAAGTGGCTCAGGGCATCACATGGCAAAGGGGCTGAGTATGCCAGATCAGGTCTCTCTTCCTGTGTATTTTTGTTGGAGACAGGGTCTCACGCTGTCACCCAGGCTTGAGTACAGTGGCATGATCTCAGCTCACTGCAGCCTCAACTTCCTGGGCTCAAGTGGTCCTCCCACCTCAGCCTCCTGAGTAACTGAGACCACAAAAGTGTGTGACCACACCCAGCTAACATATGTATATGACGAGGTCTCAGGTCTCCCTATATTGCCCAGGCTAGTCTTGAACTCCTGGATTCAAGCGATCCTTCTGCCTTGACCACTCAAAGTGTTGGGATTATATGCATGAACCACTGTGCCCAGTCTCTTCCTCCTCTTAGAAAGCTACCAGACTCATTCCTGCAATAATCCATTAATCCATGAATGGATTAGGCAGAGCCCTCATGACCCAATCACCTCTTAAAAGCCATACCTCTCGGCCGGGCGCGGTGGCTCACGCCTGTAATCCCAGCACTTTGGGAGGCTGAGACGGGCAGATCACAAGGTCAGGAGATCGAGACCATCTCAGCTAACACGGTGAAACCCCGTCCCTACTAAACATACAAAAAATTAGCCGGGCGTGGTGGCGGGCGCCTGTAGTCCCAGCTACTTGGGAGGCTGAGGCAGGAGAATGGCGTGAACCAGGGAGGCGGAGCTTGCAGTGAGCCGAGATTGCGCCACTGCACTCCAGCCTGGGCAACAGAATGAGACTCCGTCTCAAAAAAAAAAAAAAAAAAAAAGCCGTACCTCTCAATACTGCCACGTTGGGAATTAAGTTTCACTATGAGTTTTGGAGGGAGCAAACATTCAAACCATTGTAGTCAGCAGACTTTTTCTATAAAGGGCTAGATAGTAAATATTTTAGTCTTTACAAGTCACACAGTCTCTGTCACAACTATTCAACTCTGCCATTATAACATCAAAGAAGCCATAGATAATACCATATCTATGTTCTAGTAAAACTTAATTTATAAAAACAGGTAGTTGGCCATAGTTAGCCAATTCCTGCTAGTACCCATCATAGTTTGGAAAGCCTTAATCATGCAGGAAATGTAGCTTATCATATTTTACTTTAACTGTTTTTGTTATAGTAGGATAATGGGAATAGAATTATTCCTAGGCAGGGATATAATTTAATCTCAGAGAAGCAGTCTTTCTAAAAGAGGCTGACTAGAAACAGCAGTTCATGTATACAATTTAACCACATTCTGCATAATTTATCTTTTTATTATAATTGCCCTCCAACAGAATGACCCTAGAATGAAAGTTTTTATTTACTCTCTGTCCTTAATACTTTCAACATAGCAGCCATTCAATAAATAATTGTTTAATAAATTAATGGCATACCCTCAAAATTCTAGTGATTGGGGAGTTGTATGAACATTTAGAGAAAAATGACCCATCTTATTTTATTTTTATTATTAATTAATTAATCAATTTATTTATTTTTGAGGCAGAGTTTTGCTCTGGTTGCCCAGGCTGGAGTGCAATGGCACGATCTCGGCTCACTGCAGCCTCCGCCTCCCGGGTTCAAGTGATTTTCCTGCCTCAGCCTCCTGAGTAGCTGGGACTACAGGCACCTGCTACCATGCCCAGCTAACTTTTGTATTTTTAGTAGAGACAGGGTTTCACCATGTTGGCCAGGGTGGTCTTGAACTCCTGACCTCAGGTGATCCACCCGCCTTGGCCTCCCAAAATGCTGGGATATTTCCACATTAGTTGAAATGTGGAAGCAGCATGTTTTAAAAACTCTGCTGTGATATTATAGCCAACCAGGCATTCTCCTTTGTTTCTTCTCACTCAGCAATCATTTACTGAATTTGCTTACTCTTTGTTTACTAGGTGGTGTTAGGTTCTGTGAACACAGGGAAGAATATGACATGGACCCTGTCTTCCTGGAAATTTTATGATCCTTTCTAACACAGTCACTGCTGTGCCTTACACTCTGCTTGTAGTCAGTCTCTTCCCATTCCTTTGCTCTTCTAAACTAGAACTTACTTGGGACTTGGGTATTGTTAATGGCTTTAAGACGTTTATCTTCTCCTACTTTATGATCATCATCAGTCATACTCATTGATTTATGGTTTTTATTTAAAAATCATTCATATATATAAATATAACCTGTTGGTTGAGAAAAACTTCAAATATCACTTAAATGTGTAAACTAAAAAGAAATAGTGACTTTGTGTCTGTGTGTAAGCATTTAGTTAGGTAATGGCAGAGCTGAAACCAGCATCAAGTTTATTTACTTCCAATTGGGGCTTTTTCCATTATACCATGCTGTTTTCAAGACTACTCTCCTTCTTCCACCATTGCTTTTTACCACCAGGTCTTGCTACAACCAGATACTTCATGGTAAATTTAGAAATTTATCAGCCTGGCATCTTAATCAAGATTAAGAGTCTTATGCCAAATCTTATGCAAAGGCGTAAGAATGATATAATGAACCCTGAGGACCTGGGGGGAAAGGTTGGGAGGGGGATGAAGGATAAAAAACTACATATGGGGCTGGGTGCGGTGGCTCACGCCTGTAATCCCATCACTTTGGGAGGCCGAGGCGGGTGGATCACAAGGTCAAGAGATTGAGACCATCCTGGCCAACATGATGAAACCCCGTCTCTACTAAAAATACAAAAATTAGCTGGGCGTGGTGGCGCATGCCTGTAGTCCCAGCTACTCTGGAGGCTGAGGCAGGAGAATTGCTTGAACCCGGGAGGCGGAGGTTGCAGTGAGACAAGATCATGCCACTGTACTCCAGCTTGGCAACAGGGTGAGACTCTGTCTCAAAAAAAAAGCAACAAAACCACATATGGGGTACAGTGTACAATGCTCAGGTGACAGGTGTTCCAAAATCCCAGAAATCACCAGTAAAAAAACTAATCCATATAACCAAAAACCACCTGTACCCCTAAAACTCTTGAAATAATTAAAAACAACAAAAAGATTAAGAGTCTACAGGGCTGTACAAGATAGCAGGGGGCTTCACAGGTTCTTTCTTCCTTTCCTTTCCCTTTCCCTTTCTCTTTGCCTTTCCCTTTCCCTTCCTTTCTTTTCTATCTATCTTTCCTTTTTTTTTTTTTAGATGCAGTCTCTTTTTTTTTTTTTTTTTTTTGAGTCAAAGTCTCGCTCTTGTCCCCTAGGCTGGAGTGCAATGGTGCGATCTCAGCTCACTGCAACCTCTGCCTTCCAGGTTCAAGGGATTCTCCTGCCTCAGTCTCCTGAGCAGCTCGGACTACAGGCGCATGCCACCACACCTGCCTAATTTTTGTATTTTTAATAGAGATGTGGTTTCACCATGTTGGCCAGGATGGTCTTGAACTCCTGACCTCAGGTGATCCGCACACCTCTGCCTCCTAAAGTGCGGGGATTACAGATGTAAGCCATCATGCCGCACCCCACAGGTTGTTTCTAATGCATGGGTAACTAACCTGATTTCTCTATATGAATTTATATTTGTGTCCTTTTCACTTGTTAAATAATTCTGTCTTGTTCTTTAGGTTCATGGGTGTATGTGTTCATCAAGGACAATTGCATGCACTTACAGAGGTAAGACATCAGTAAGTGTTGAAGTAACGTATTTGCCTTAGTTTCAGCATTTATAGTTCCATAGTAAGTGTTGCTTGCATATGTAAACAAAATGTATGTGCATTTATGTTTATGCAAAAATGGCAGTGTTAATAATGCTTTATTCTGTTGCCTGGGAACAATGGCAGTATTTCTTTATATATATATATATATATATATATACACACACACACACATACACTTTAAGTTCTGGGGTACATGTGCAGAATGGGCAGTATTTCTTAATGTCCTTCTATTCCCTCATAATACTTGGTGAATACTCTGACAATATGAGTGCTCAAGTATTAAAGTATTAAGTTAGCTCTTGCTGCCTAGATATGACTCCATCCTAAGCCAAGGGATGACAGCACTTGACTGCAAACTCTCTATGGCAACAAATTACCAGACCACCTGGTAATGTTTGCTGTCCTGATCTAGAATTCCACAGTCCCTGCTGTGGTTTCCTGGTTGGTCTTATTACTTGTTGGAATCAGTTTACATCTTCATTCTCGTTTCATTTCCAGCCTCTGCTAGGCGGAATATGTGATAGTCATTATTCATCCTCCGAGGATCAGAGAACTCTCTTTAGAGCCAATTCAGGTACCAAGTTATCAACTTCAGACCTTGCTTGGGTGCTCCTTGGAAACACAGATTCCTGGAATCTTCTAGGTTTAATAGGTTTGTATAGGGCCTATTACATCTATATTTTTAAAAGCTCCTCAGATTATTTCATGAGCATCTGGATTTGAGAATCTATGTTCTAGATTCTTTTCACATTCCTCCTTGAGAAGCAATTACCAAAGTACAAAGTGAAGAAACTTAGGAAGGAAAGTTGTTTAACAGAATTTGCAAGAGTGTTGGTTTTTTACTGGCTTGGTAACTGGTATTAGTCCTTAATAGCTTATGAAAGAGGGTCCCATGTGCCTCAGTCTCTCTCTTTTCTCAGTTACTGAAGGCACTAGAATGTGGAATGTGTGCAGCTATGCCCTGCCTCTTAAATGGAAAGCCAAAGAAGACAGAATGGTGAAGAGGTTAAGAGCATGGCCTCTGAAGTCTTGATTACATACGTTTGAATCTGTCTGTATCTCAAAGTTTCCATCTGTATAATGGGGATAATAATAATTAATAATACCTGCCCCAGGGAGTTTAGATAGAGAAGATGACCAAGAGCTGAGCCCTAGAATATTTGGGAGTCTGAGGTGAGAGGATTACCTAAGACCAGGATTTCGAGACCAGCCTGGGCAACATAGCAAGGCTCTGTCTCTACAAAAAAAAAAAAAAAAAAAAAAAAAAAAAAAAATTAATAATTAGCTGGATGTGATGGCATGTACCTGTAGTCCTATTTACTCAGGAGTCTGGGGCAGCAAGATTGCTTGAGCCCAGGAGTTTGAGGCTATAGTGAGCCATGATTGTGCCACTGCACTCCAGCCTGGGCAACAGAGTGAGACCCTGTCTCTAGATACATAGATAGATAGATAGATAGATAGATAGATAGATAGATAGACAGATAGATAGATAGATAGATAGATACGTACGTACATACATACATACATACATACATACATACATAGAGTGAGACCCTGTCGATAGATAGATAGATGAATGAATGAATGAAAGTCTGGGGAGAAGGACAGACTGAGAAGGAGCAGTTAGTGAGGTAGGTAGAAAACCAGAAGAACGTGCTGGCCTGTAATGAAAAGGAAAGAGTTTCAAGGAAGGAGTATTAATTGTGGCAAATGCTGTTGATATAATGTTGACCTCACAAGGATGTTGGGAGGATGAAATATAAAATACTTATTTAGTACAGTGCCTGGCATGTATAAATTATTTAATACATGTTAACTCTTTGAACAAAATAACAGTGACTAGTCCCTCTTCTGAACTCTGAATTGTTAATATTTTTCATTTTGTACTTAGTCCTATACCGCTGTTAGTGTCATTAAATTAGACTTTTTACTGAAGTATAACATATCAGAAAAAGTATACATATGAAAAGTACCACTCACAAAATTTTTACAAATGAACACACCCATAACCAGCACCCCAGATCAAGAAACATTTGCCATGTATTTTTTTTCTTGGAAGTGAGTCTATAAATTCTTCAGAGATAAAATTCTCCCCTTCCTTCTGTCTACCAGAGTTCTGACGCTAACAAGCATAAAAGTATTTGATGCATTCCCTGCATGTGTGATTGTTCTCTGAAATGTGAATTCATTGGAAGGGCTGGTGTGTTAATTTTGCCGACAGAGAAGAACATCCTTTAAAATCTGTGTTAAGTTGCATATTTTAAAGCAGGTTGTGGTGGAAATGACAGTAATGAGTGATCATAATGCAATATTCTCTTGGCCATGTTGTACTTAATCTGCTGCTTGTTAGCTTCTTTATAGCCATATAAAACATACAATGTGTACTTTATGGAAGAGTATTTATTGCCAGTCTTTCCAGCAGCATTAATGAGATTTTGACATAGCTTATGATATTAGTAATTTTTAATATGATGTTAATAGACTGGTAGTGATGAAGCCCAAATAGCCAAATGCTCTTGGTTATTTTTAGAAGGGATCAGCAAAGGCCTTGATGGCATAGGTCTTTCGAGACTTCTAGGTTTAATTGCCTTATAATTTGACTTGGCAGCACAACTATATGGTAAGGATAATAAAAAATAAATTATTAAAAATATCTAGCACAGTCCTTGAAACTTAGATGACATTCACCAAATACTTTTCAGTTGGTGGAATGCTTGTCCTCCAAAGTAATGTGAGTACCATTCTTCATTTCTCTTCACATTTATTTGTCAATAATTACAGTAGACAAGCATGGCACTCATTAATACCTATAAAACATTGACATTATTAGGAAGAATATTTCCCATATACATTAGTGATCTGGACTTTCCTGGGCTTGAACCATTTCCATGAGTCTTCTTTGTAATTGTAGACATTAATTGAACTTGGAACAGTCAGACACTTAGTTTTTATTTTTAAACTACCTGTAGTAATGATAGACTAAAGATTTTTTTTTTGGGGGGACGGAGTTTCACTCTTGTTGCCCAGGCTGGAGTGCAATGGCCCGATCTCAGCTCACTGCAATCCACCTCCCAGATTCAAGCAATTCTCCTGCCTCAGCCTCCTGAGTAGCTGGGATTACAGGCATGCGCCACCATGACCGGCTAATTTTGTATTTTTAGTAGAGACGGGGTTTCTCCATGTTGGTCAGGCTGGTCTTGAACTCCTGACCTCAGGTGATCCGCCTGCCTTGGCCTCCCAAAGTGCTGGGATTACAGGTGTGAGCCACCGCGCCCGGCCAGCTGACTCAAGTTTTTAAGCAAACTAGTATTTGTTAAAGTGAAAGCATAGTCTGGGCATGGTAGTTCACGCCTGTAATCCCAACACTTCCAGAGGCCAAGGTGGGCAGATTGCTTGAGCTCAGAAATTTGAGACCAGCCTGGGCAACATGGCAAAAGCCTGTCTCTACAAAAAATACAAAAATTAGTCAGGTGTGGTAGCATGCACCTGTAGTCCCAGCTATTGGAGAGGCTGAGGTAGGAGGATCACCTGAGCCCAGGAGGTTGAGGCTGCAGTGAGCCATACTTGCACTACTGTATTCCAGCCTTGGTGACAGAGCAAGACCCTGTTTCAAAAAATATATAGTGAAAACGGTTTGGTGAAAAGTCACATGAAACCTTTTAAATTTAATGAGTTGAAATATGAATCTGTATTGAGGCTGGGTGCAGTGGCTCATGCCTATAATCCCAACACTTTTAGGAGGTAGAGGCAGAAGGATTGCCTGAGGCCATGATTTTGAAACCAGCCTTGGCAACATAGTGAGACCCAGACTCTACAAAAAATTAAAAAAATCAGCCAGATGTGGTGATACACACCTACAGTCTCAGCTACTTGGGAGGCTGAGACAGGATGATTGCTTGAGCCCAGGAGGTTGAAGGTTGAGAATGCAATGAGCCATGATTGTACCACTGCACTTCAGCCTGAGCAACAGAGAGAGACCTCTTAAAAAAAAAAAAAAAAAAAAAAAAGAATAGGAATGTACCATAAGTATGTCTTTCATTCACAAGACCTAACCTTGTCTTTCACTTAGTCACAAGTATCAGGGAAGTGTAAATCTTTGTTTTTTTTTTAACAGAAAATATAATTCTGTGTATTGGTTAGCTGTTGCCCTCCAGCCACAAAACCTCAAAAGCATACAATAAACGTTTATTTCTCATACATTTCCAGAGTTAGCTGAACTGAGTGGGGCTAGATTTGGCAGTTGTGCTGATCTCAGGCTCACTCATGCATCTGCAGGTCAGCTGGTGGTCTGCTCTAGGCTGAAATTTGCTGGGAGAACTTTGCTCTGGCTCATCCTCCTTCTGGGGCCAGTGGGCTAGACTGGACTTGTCCTTTTTAAGATGATACCAGAATAGCAAGAATATGACAGTCCATTTGCACAACTGATTTTCATGACTCTCCTTATGTTCAGATTTGCTTGGCCAACATCCCATTGGACAAAGCAAGTCACATGCTTGAGTCCAGGGGTAGGAAGTATGCTCTGCCCTTATCAGGAATATGCCGCAAAGTTATGTGTCAAAAGGCACAGATTCAGTAGAAGGCGAAGAATTGGAACCTTTGACAATCAACCATGCCCTGTAAATATCCCAGTCAGCAGATCATAAGTATTTGTGTTTTCTGCCCCATTGGAGAGTAAAGAATTTCTCCCATTTCTTAAACCATAACAACTATTAGTTATTTAAACTCCCACTATGGGCAGAATGCTATGGTTGATACTGTATATTAACTATAATTCTCACAATGCTATAATCTTATTTCTTCCATTTTGTAGATGAGAAAACTAAAGCTTAGAGAAATTAAGTTACTTCCCCAAAGTAGGATTGCATCCAGGTTCATCTGACTTCAAAGTCTATTTCTATTACAACATGCTGTGCTTAATTGATTTTTATATTCCCCACGGTGCTAAGCACAAGATCTTATGTGTGTAGCATGCATAGTATTTGTAGAATTCAATTCTGACTCACTTTTTATGTATTCTGGGTTATTTGGAAAAGATACTTTCTTCCTGGTCATTGGGTGTATTAGAATGTGTTTGGGAGCAAGTAACAGAAAATAGTTAAATGGGCTTTAAACAACAAAAGGACTCATATAACTGGAATTTTAGCAGTTTATTAGATTAAGTATTGATATAATTCAATGGTTAAATTGACGCTGTCCAGAGACCTTATTCTTTCTCTTTGCTCTGTCTTTATGTTGTCAGTTTCATCCTAAAATAAAGATGTCTGTCACTCATAATCAAAAAGTAGCTGCCAAAAACTTACATGGTATATGTTTTCTCTTCTATAGCCAAGATGAGTGGGAGGTTGGGATGGAGAGGAGAGGAAGAAAGAGAGAAGAGAAAGAGATGCCTCTGGATAGATTGTATGTCATCTCAAAGCGCTTTTTCCTTTTAATATTGTTAAGAAAGGCACAGAGAAGGAAATACCGTCAAAATCAAGCAGTTTGGGAACCTGTTAGTGCAGAAACTCTCAGTGGCTAGAAGATTGGGGAACTGGGTAAGGTATATGGTTGTGGAGAGGGTTCACAAATGGCAGTACTCTCTGATCAGGAGAGTCAGCAATTGAATTGCTTGGTGAGCAGGATGTTTTGGGGGTCTCTCTTGCCTTTTCTGCCATGAAGAAAACTATCCAGCCAGGTGCAGTGGCTCATGCCTGTAATCCCAACACTTTGGGAGGCCGAGGCGGGTGGATCACCTGAGGCCAGGAGTTTGAGACCAGCCTGGCCAACATGGTGAAACTCCGTCTCTATAAAAAATACAAAAATTAGCCAGGCATGGGTGGCACAAGCCCATGGTCCCAGTTACTCCGGAGGCTGAGGCAGGAGAATCACTTGAACCTGGGAGGTGGAGGTTGCAGTGAGCCGAGATCATGCCACTACACTCTAGCCAACAGAGCTCTAGGCAACAGAGCGAGACTCTGCCTAAAAAAAAAATTTAAAAAAAAATAAACTATTCTTATTTTCTTCTGTGGCGATGAGAACCACTCAGCCAATTCTGCAGTTGCAGAATATTCCTTGGCCTAGTCGAGGTGATTCGGTCTTTTTACAACAGAGCCATCTCAGTCGAGCAGATGTTTGGTACTGAAAGAAATGCTTTTAGCTAAAGGCTATTGCAGAGAGTTTGTTATTCACATAGCTCTGATCCTCCTGTCACTCCCTATTCCCACCCAACCATACATCTTCTTTCTTTATTAAAGAGTATTAGTGACTTTGGAAATTTCTTGTTTATGCGGGTTGATATGTATTGCTTCTGAGTTGGTTTTGTCAGACTTATAAGAAGCCTTATATAATCAGACAGCTTACAATGAAACTCCATGGGTTCAGTGACCAAACTCATGCGTTATTTATAAAAATGAGCAAGCCAAGGCCATGTCCAGTGGCTTCACACCTGTGACCCCAGCACTTTGGGAGGTTGAGAGGCAGGAGGATTATATGAGGCCAGGCGTTCAAGACCAGCCTAGGCAGCATAGTGAGACCTTATCTCTACAAAAAAATTTAAAAATTAGCCAGGCATGATAGTTTGTGCCTGTGGTCCCAGCTACTCCTGCTGAGGCAGAAGGATTACTTGAGCCCAGGAGGGCAAGGCTTCAATGAGCTAGGATTCTGCCACTGCACCCCAGCCTGCACAACAAAGTGAGACCCCATCTCAAAGAAAGGAAAAGTGAGCAAGGCAGACCCTGATTCCAGTTTTTTTGGTGTGCTGTGATATGTGATATTGTTATTAGTTGTGCCTGCTTCTTATTTTTTTGTGTGTTTCAGTACAGAATATTTTCCTATCCTTATTTACCATGATAAAGATGTGAAGTTGCTTGGTGCCCTGCCTTGGGTTAACTTTGGCAGCAAAGGCATACCTATCTTTCAAGTTTGGGACTGGCAGCTGTTAACCACCACATGGTAGTTTAGAGACACACCAGAGGTACTAACAGTGATTGCATCTGTGATTCAGGTTTTCCTAAAAGGACAAGTGAGGGGGAAACGACAAAGATGTAAATTAGAAAATACACGGGAAGGTAGAGATTCACTTGATACACACCATTTTGAGTGAATCTACTATGGGCTAGGTACTTTGCTAGGCTTTAGGTTTAGGATAAAAAGACATCTGCTCCCATGATCTATTGTTACATAACAAGCTACCCCAAAACTTAGTGGCTTTCTAATTTTAGTTTGCTTGTGATTTTGTAGGTCAGGTATGCAGAAGGGCTTTCCTGGATCTTTGATCCATATGTGTCAGCTGGAGTGACTGAGCTGGCAAATCCATTTCCAAGATGGCTTCTTCATTTGCATATCTGGTGCCATGGTACTCCTTGGTTCTTCTCTTTTTCCACATGGTGTCTCATTCTTTAGATCATCTCCATATGGCTTAGGCTTCCCACAGCATGGTGATCTCAGGATAGTTAGACTGGTACAAACCACTCAAGTGGAAGCTGCAAGCCTTTTATGACCTAGCCTTGCAAGTTCCAGAATGTCCCTTAAGCTGCATTTTATTGGTCAAGCAAGTCACTAAGGCCATCTGTCAATGACCATCTTTAGTTCACTGGAGTGTCTTTCATGAACTCAATGGTTAATGGCTGGGATAGTGAGAAAATTCTTACTGTGCCCTTCCTTAGAAACTGTTTTTTAAAAATCTGTTATCCCATGCTGTTAACTCTCAGATCTCTCTGTATATTAATAGTTGTTACTCATTATAGTTCATTTTCTTTTTTTCCACTCAGTTATTTTGCTAGTGTTTGCAGTACAGCTTAGCTTGGTTACCTTCCCCAAACTGGCCATCCATTCCAACCTTATCATTTCATTTCTTTATTTTTTGAGATGGAGTCTTGCTCTGTCACCCAGGCTGGAGTGCAGTGGCACCATCTCAGCTCACTGCAACCTCCACCTCCCAGGTTCAAGAGATTCTCCTGCTTTAGCCTCCCAAGTGGCTGGGACTACAGGCGCACACCACCACACCCAGCTAATTTTTGTATTTTTAATAGAGACATGTTTTCACCATGTTGGCCATGCTGGTCTCAAACTCCTGACCTCGTGATCCGCCCACCTCGGCCTCCCAAAGTGTTGGAATTACAGGTGTGAGCCACTGTGCCCGGCCCTTATCATTATTAGAATCCTTGTTCTTGGCCGGGCACAGTGGCTCACACCTGTAATCCCAGCACTTTGGGAGGCCAAGGTGGGCAGATTACCTGAGGTCAGGAGTTCGAGACCAGCCTGGCCAACATGGTGAAACCCTGTCTCTACTAAAAATACAAAAATTAGCTGGGCATGGTGGCACATGCTTGTAATCCCAGCTACTCGGGAGGCTAAGGCAGGAGAATCACTTGAGCCTGGGAGGCAGAGGTGGCAGTGAGCCGGGATCGCACCACTGCACTCCAGCCTGGCAAACAGAGCAAGACTGTCTCAAAAAAAAAAAAAAAAAATCCTTGTTCTCTTATTAGAATCCTTTGTTCTTTGGGGTTAGTTTTGATTTTTTCTCATCACTTGAATTTAATCGGTCCGCCGTCTTTTCCTATTTTCTTCTTTGTGATATCTTTCTGATTATTTTTCTTTCTCTTCATTCCAAAGCCATAATATTATTTCATGCCTCAATTCCTACAAATACTTTTTTTTTTTCTTAAGAGACAAGGTCTTGCTGCTCTGTCACCTAAGATGGAATACAGTGGCACCATCATAGCTCACTGCAGCCTCAAACCCTTGGGCTCAAATGATCCTCCTGTCTCAGCCTCCCCATTAGCTGGAACTACAGGTGCATGCCACCACACCCAGCTAATTTTTACATTTTTTGTAGAGATGGAGTCTCACTATATCACCCAGGCTGGTCTCGAACTCCTGACCTTAAGGGATCCTCCCACCTGGGCCTCCCAGAGTGCTGGGATTACAGGTGTGAGCTATCACACCTGACCTGTTTTCTTCATTTTGACATACTACTATCTGAATAATCATCATCAAGCACACCTGATAATGTGATGCTTCTGTCTAAAAAATTATGTTTCCTATTCTAAATTCTCTCTAATCTCGTTTGATAATACGAATCCCTCCCTTAGTTACATGGGTCTTTTTGCTCTCTTCTATACATTCTTGCTTTAGGTGTCCCTTCCAGTACTAGGAATGTCCTTATCTCTCTTCTCTCCAAGCTGTGTCAAATCCCAGGTTCTCTAATGGAACTAAGTCTCCTAGATAGAGCTTATAATAATACTCTGTGTGGCTGGGCCCATAGTATATGCTTAGTGTGTGTTTGTAGTTGATGGTCTAGTGTAGACCCAACTCTAAGAAAGCTGAATTAGCCCTAGCGGAAAGAGCCAGAAATCAAAAATAGTGTGAAGGCCAGGCACAGTGGCTCACGCCTGTAATCCTAGCACTTTGGGAGGCCAAGGCAGATGGATAACTTGAGGTCAGGAGTACAAGACCAGCCTGGCCAACATGGTGAAACCCTGTCTCTACTAAAAAAAAAAAAAAAATTAGCCAGACGTGGTGGCGGGGGCCTGTAATCCCAGCTACTTGAGAGGCTGAGGCAGGAGAATTGCTTCATCCCTGGAGGCAGAGGCTACAAAGCCGAAATCACACCACTATGCTCTATCCTGGGTGACAGAGTGAGACTCTGTCTCAAAAAAAAAAAAAAAAAAAAAAGAGAGAGAAAGAAATGTCACATCTCAAATCCTTTCATAATTAGAAGTTTATTTCACTTAAACTTCTATGTGCAAAAAATATTTCTACAAATACAGTTTGACATGTACTTTGCTTTTGGAAAAAGTAATTTTTATTTAATTTTTTTGCTTTGCTCATTTAGTAATAAAAAACTCTCAAACTGTGGTACATTTCTGTTCTTATTTTTAGTAACTCCCTGTGACATTTGAGAAACAAGAATTTGAGGTTGGCAAGCTAGCCCACAAATAATAGAAGAGTTTATTTAGTTTACTTTATCCTTAAAACAGTTTTTCTCTGACTTGCTTGCTTGCTTTTGGCTCATTTATTCATCCAAAAGATATTTATTTGGCTCCTACCATGTCTGGCACTATTCCAGGTACTGGGAATACAATAATGAACAAATAAAAATCCCTGTCCCACGTTTTAATTTTTTTTAAGTTTAACTTTATTTTATATTTTTTATTTTTGGTAGTGACATGGGTCTTGCTGTGTTGCCCAGGCTGGTCCTGGGCTCAAGTGATCCTCCCACCTTGGCCTCTCAAAGCACTGGGACTACAGGCATGAGCCACTGTACCCAGCTGGAATTTATATTTTAATCAGCAGGGGGCGGGCAGAGGAGTTAAACTAAACAAGGGAACAAATTGTAATATATGTGATGTTAAGTGCTAGGTGGTTTACAATTTTCAACATGTAGACAGGGAAGGCCTCATAAAAGAGGCTAAAATTTAAGAAGGTGGGCTGGGTGCAGTGGCTCACAAAAAAAAAAAAAAAAGGGTGAAGGAACTAGCTGTGTGGATATCAAAGTGTTCTAGGTAGTTGGAATAGTATATGCAAAGGCGTGGAGGCAGAAGTGTGCCTGGTCTGGTTGAATAACTCCAAGGTGGGTGATGTGACTGCAGTGGAGAGCATGAAGAGAACAGTAGTAGATGGGGTCAGAGAGGAAACACTGGCTAGATCAGAGTCTCATATATACTGCTGTAAGAACTTTAGATTTTACTCAGGATAAATTGTGAAGTCTTTGGAGGTTTTTGTGACTTATTCTTTAATGGGATCATCCTGGCTACTGTTTGGTGAATGACTGAAAAAAGAGAAAGGGTGGAAGCAGGAAAACCAGTTAAGAGACTGTTACAATAAAGTCTGTGCAATACATAAAGACTGCAAAAAAGGTGAGAGTTAATGGTAATGGACCAGAATGATAGCAGTGGAGCTGGGAATTCTGGATCCATTTTGAAAGCAGAAGAAAAACAAACAAATAGGCTTTCCTGATGCATTGGCTGTGGGGTATGAGAGGATGAGAGAAGTCAAGGATAACTCTGAGGTTTTTGGCCTGAACACCTAAAAAATAGAGTTGCCATTAATGGAGATGGGAAGACTATAGGAGGTACACAATGGGAGATGATCAAGAGGTCATTTTTGAATAGGTTCAGTTTGAGATATTTATTGGACATTCGAGTTGAGATATCTTCATAGAGTACTGGTGTCTGAAGGAGTACTCTGAGTGATACCTTCCTTGTTCATATCCTGTTTATCAACATTTTCATTAGAGAGTGTTTCATTGATTTGGAAGGAGGCATTTTTCAACTGCTGTATTATCTCCTGAGTAACAAAAATAAAAAAATCATTCAGTGATTTTTCATACTAAATGTTTTCTATGTGCCAGGGTCTGCTAAGCTTTTTTTTTCTCCCTCTCAATATATTATTTAATTAGCATGCAATCCTATGAAATAGGTAATATTTTTCCCATTTTACAGATGACAAATCTGAGGCTCAGAAAGAGATTAAGTTAGCTAAGGTCTTGTAGCTGAGCTAGGATTTAAATCAAGTTTTGGCTGACTATAATCCTGTACTTACTAGTCTTTGAGCTCCTTGGGCTTGGCTATTGTTCACTGCTGAATTGTCAGTAACTGGAGCATAAAGGCATGCAATAAATATTTGTTGGGTAAATGGAAAATGGATAAATAAGTACTGCTCCCAACACTTGAGCTTTTAACAGTTAAACTGTTAGCTGCAAAGATATCTGCCTCTTTCAAGGTCATTTCAGCCATCCATTTGATGAATCTTTTTACAGCATTGGTAGTATGAGGACAGCAGAAGGATTTAGAAAGTTCTTCAGAGGATTTCTAGCTAATCTTTCTCCTAATCCCCTCATGATTGTTAAACTAGTGTGACACTTGAATTCACAGAGTTCTTTTTGAGTTTAGGCTAGATATGTTTCTAATAGATTTGCCAAGTGTAATTTTCCTAACTTGATAAGTGGTATCATTCCCAGGAGTTGGTTCTATGTTGGCTCCTGGGAGCTGTTCCAACTTTGGAATCTGTAGCAAGTAGGACCATGGAAGGAGGGTCTCCCAATATACCTCTCACACATTGCTACTACTCAGGGGCATTTCTGCATCCCTGTGCCTGATACATAATCACTGTCTGCACTTTCTGTATTTACTTTCTCTTTCTCTTTATGTGGTCTTTTCTTGTTATCCTGGTCACCATTATTTGCTTAGATAATAAATTCTTAGATCAGTGTTTTCCAGAGTCAGTCATAGGCATTTATTTCCTTACTTGCTCATTTTAGCTCATTTCAATGCAATTGCTTGTGTCTGTTTCCTATTTAACAAATAATTATTAAGCAGGTACTGTGTCAATGGCTAGTTTAGTGAACTTCAAAAAATGAGAAGTTGTTCTATCATAGTGGCAGAATGATTGTCTAAAATCTTCTGTAATACTAGGCACAAGTAGCTGCTCAATGAATGTTTGTTAAATGAATTAATAACTTGCAAAAGTATTAATATAGTGAATGGCTCTTCTACAAATGATAGTTTCCTTTTCCTTTATCCCTAATCTATCCCTTTTCCAAATCTTACCAATCACCATGTCCTGTTCATCTTACCTCTTTACTATTCTTGAATCATTTATCTTACATCATTCCTTCTGCCATCATTATGTCTTGCCATAACCTTTTAACTAGTCTCTTTGTCAGTCTTGTTCCACACTTTAAATCTATAGTCTCTATTGCCAGCTGGAGTGGTCCTGAAATACAAATCTTTTTTTGTTGTTTTGAATCATCTTAGCCATTTTTAAATATATAGTTCAGCAGTTAGTATTAAGTATTATCACGTTGTTGTGCAACAGATCTCCAGACCTTTTTCTTTTCTTTTTTTTTTTTTTTTTTTGAGACGGAGATTCGCTCTTGTTGCCCAGGCTGGAGTGCAATGGCGTGATCTCGGCTCACCGCAACCTCCGCCTCCCAGGTTCGAGCAATTCTCCTGCCTCAGCCTCCCAAGTAGCTGGGATTACAGGCATGCACCACTACGCCCAGCTAATTTTGTATTTTTAGTAGAGATGGGGTTTCTCCATGTTGAGGCTGGTCTCGAACTCCAGATGATCCACCCGTCTCAGCCTCCCAAAGTGCTGGGATTACAGGCATGAACCACCGTGCCTGGCCTTCTTTTCTTTTTTTTTTTAAGAAAGAAGCAGAGTCTTGCTCTGTTGCCCAGACTAGAGTTCATAGTGCATTACAGCCGCAAATTCTTGGGCTCAAGCAGTCCTCCTGCCTTAGCCTCCCACGTAATAGGGACAGTAGCTACTGTACCAGGCCAGATCTTGTTTTGTTGTTGTTGTTGTTGAGACAGTCTCGCTCTGTCACCCAGGCTGGAGTGCAGTGGCACGATCTTGGCTCACTGCAACCTCTGCCTCCTGGGTTCAAGCGATTCTCCTGCCTCAGCCTCTCGAGTAGCTGGGATTACAGGCATGCACCACCACACCCGGCTAATTTTTTGTATTTTTAGTGGAAACAGAGTTTCACCATGTTGCGCAGGCTGGTCTTGAACTCCTGAGCTCAGGTGATCTGCCTGCCTCGGCCTCCCAAAGTGCTGGGATTACAGGCTTGAGCCACTGTGCCTGGCTGCCAGATCTTTTTCATCTTTTTTTTTTTAATTGTTATTTTTTCAAAAATAAGATGGGTCTCACTCCATCACCCAGGCTGGAATGCAGTGGGATGATCATGGCTTACTGCAGCCTTGATCTCCCAAGCTCAAGTGATTCTCCTGTCTCAGCCTTTCGAGTAGCTGATACTACAGGCGTGTGCCACCACATCTGGCTAATTTTTTATTTTTTGTAAATATGAGGTCTCGCTAAGTTGCCCAGGCTGGTCTCAAACTCCTGGGCTCAAGCAATCCTCTCACCTTGTTCTAAAGTGCTGGGAGTATAGAAGTGAGCCACTATGGCTGGCCTTTTTCATCTTGTGAAACAAACTCTATACCCATTAAACAACAACTACTCATTTCTCCCTCTTCCCAGCTCCTGGTAACAACCATTCTATTTTCTTTTTACTTTTGAGACAGGATCTCGCTGTCACCCAGGCTGGAGTGCAATGGTGTAATCTCGGCTGCCTGCAACCTCCACCTCCCAGGCTCAAGGGATTCTCCCACCTCAGCCTCCCAAGTAGCTGGGACTACAGGCGTGCATCACCATGCCCAGCTAATTTTTTTTTGGTATTTTTTGTAGAGATGGGGTTTCACCATGTTGCCCAGGCTGGTCTCGAACTCCTGAGCTCAGGCAATTCGCCCACCTCAGCCTCCTAAAGTGCTGGGATTACAGGCGTGAGCCACCACACCCAGCCTGTACTTTCAGTTTCTATGAATTTGACTACTTTTGATACCTCATATAAGTGGAATCATATGGTATTTGTCTTTTGGGGATCACATTATTTCACTTAGTATAATATCCACAAGGTTCATCCATGTTGTTGCATGTGATAGTATTTTCTTCCTTTTTATGGCTGCATAAATATTTTATTGTATGTATATACCATACTTTGTTGATCCATTCATGGGTTGATGAACATTTGGGTTGCTTTCACCTCTTGGCTAGTGTAAATTATGCTGCTATGAACATGGGTATGCAAATATCTCTTTGAAACCTTACTTTCCAGACTTTTGGGTACATACCCAGAAGTAGGATTGCTGGACCATATAGTAGTTCTATTTTTAACTTTTTGAGGAACTGCCATATTTTTTTTCTGTAGCAGTTGCACCATTTTACAATCCATTGATGGTGCATAAGGGTTCCAGTTTCTCCACATCCTCACCAATACTTGTTATTTTCTGTGTTTTTTTTTTTTGATAGTAGCTATCTTAATGGATGTGAGGTGATATCTCATTGTGGTTTGATTTGCATTTCTCATTTGTTGCAAAGACTGTCCTTTCCCAGTTGATAGGTGTTTATTTCTGGGCTCTCTATTCCATTACATTGGTCTATATGTCTGTTTTTATGCCAGTACCACTTTTGAATACACATCTAATTTTGTTTCTCCCTGAAAAAACCCTTCTGTGGCTCCTCATTGTCCTCAGGGTAAAGTCAAAACTGATCTTGCTACTGCTTATCTCTATGGCCTCACTCCTCACTTCTCTTGCCTCTCTATTCCTGTCTCAACTGTGTGCTACAGCTGTACTGAACCTCTTTCAGTTCCACAAATGGAACATGACCCTTTCCACCTTTAGAGCTCTGCACCAGACTTTTTCTTTGCCCAGAACACACCTCTTCATCCCCCCTGGCCCAACCAATTCCTCAGGCCCCAGCTTAGAATTCATTTTCTCTGGGAAGCCTTTTCTGATCTTCCAAGAGTAGTTTGGTACCCCTCCTATGTGCTCTCATAATACAATATAATTTATCATTGATTTCAACTGACTGTTTGTATGTGTAGATTATAAATTCCTTGAGGGCAACGATTGTTTTATTTACATTGACATCCACTGGTTCCTAGCACAGTGCCTGACAAATGGTAGCTGCTTATCATATTTGTTGATTGAATAAATAAATTAACAATCAATGGCATTTCCTGGCTCAGAAACCTTCAGTGATTTCCTCATTGATTAAAGTCTTAGGTGAGATGCAGATATCTGTATTTAAAAATAAATAAATAAAGTTCTACAAATTATTTTGATTCACAGCTAGAGTTTAAAAATGGAATTCAGGATAAACTCAGCCTGATATCCTAGTCCTTTATGCCCTACTATAATACTACTTTTCTCCTAGTTCTCCTCTTCTTTAACAAGTACTCTATAATTCAGGCAAACTGGATTTCTTATTGTTTACTGAACATGGTCTGTGTTTTCCTGCCTCTTTATCCATATGGTTTCTTCAACCTAGAATATGCTCTTTCCCTCTGTCCTATAGAAATCATCTTCCCTGGCTGGACGCGGTGGCTGACGCCTGTAATCCCAGCACTTTGGGAGGTCAAGGTGGGTGGATCATGAGGTCAGGAGTTCGAGACCAGCCTGGCCAACATGGTGAAACCCCCATCTCTACTAAAAATACAAAAATTAGCTGGGTGTGATGGTGCGCACCTTTAATCCCAGCTACTGGGGAGGTTGAGGCAGGAGAATTGCTTGAACCCAGGAGGTGGAGGTTGCAGTGAGCTGAGATTGTACCGCTGCACTCCAGCCTGGGTGATAGAGCAAGACTCCATCTCAAAAAAAAAAAAAGAAAAATTATCTTACCTTCAAGACCTGGCCTCAGAGTCCGCTTATTTCCCCATAAAACCTTTCCTGATTCTTTTTCTCGGCCGCATCCTCTCTGCCCGCCTCCACTGCCACCACTCATTTGATCATAATGTTTCCCTCCATTCATCTTCTCCTATATAGAATTTTTGTACCTTTGTTATTACACATTCTTTCTTTTCTTTCCTTTTATTTATTTATTTATTTAGAGATGGAGTTTCACTTTTGTTGCCCAGGCTGGAGTGCAGTGGTGCAATCTCGGCTAACTGCAACCTCCACCTTCTGGTTTCAAGTGATTCTCCTGCCTCAGCCTCCTGGGATTACAGGTGCCCACCACCATGCCCAGCTAATTTTGTTGTATTTTTAGTAGAGACGGGGTTTCACAATGTTGGCCAGGCTGGTCTTGAACTCTTGACCTCGTGATCCACCTGCCTTGGCCTCCCAAAGTGCTGAGATTACAGGCGTGAGCCACTGCACTCAGCCCCATTCTTTCATTTATTAAAGCTTTTTTTGCTTTAGCTTCCCTACATAAATGTACACTCCTAGGGTAGAAGAAACCCAGGCTTTTAGGTCACAAGGCTTGGATACAAATCCAAGCTGTACTATTTACTAGTTGAATAATCATAGGCAAGTTATTTAAGTTCTCTGGGCCAGCCTGGTGGCTCATACCCATAATCCCAGCACTTTGGGAGGCCGAGGCAGGTGGATCACTTAAGGTCAGGAGTTCAAGACCAGCCTGACCAACATGGTGAAACCCCATCTCCACTAAAAACACACACACAAAAATTAGCCAGGCATGGTGGCGCACACCTGTAATTCCAGCTTCTTGGGAGGCTGAGGCAGGAGAATTGCTTGAACCCAGGAGGTGGAGGTTGCAGTGAGCCAAGATGGCGCCATTGCACTCCAGCCTGGGCAACAAGAACAAAACTCCATCTCAAAAAACAAACAAACAAAAACCAGCCAGGTGCAGTGGCTCACACCTGGGCAACAAGAGCAAAACTCCGTCTCAAAAAACAAACAACCAACCAGCCGGGTGCGGTGGCTCATGCCTGTAATCTCAGCACTTTGGGAGGCCGAGGCAGGTGGATCACCTGAGGTCAGGAGTTCGAGACCAGCCTGACCAATAAGGTGAAACCTCGTCTCTACTAAAAAATACAAAAATTAGCCGGGCGTGGTGGCAGGCGCCTGTAGTCCCAGGTACTCGGGAGGCTGAGACAGGAGAATTGCTTGAACCCAGAGGCGGAGGTTGCAGTGAGCTGAGATTGCGCCACTGCAGCCCAGCCTGGGCAATGGAGCGGGACTCCGTCTGAAAAACAAAACAAAAGAAAACCAAAAAAAACAAAAAACACACACAAAAAAACAAAAACAAAAAGATGACAAGAATGTTTCAAGATATTACAATGGTCAGGCCGGGTGTGGTGGCTCACACCTGTAATCCCAGCACTTCGGGAGGCCAAGATGGGTGGATCACCTGAAGTCAGGAGTTCAAGACCAGCCTGGCCAACATGGTGAAACCCATCTCTATTAAATATACAAAAAATTAGCCGGGTGTGGTGGCAGGCGCCTGTAATCCCAGCTACTCGGGAGGCTGAGGCAGGAGAATCATTTGAACCCAGGAGGCGGAGGTTGCAGTGAGCCAAGATCGCGCCATTGCACTCCAGCCTGGGCAACAAGAGTGAAACTCCATCTCAAAAAAAAAAAAAAAAATTTCAATGGTCAAATGAGGTAACTATGAAAGTGCTTTGCCAGGCATGGTGGCTTACGCCTGTAATCCCAGCACTTTGAGAGGCTGAGGTGGGTAGATCACCTGAGGTCAGGAGTTCGAGACCAGCCTGGCCAACATGGTGAAACCCCGTCTCTACTAAAAATACAAAAAATTAGCTGGGCGTGGTGGGAGGCACCTGTAATCCCAGCTACTCGGGAGGCTGAGGCAGGAGAATTGCTTGAACCTGGGAGGCAGAGGTTGCAGTGAGCCAAGATCACTCCATTGCACTGCAGCCTGGGCAACAAGAGAGAAACTCCATCTCAAAAAAAAAAAAAAAAAATGCTTTGTGACCAGATGCAGTGGCTCACGCCTGTAATCCCTACACTTTGGGAGGCCGAGGCAGGTGGATCACCTGAGGTCAGGATTTGGATAGCAACCTGACAAACATGGTGAAACCCTATCTCTACTAAAAATACAACAATTAGCCAGGCATGGTGGCACATGCCTGTAATCCCAGCTACTTGGGAGACTGAGGCAAGAGAATTGCTTGAACCCGGAGTCAACAGAGACTCCATCTCAAAAAAAAAAAAAAAGGAGAACGAGGAACCAAATGATGCCCAGTTTCTAGGTGGGTGGCGATGCCGTTTACTGAGATGTAGAAAACTTGGAGGGTGCAGCTGGAATACTTCCTTCTTTCAGCTGTGTATGCATTACTTGGGAATTGGTTTTTTTGAATATAACACTAATCAACATGGTCTCCTCAATGTAGAAGATCAGACTCAGTCTTTTGCCTGAGCCTTTCTTTGTCTGAGTAGGCATTATTAAACATTTTATTTTATTTTATTTTATTTTATTTATTTTTTGAGACTAGGTCTGGCTCTAATGCCCAGGCTGGGGTGCAGTGTTGCAATGTTGGCTCACTGCAGCCTCTGCCTCCTCAGCTCAAGCCATCCTCCCACCTCAGCCTCCTGAGTAGCTGAGACTACAGGCATGCACCACTATGCCCAGCTAATTTTTGTATTTTTTGCAGAGACAAGGTTTTGCCATGTTACCCAGGCTGGTCTCGAACTCGTGAGCTCAAGCAATCTGCCCACCTTGGCCTCCAAAAGTGCTGGGATTACAGGCATGAGCCTCTGCGCCCAGCCAGCATTATTAAATATTTGTTTTTGCATGATATTTATTGGAAAGTTCCTCTAAAAGCACATTTCTCTTTTATATCTTAAATTACATTTTAATGATTAAATTGAGGGGTGGGGCTTCCAATAAAAGAGGGAACTTAAAACCCACCTCCATTTATTTAAATGCACTTAATTATGTATTTGTTTGTTCAACAATTTCACTGAGTTTTACAAAGGGGCTTACAAAATTGAGCAGGACCTAGTTCCTGCCATAAATGTTATAGTACAGTGTGATGAACAATAGTAGAAACATGTGCAGGATGCTAAAGTGGCACCAAGAATGGGCTCGAACTCCTGGGCTCAAGCAATACTCCTGCCTCAGCCTCCCAAAGTACTGGGATTACAGGTGTGAGCTACTGTGCCCAGCCTAGCACTAAGAATGGGATGGAGTATCAAGGAATGCTTTCCATGAGTTCAGAAGGATGAATAAGTGGCTGGCCGTGGTGGCTCACACCTGTAATCCCAACACTTTGGGAGGCTTAAGCGGTCAGATCACTTGAGGTCAGGAGTTTGAGACCAGCTGGCCAACATGTTGAAACTCCGTCTCTGCTAAAAATACCAAAAATTAGCCAGGTCTGGTGGTCCATGCCTGTAATCCCAGTTACTCAGGAGGCTGATGCAGGAGAATTGCTTAAACCCTGGAGGTGGAGGTTGCAGTGAGCTGGGATCACGCCACTGCACTCCAGCCTGGGTGACAAATAAATAAATAAGGGCCAGTGTGGTGGTTCATGCTTGTAATCCCAGCACTTTGGGAGGTCGAGGCAGGCGGATCACCTGAGGTCAGGAGTTTGAGACCAGCCTGGCCAACATGGTGAAACCCCGTCTCTACTAAAAATACAAAATTAGGCTGGGTGCAGTGGCTCATGCCTGTAATCCCAGCACTTTGGGAGGCCAAGGTAGGTGGATCACAAGGTCAGGAGTTCAAAACCAGCCTGACCAACATGGTGAAACCCCATCTCTACTAAAAATACAAAAATTAGCCAGGTGTGGTGGCACACGCCTGTAATCCCAGCTACTCAGGAGGCTGAGGCAGAATTGCTTGAACCCGGGAGGCAGAGGTTGCAGTGAGCTGAGATTACGCCACTGCACTGCAGCCTGGGCAACAGAGTGAGACTCTGTCTCAAAAAAAAAAAAAAAAAAAGCCGGGCGTGGTGGTGCACGCCTGTAATCCCAGCTACTCAGGAGGCAGAGGCAGGAGAATCACTTGAACGCAAGAGGAGGAGGTTGCAACGAGCTGAGATCATGCCATTGTGCTCCAGCCTGGGCAACGAGGGAAACTTTATCTCAAAATAATAATAATAAAAAAAATGAAAATAAATAAACAAGGAGGATGAATAAGAATTAGCAAAGCTATGAAGAAGGGTATTCAGCAAGCATATATGAAGGCCAAGAGTTAAACACTTAAATATTCTGAAATATATTTTGGGTTATTAACAACGTTTTACTCTGTGGCTAGAACTAGTGTTCCCTTTTTCTTTTTGAGTCAGCTCATTACTACTGACTGTTTCAGTCAGGCAGGCCCTGGTGAACCTCCTGGAGCGGTAGGCAAATTCAGTCCTTGGCAGATATACGGATGTACGCTTGTAGTGGCTGTGGATCCTCGAGCTGAGAACAGGAGGCTTCTTTGGAGCACAAGCCTCCCACAGGGCACTCTTGGGATGTCTGTTCTGGAATTACCCAGAGCAGTAACAAAGCTTTCTTTTCTTCCTTAACCCAAGCCAGCAGGATGGGATGTCGGCTAGCCTTTGTGTTTGGAGCCTACCAACAAACATACGGTGGCCAGCACAAAAGTATTGTTGGGCTACAGTGAAAACTAGGTCGGGGCCCAAACCCTTTTCTGCAAAGAGCCCCTCCAAAGAGTAGAGTGCCAACAAGCCACTAATTTGGCTGTTTGACATTGATACTGGTTTCTGACAGGTTTCTGACTTACTGATGGCACATTGAGTCATTTAAGATTCTGAAATCTTTTTCCATTGCTGTCTGAACCTTTCAATTTGGAATCTCTGAGATGTCTTTGACTCTTTTTCCTTATTTCTCATATCTATCACTCAGTTGCTAAAAAGCTTTATATTCTGACTATAGCCAACTTTTTCTTGCCCATAAATAGCACTGTTAGTTAGATGTTTGGTCACCTCTCATCTGGCTGTTGCAGTACCCTCCAAAACTGCCTCTAATTCCTTCTCTATCCTGCTACCAGAATGATCTTTCTAAAATGCAGTTTGGGTCATGTATTAGTTTCTTAGAGCTGCCATAGCAAAGCACTACAATGTGGGTGACATAGCAGAAACTTATTATCTCAGAGTTCTGAAGGCTGGAAGTCCAAAATCAAAGTGTTGGTAGGGCCTTGTTCTCTCTGAAGGCTCTACGGGAAGATCCTTCTTGCCTTTTCCTAGCTTCTGGTAGGTTTTTGGTGTTCTTTGGCTTGTAGATGTCTCAGTCCAATTTCTGCCTCTATCTTAACATGACATTTTCCCTGTGTGCCTATATCTCTTGCCACTCTTTTTATAAGGATTCCAGTCGTATTGGATTAAGGGCCTGCCCTACTCCAATGTGACCTCATCTTAACTTGATTACATTGGCAAAGACCCTATTTCCAAATAAGGTCACATTTATAGTTACCTTACCAGGGTTTAGGACTTGCATGCATCTTTTGGGGGGATGTAATTCAACCCCCATTAGATCATATTATACCTTTACCTATAAACCTTCAGTGGCCCCTGTGGTCTGCTGAATTAACTGTAGATGCTTCATCTTGGTATTCCAGAACTTCTGCACTAATAACAAATATAATAATAATAATAGAAATAGTCATAACTGACATATTGAGCACTTTCCTTGACATTATTCTTAGCATTTTACATGTATCAACTTACTGAATCTTCACAACAACTCTGTGGGTTAGGCACTATTATTATTCCCATTTTATAGATGTGTATTAAACAAACTGAGTAACCAACTCAGGGCTCTACAACTATTATAGTCTGAGATGAGATTCAATCCTAGCCAGCCTAACTGCAGTCACCACTATATTATACTGCCCATCTTAACTTTTTAGCTTCATACTTTCTCCCCTACTTATACAGAAAAAAAAAAAAGAATAATTACTAATCTCTGTGCTTTGTTATCTTTGTGTTCCTTTTGCATAGACTGTCTTTCTTATCCCCAACCCTGCCTATGGGTTACCATGAAATGGAATTAAATCCTCAACAATGAGTGAATATTAGCCAGGCCTAGGTGGGGAAAGGGGAAGGATATTAGAGGTAAAGGGACCAGCAATGTGTACAAATGTGCAGGTGAGCAGGAGTCAGACTTTTATAAGCAGGAGTGAAAGGCTTTGTGTGCCTTTCTAAGGATTGTGGGTTTTATCCTACAAGTAATAGCACATCACTGAATAATTTTAACAGGAGAGTGGCTTCAGGTTGGCATTTCAGAAAGATTGTCTTGGCTATATTGTGGAAAATGGATTGGAATGAGGGCTAAATCTTTTCAAGATGCAAAAGGGGGCAAGAAAACAGGTTAGAAAGCTAATGGAATAACCTAAGGGAGGCGTGAGAATGATAAGTTATTGATAGTGGGTTCTACCTGTTGTAAAAAATGAAAATAAATTTTAAAAAGATACTGTTAAATGGGAGAATGAGTTGTGTACTATGAGCTAAACACCAAACTGGACTGACTTTGTATTTAGACCTTATCTCTTTAATTACTCCTTGCCTTTGAACAAACACCAAATCTTGCTGATTCTACCTCTAATGTCTCTGAGATAATAACCTCCTTTCCATTCTTGCTGCCATTGTCTTATTCAGGCCTTGGTTATCCTAACTCTTCTCCCAGCCTCAGTTCCTGACCTTTTCATACAATTTTTATACTACTGTTAGAATATTTCTATGTAGCATATCTGATCATGTTATTCTCCTGTGTGAAAAAAAAAAAGTGTTAGTTGATTGTATGGCATCCCTACTAGACCATCTAGGCTAGACTAGTCTCTGTGGGCAGAGACTGGCCCCATTTATCTTTGTGTTTCACATTGTAGGTTTTCAGTGTTTGGGTAGGTGAACAGAAGGATGGATGAATCTTTCTCAGTACCATGTTGCTAATTAGATGGTAGCAAATTATCTCTGCTAGTTAGATGACAGCACAGTTATCTTCTTTGGGTAAATGCCCTAACTCCTGGCCAGTTGGGTAGATTTTTCAAAAAGGAATAATAATTCTTAGAGTTGATATTTTCTCCAGACCTTCTCTGAATGCCTTTGAACCACTGTTCAGAGATAAGCTTATTTGGTTGCAGGTATCAGTACACTGGTAATTCAAATTTTTTTAAAACTACCATTTTGTCTTATTGTTCTGAATAGTTATAATTGGTTGAAACTACTGTAGCTGACTAGAATCAGCAAGAATTGGGAACTGGAGTCCTGGGTGCATTTACCTCAGAGAGAGGTACATATTCCCTAGAGCCAGTCCAGAATATTCTCTGTATGGATATGTTTATGTGCTTGTCTGTGCCTGAATTGGTACCTACCAGACCCTATAGGGATATGTGGGAAGAACCTATACTCTTTAGCCTAGGCAGTTGTCTTAGTCCATTTATGCTGCTATAAGAATATATCATAGACTGGGTAGCTTATAAACAACAAAAATTTATTTCTCACACTTCTGGAGGCTGGGCAATCTAAGATCTAGGCACAGGCAGATTCAGTGTTTGGTGAGGGCCTACTTCATGGTTCATAAATGCCTGTCTTTTTGTTGTGTCCTTACATAGTGGAAGGGACTAAAGAACTATGGGGACACTTGTACACACATTCTCTATCGTGGTAAAATACATATAACATATAATTTACCATCTTTTTTTTGAGTGGGGGTCTTGCTATGTTGCCCAGGCTGGTCTTGAGCTCCTGGCCTCAAGCGATCCTCCCACATCAGCTTCTCAAAGTGCTGGGATTACAGGCGAGAGCCACTGTGCCTGGCCAAGAGACAAGTTCTTACTCTCATATGGAAGTGGCAGTAGGGGGAGGAGTGCTCAATAAATGTTTGTAGAAATAACCTGAATTGATATTCCTGAGTGGAGAACTGAGTGTCCACTTCTCTGTGCCTTTGGTGATTTTAAAAAAGATGTTGGCATATGATTTCTTGCATTTTAGTAATAAAGGTTTATTTACATAATATAGTTGAATTACCAATACACTTTAGAAAGTTATTGAGTGCCTTCTAGGAAAAGGCTGTATATATTTAATGAAACCAAGTATCAAACACAAATGAAATGGAAGAAACTCTGTTATTTTATTAGACCGTGAGGAAGTGAGGCAAGTTTTGGTATAGGTAAAGTTGGTATAGAAAAAGGTAACAGCCACTGAGAGGTATTGAAGTATCTATAACACATTTTATTGACTGTATTATAGTTTTCTAACTTGAAAGGTTAAAATAACAACAATTAAAAATATTAAAACTTCTGTATTAATTAAATGTATTACCAATGCCTTGGGTCATTTTATAGGGCTGACCGAGGGAGTAGTCTAGCTGAAAATGAAAGCAAAGCAGCTGTTATCCCCATCCGGGAAAGCTGAACATGCTAATGCAGTTGCTCTTGTCTCTGCTTCCTGCAGAGGGATTTGTTTAGAGGCCACACCAGCTGAGTCTGCACTGGGAGTTGCTTATGGAGAAGTGAACATTCCAGCTAATGGGCACAGAGACCGTGTAGCAATCTTCTGGCTGGGTGCGGTAGCTCACGCCTGTAATCCTAGCACTTTGGGAGGCTGAGGCGGGTGGATCACCTGAGGTCAGGAGTTCGAGACAAGCCTGGCCAACATGGGAAAACCCTGTCTCTACTAAAAAATACAAAAATTAGCTGGGTGTGGTGACACAGCCTGTAATCCCAGCTACACGGGAAGCTGAGGCTGGAGAATCACTTGAACCTGGGAGGTGGAGGTTGCAGTGAGCCGAGATGGCGCCACTGCACTCCAGCCTGAGGGACAGAGTGAGACTCCGTCTCAAAAAAAAGAAAGAAATCTTCCTTGTTGACAAATCTCAAATTTCCTTTTCTTATGCATGCAGAGGTCTTGAAACATTGAGAAGCGGTTTCTGAGGGCCTACAGGCTTATCAGCCCAACTAATGTATTCACCAAAGGCAGGCAAGAGAAATGGGTTGTAAAAGCAAATTCCATTTGTTTTCCCTCTCTGGTCCTTGGTTTGCGCTTTTTCCAGTTTGCCTGGAGAAGCCAGAATCTATTAGCCAAGTGTGATTCCTCATCTTTTGTCACCTTTTCCTGTGCTCTCCACCCTCTGGCTTTGCATATGGATTTCCAGGGCCTTCAGAGACACTGCTGAACAGAGTAAACAAGTGTTTCCCAGAACCAAGAGTCCTGGTGTCACCTGGCCTATAGAGAGTGCACATACAGTCTTTTCATTATAGTGTCTTCTGCCTGGCACTCAGTTGGGAAACCTGAGTGGCTCCTGAAGACAGGCCCGACATATCACACTGTCATCATGCTAAAGAAGTGAACCACTGCCTACCTTTTGACTTTCAGAGCTAAAGAAATCTGCCTGCATGATTAGATGTCAGCTTCACTGCCCACTTATAACCCTGAAGTTCACAAGCTCAGTTTCTTTTCAGCAAATGGGCACCTCAAATGTGAATCTTGGGCAGATTCAACTAGAATGAAGAGAGCAAGGCGCTGTGCTTATGCCGTCATTATGCCTTATTTTAAGATTTTCAAAGATGGATTATCAAGCAGGATGAAGCAGATCAACAAGTTTCCCTTTTGAGAAGTTGGAAGATTTATTTTTAGTCATTCTTTCTGTCTTGCCAAAACTGGTCCGACGCTTCCAAGGATCTGAAGTGCTGCATGGTGCTGCCCCCAACTGGTTCTTTTTGGTGCTTATATTATTACCACATCAGAAAATATATGACATTTAAATTTTTTTCGAAGCGCTTTCACATATTTTATTTTATTATTATTTTTTTGAGACAGAGTCTCACCCTGTTGCCCAGGCTGGAGTGCAGTGATATGATCTCTGCCCACCGCAACCTCTGCCTCCAAGGTTCAAGTGATTCTCGTGCCTCAGCCTCCCAAGTAGCTGGGATCACAGTCGTCTGCCACCATGCCCTGCTTATTTTTGTATCTTTAGTAGAGATGGGGTTTCACCATGTTGGCCAGACTGGTCTCGAACTCCTAGCCTCAGGGGATCCACCTGCCTTGGCCTCCCAAAGTGCTAGGAATACAGGTGTGAGCCATCTCGCCTGGCCAACTTTTACATATTTTTTTTTCAAGACAGGGTCTCACTCTGTTGCCTAGGCTGGAGTGCAGTGGCTCAATCTCACTTCACTGCAGCCTCCGCCTCCCGGGTTCAAGTGATTCTCCTGCCTCAGCCTCCCGAGTAGCTGGGATTACAGGCACCCACCACCATGCCCGGCTAATTTTTGTATTTTTAGTAGAGATGGGGTTTCACTATGTTGGCCAGGCTAGTCTTGAACTCCTGACCTTAGGTGATCTGCCCGCCTTGGCCTCCCAAAGTGCTGAGATTACAGGCGTGAGCCACGGCGCCTGGCCAACTTTCACATATTTTATTAGATTCTCATAACAACACTGCAAATTAGGTGAATCAGGGATTATCATACCTACTTATAGTTGAGAAAAGTGAAAGATGGATAGCCTTATTAGTTGATTTGTCCAAGTTAAATGGCTATTAGGAGGCTGAATTGGGCTAGAATTCAGATATTTCTCCTCTTATCCCATTAAGTTCCCTAGTCCTTTGTAAATGCAATGGTACCCAAAAATATGTATTAAGATATAAATTTTAGGCTTAGAGGAATTTCCCTCTTTTTCTCCCTTGGGAGGAGGAGGGAGATAATACATCATATAAGGTTTGAGTAAATTCATTTTTGAGCTCCTGTGCTGCATGAGGCTCTCTTACTCAGATGCTGTGGTCTCTAAGTCTCCAGTGCAACGTAGTGGTAAAGAGTATGGACTCTGGAGCCAGACTGCAGAGTCTGCCAGTCTCTGCCACTTAATAACTGGATAACTTTAAGCAAGTTGCTTAATTTCTAAATGCCTTCTCTAAAATGAGTAATAGTATGTAGTCATTTTGTAGTCCATAGCACGATGATTGGATTTTCATGTGCATGTGTGAGGTGTACTACCCTCAAACCTTATTAATGTCTGCACGTTGTCTGACATGAAAAAAAAAAGGAAAAAAAGTACCAGTGTACCTACCTTATAGGGTTATTGTGCAGATTAAATGAGATAATATATGCAAAACTCTCAGAACAGTGCCTGAAACAATTTAGATACTATATAAATAACAGCTGCTATTATTATTTATAAATACATATACTTACTCACTTTTTTTTGAGACTGGGTCTCTCTCTGTTGCCTAGGCTGGAATCTAGTGGCACAATCATGGCTCACTACAGCCTTGACCTCCTGAGGTTCAAGTGATCATCCCAACCTCAACCTGTGAGTAGCTGTGACTATAGGCACACACCACCACACCCAGCTAATTTTTTTTTTTTTTTGAGATGGAGTCTCGCTCTGTTGCCCAGGCTGGAGTGCAGTGGTACAGTCTCGGCTCACTGCAAGCTCCGCCTCCTGGGTTCATGCCATTCTCCTGCCTCAACTTCCCGAGTAGCTGGGACTACAGGCGCCTGCAACCACGCCCGGCTAATTTTTTGTATTTTTAGTAGAGACGGGGATTCAGCATGTTAGCTAGGACGGTCTCGATCTCCTGACCTCGTGATCTGCCCACCTTGGCCTCCCAAAGTGCTGGGATTACAGGTGTGAGCCATTGTGCCCAGGCTTTTTTTTTTTTTTTTTTTTTTTTTAGACGGAGTTTCACTCCGTCACTTGCCCAGGCTGGAGTACAATGGTGCAATCTCGGCTTACTGCAACCTCCATCTCCCGTGTTCAAGCGATTCTCCTGCCTCATCCTCTCGAGTACTGGGATTACACGCATGCGCCACCATGCCTGGCTAATTTTGTATTTTTAGTAGAGACAGGGTTTCTCCATGTTGGTCAGGCTGGTCTCGAACTCCCGACCTCAGGTAATCCACCTGCCTTGGCCTCCCAAAGTGCTGGGATTACAGGTGTTAGCTACTATGATCCCACCCCTGGGAGCTACCGTGCCTGGCCAATTTTTGTATTTTTTGTAGGGACGGGATTTTGCCACTTTCCCCAGGCTGGTCTCAAACTCCTGACCTCAAGTGATCCTCCCACCTTGGCCTCCTACCGTGCCCAGCCTTATTCACTTTTTTTTCTTTTTTTTTTTTTTTACTAAAAAAGCAAAGCTGCCCTTCATGGGTATTTAGGAATGATGAACAGCAAGACTATCTTCAAATAGTTTCTCCATAACCTTATCTGCTACTCTTTCCTCTGTTCACTTCAGTCTTACTCGTCTTAACCACTTTACTGAAACTGCTCTGTCCAAGGTTGCCAATGATTTCCTGGTTGCAAATTCAGTGGATACCTTTCAAGCTCGTCTTCCTCATTCATGGCTTTTGATACTGTCAGTCATTTCCTTTGTAGAATGCTTTCCTTCTGACATGTAGAATGTCATTGTCCTTCTGAACATACATACATACATACATACATTTATTTATTTATTTATTTATTTATTTATTTATTTATTTATTTATGAGATGGAGTTTAGCTCTTGTTGCCCAGGCTGGAGTGCAATGGCACGATCTCAGCTCACTACTACCTCTGCCTCCCGGGTTCAAGTGATTCTCCTGCCTTAGCCTCTTGAGTAGCTGGGATTACAGACGCCTGCTACCATGCTCAGCTAATTTTTTTGTATTTTTAACAGAGACAGAGTTTCACCATCTTGGCCAGGCTGGTCTTGAACTCCTGATGTCAGGTGATCCACCCGCCTCGGCCTCCCAAAGTGCTAGGATTACAGGCATGAGCCATTGCGCCCGGCCGTCCTTCTGAACATTTAGAATGTTCTCCTATTGACATTCTTGCCTGTTCCTTGGGATTCTGTTGATTTCCCATCTTACATGTTAAACCCTGGGCATGCATGACCTTGGAATGCATGACTGCTTCAGCTCAATGTTTTTGCCTCCTAAATATTGTCTTTCACTTAGACTTTGTTCTTAAGCTTCAAACTGACTCTATTTAGATCATTTCCACCTTGGTTGTCCAATAAGCACCTGTACCTTTAATAATTTAACTTCTCCCAGCTGAACTCACTATCTTTTTTTTTTTTTTTTTTAAGACAGGGTCTCGCTCTGTCTATCACCCAGGCTGGAGTGCATTGGCATGATCTTAGCTCACTGCAGCCTCAACCTCCCAGGCTCAGGCGATCTTCCCATGTAGCTAGGACTACATGTGTGCACCATCACGTCCAGCTAATTCTGTTTATTTTTGTAGAGACTAAGTCTCTCACTATGCTGTTCAGGCCGGTCTGAACTCCTGAGCTCAAGCGATCCTCTACCTCTCAAAGTTCTAGGATTACAGGCATGAGTCACCACACCTGGCCTGAACTCACTCTCTTTTAACATTGCCTCTTCTTCTAAAAACCTACTCCTCTCCTTGCTCTCTGGGTATTTAAAAATGACATCCAGGGACCAATAGCCTATTGCTCTCATTCTCTAATCCAGGCAATTATCAAGTTTTTTTTTTTTAATTCTGCCATCTAAATACATTTTGAATCTTGCCTTGTTCCAATGCCTCCACTATTGCCATGATTCAGATGCCCTGCTCTCACCAGGATTATTGCAGTAATCTCCTATTTCCCTTTCTCTGTATTTTTCACTCTAATCCATCTATCATACCATGGCTAAAATAATATTTTCTTTAAAAAGCAAATATAACCATGTGGCTCTCCTGCTTAAAATGCTTCTTTTGTTTCCTATAGACAGGATAAAGTTCACATATCTTAGCAAAACATGTCAGCCTCACTTCCTGACTCATCTATAAATGCACTCTGGCCATATCGAAGTAAATTAAGTTCCTGAATGCATCATGCACTTAACCTGTAACTTTGCATATGCTGCTCCCTCTGTGTCTTTCGTGCTACTTTCCTGCTACTCCAGGTCATCCTTTCTGACTCCTTATTTCCTCTCTGCATTTCCTCTGACATGCCTCCACAGTTTAGCTTTATCCTTGTTGCTGCATGGTGTTGTCCTACCTGCACATAACTATATTTTAATATTTATTATATGATATTGTTTGACTATGTCCCTTAATAGATTGTGATCTCCTTAAAGGAAAGTGTCATTGTGTGCAGCACCTACCATAGTGCTTGGAGGCAGAATAAGCCCTCAGTAACTTAAAAAAAAAATACAGTCTCTCTCTTCCAGGTGTTTACTCTCTAATGGTTTCACCACTAGCCTAAATATTTCTGATAAATGGTAGCTGGGTTTTCCTTCTGTTTTGCAGTATATCAACTCCGGGAACCTGGAACAGTTGCTAGACAGTAACCTGCATTTGCCTTGGACTGTGAGGGTAAAACTGGCCTATGACATAGCAGTGGGCCTCAGCTACCTTCACTTCAAAGGCATTTTTCATCGGGACCTCACATCTAAGGTATGAAGGCTTTACTCTCACAACTCATTGAGAGATACCACCCTTCTCTTTTGCCAAGAAAGCTGTGTTAGATTTAACATTTAATCACAGAGGACATAATTCATTATATTTTATAGTTAGTCCTTAGAAAGCCTACATCTTTTCCTTCTGTTTTTGAGGCAGTGTCTCACTCTGTTGCCCAGGCTGGAGTGCTTCTGCCTCCTGGGTTCAACGACTCTCGTGCCTCAGTCTCCTGAGTAGCTGGGACTAGAAGTGTATATTACCACACTCAGCTAATTTTTAGTAGAGGCAGAATTTTGCCATATTGGCCAGGCTGGTCTTGAACTCCTGGCTGCAAACAATCCACCCGCCTTGGCCTCCCAAAGTGCTGGGATTACAGGCGTGAGTCACTGTGCCCCACCATAAGCCTATATTTTCTTATAGCAGGTTCCTTTCAGTGCTGAGTGAGCCAACATATATATATATATATATATATATATATATATATTTTTTTTTTTTTTTTTTTTTTTTTTTTTTGAGACGGTCTCACCTTGTCACTCAGGCTGGAGTACAGTGGCATGGTCTCGGCTCACTGCAGCCTCCACTCCATCGGCTCAAGCAATCCTCCTACCTCAGCCTCCCGAATAGCTGGGACCACAGGCGTACACCACCATGCCTGGCTGTATTTTGGTCTTGTTTTGTTTTTTTCCACTCTTATTGCCCAGGCTGGAGTTCAATGGAGTGATCTTGGCTCACTGCAACCTCCACCTCCTGGGTTCAAGCAATTATCCTGCCTCAGCCTCCTGAGTAGCTGGGATTACAGACGCCTGCCATCACCCCTCGCTAATTTTTTGTATTTTTAGTAGAGATGGGGTTTCACCATGTTGGCAGGCTGGTCTCAAACTCCTGACCTCAGGTGATCCACGTGCCTTGGCCTCCCAAAGTGTTGGGATTACAGGCATGAGCCACCATACCCAGCCTTTCTTTTGTATTTTTAACAGAGATGGGGTCTTGCCATGTTACCCAGACTGGTCTCAAACTTGTGAGCTCAAGCAGTCACCCACCTCAGCCTCCTAAGGTGCTGGGATTACAGGCATGCACTGTGCCCAGCCAACTCATACATCTTGAGAGCCTTCATGTTTAACTTCAATCTCCTGAATATGTGTTACAGGAGCAAATGACATGAGAAGGGTTAAGAAATTCTTGCCTTATAGGAATGACAGCAGTCAAGGCAGTATAGGGGCCTATCAGTTTTCTTTCCTGTGGCCCCAGGATGTAGTTCTTAGCTAAGAGCAGGAGTTCAGTGATTTTTAGTCACTTGAATGCAGGTTTTTAGGGCCATATGTACTGACCCATTTTCTGCCTGTGTGATTGAGTTTCTGCTGCCCTGCCAGTTCCTCTTTGGCATCAGCTGATCTCTGTAGCACTCTCTTGCTGTCCAAATTGCTGTGTGACCAGGTTAGAAAAGAGTCGCTTTCAGAGGAAGTTGGCCATGCCACAAAACAGACACCTCATAGCCAAATGGCCTAAGATACCATCATGACAAGGCTTATATAAATAGTACCGTTTGATTATTAATGGGGGAACTATAAGGCAATCTAACATATCTAATATGACTGCTGCCCAAGAACTGAATTAAAGTCTGCTAGGGAGGTGTATAAGAGTTTTGTACCTGCCTAAGAATAGCTGTCACTTCATTCCCCACCCTCAATACCTACATGTACACATATTCACATATGCATGCACATACTCCTACTCCTTCTGCCCCAGATGAAGGGGAGGGGAAGGGAGCCCATCTTAAGAAAAAGCTTGAAAGGGAACAAAAGCAGCAGTACTGAGTCAATAAAGCCTAAAGCAGTAAGTACCTGGATGCCTCACATAGAATGGTTTTGGTGTGTGGCAGAGTCATTTGTAGTCAGCTGCACTGTTCCTGAAGGAGCACAAGACTGGCAAGTAGAAACTGGGAACCAGCAGAGGCCTAGTTGTAAGGAGCCCTTTATCTACATTACTGTCTGTAAGAACTGGACAGTTAGGCAGTTGGGACCTGGAAGGTGATATCTTATCTCTTTATTAGCCATTTCTTCTCCCCCAGAATGTTTTGGAAAACCAAGACTAAGAAAAGTGCAGGCCGGGCATGGTGGCTCACACCTGTAATCCCAGCACTTTGGGAGGCCGAGGCGGGCAGATCACCTGAGGTCAGGAGTTCAAGACCAGCCTGACCAACATGGTGAAACCCTTCCTCTACTAAAATACAAAAATTAGCCGGGCATGATGGCAGGTGCCTGTAATCCCAGCTACTCGGGAGGCTGAGATGGGAGAATCGCTTGAACCCAGGAGATGGTGGCTGTGGTGAGCCGAGATCGTGCCACTGCACTCTAGCCTGGCGACTGAGCGAGACTCCGTCTTGGAAAAAAAAAAGAAAAAAAAAAAGAAAATTGCATTTGTTCCAGGCAAATGGATGGGACTGAATCAACTCAGATATCAAATCTTTGCTTCCTACTCAGAAAGCGCCATTTTTTCTAAGATAGAAGGAGTTTGTGACAAAATATGTATCAGTTACACAGATACTCCCCCCACACACACACACACACAAGTGTCTCCTATACCTGGCTCCAAGGATGAAGGAATATTAGAAAAGAGGAACTTCTGACCTAGAGGTATGTACAGTTTTGTTGGCAAATAACTAAAAAGTAGTGCACAGCATTTTATAATTGTTTAGCTACATAGACGACAAGTTTTCTGAGCAGGAAAGATCACTCTAGGCCAGGGTAGCTAGGCTTCCTCGAGGAAAGCCCCCACTCCCTAAGAGTTCATCATATTCCCTTCTGTGCCCCAAAAGCACTTTGTCCCATTGTGCTAGTGTCCAAGTGTGGTTCTGTCTGGGCTTGTTGTGCTGTATTATAAAAATAACCTTTTTGGACTATAGGATAAGACCACTACCCTTTGCTTTTCCTTATGGGGAATGGGTATTCCCAGTGTCAACTGACTTGAGACAAGAAACTAGGAACATAGGAGAAATAACTCCCTATATTTCTGGGCTGTACTTTCTTGGGTCCGGACTTTAAGGAGGTTTTGAGGATAATTCCAGGTGGTGAGAACAAAGGACGTTTGCAAACTCTAGAGGAAGGCTGGGAAGTACACTATAGGGGATCTCAAGTTGAAGACAAACAAGTGAGTCTTATGAACCAGACTGTCCAATTTGAGATACCGTCTGTGTTCATTGCCCTTTTATCATCTCTGAGAAATAAAGCTAAAGGGACAGTAGAGGGCTCGGAGGTTTCCAAATTATCTCTTCATAGTCCATCTTGGGTCTGTGTCTTATTTCTTTAAGGACAGTATCAGGCTTTCTTATATTTTAATATTATACACTCCATATCACTTGATTGTTCTGTTGTGTCTGTATCTCCCACCAGCATGAGTTTCTCAAGTGCTTCTCTTATTTACTTTTGTTTTCTTACCACCTAGCACAGAGCCTATGAGAGTATAAAGTCTTCCTGGGCCTATTTCAGGGAAGGGCGAAGGGCTTGATAGCAAAGAGGCCAAAACGCCTGCTCCAGAGCTGAGATTCTGGGTTCCAGGCCCAGTTTTGTCCCCATCTCTGAACGACTTCAGTGACCTTGGAACCTCCGTGCTCCCAGTCTGTAAAACAGATGCTGTCCTTGACTTTGCAGGAGCGATCAGTCCACACTGCTCAGACCAGAGCTAACAAGAGGGATTTAAAGTAGAGGTAACATGTTCCAAGTGGGTAAACCAGGACAGAGAGAAGAAGATGCCTTTTTCCAAATGATCCTAAGCCTGTGGTTAGAAGCAAAAAGATCCCTAGTTTCCTATCAACGTGCCTCCTGAAAGTAGTATTACCTTTATAGGACTCATGTCCGCAGCTACTGCAATAATGCTCTAAGAGTAAAATGTCTGTCAGATATAGCCATTCAGTCTAATTTTGTAATTACTTCTAAGAAACAGCCTGAAACAGACTTTTGCAGTGGCAAGGCCAAGAACTTACTTGGAAGGAAGTGGGAGGCAGTGTGGCTTTAAAAATATTCAGTTTGTGAGCACTATGAAGAAGTGCCAATAGCCACACACAGGCTTTTATCAGTAGCTCTAGAAGTAACCAGTACACACATACCCGAGCCTTGGCTCTTGGGGGCAGCTGAGAAAGTAGTTTGCTTCTGCTTAATACCATTACTGCCCAACTGATCTTCTGTGATTACTGTTGGGAATGAGTATGAATTATGAATTGCACCTTTAGTTCTTAGTTCTTTTCTGTTGTTATTGTTGACTGCATAGAAGCCACTTAGGTGATTTCACTGGAATGAAAAGCCTATTCAGTTATGGTCTTAGGCTATGCCACACAATGAGGAATAGAAAATGCCAATTTTCAGAGTGAAGAGAACATGAATTAGGAACAACGTTGAATGCTGGAGGGATGTAGAGAATGACTGTTAGTGTACCCTAAAGTTAATTTTTATAATTAAAACCATCAGCAGCTTCTGGGAACTATTTATGCTGTGCTATTAGAGGGCACAATATTGGGGAATCCAATCTCTACCTTCCATGGGCTCTACTCTAGTTGTGGAGATATTTAAGTCAGCAGGCCATTACACAAGAGCTATGGTAAAGGTATGAGATCACATGGTAGGATTGAGGGCAAGGGATGGGACACATCACACCAAAACAGATAATCCTCTAAGAGACTTGAAATATAACAGTCCCTGAGGCATTTAGGAGTCCGGCAGTTCGGTCACTGATCTCCCTGTGCTATGAAAAGAACCTCTTAACTGTTCAGTCTTTCAGTAGAATCTTAGTCTTTTCCTGCCTGATCCTAACTGGGTTTAGGGAGTCAGTTTGTTGCGGGTGAGGGGAAAGAGGTGAAGCCACATAGAAAGTGTTTTGTTGTTTTTGTTGCAGAAACAGCTTTAGAGTGAACATGAGTTAATAGACTTGGCATTTCTTCACTCAGGTGGCTTTATTCAGTGTTAATACTGACTGTGCAGCTGTTCCAGGACACCTCAGGCACTTTCAGGTGTCTGATCTGGCCCAGTTCTGAAGAATTTGTGTAGGTTTCCAGGAAATGCATCCATGGCCACCCTTTTGAGTCTCTTGTCAGCTCAGTCCTCACTATGGAGAGTGGAATGTATGATTATTGTATACGTTTGACACACGCTTTTTTTAATTTTAATTTTTGAGACAGAGTCTCACTGTCACCCAGGCTGGAGTGCAGTGGTGTGATCTTGGCTCACTGCAACCTCTGCCTCCCGGATTCAAGTGATTCTCCTGCCTCAGCCTCCTGAGTAGCTGGGATTACAGGTGCCTGCCACTGCACCTGGCTAATTTTTGTATTTTTAGTAGAGACAGGGTTTCACCATGTTGGCCAAGCTGGTCTCGAACTCCTGACCTCAGGTGATCCACGTGCCTTGGCCTTCCAAAGTGCTGGAATTACAGGCATGAGCCATCACACCCAGCTTGACACATGCTTTTAAAAGAAGCCCAGTTGCTTCAGTCATCAGACTAAACTTTCATTTAACACACTTTTGCCAAGCTCCTTCTGGGTACCTGTGCTAGGTTACAGATACAGAGGCAAATGAAATCATTCCTTGCCAGTGAAGAGGCAAACATGTAAGTCACTGTTGCAGTGTGATATAATAGGTGTGAGGAAATGAAGAATGGGAACCAGGCAGCAACAGTGCCTGGGCTGTTTTCTGAAACTGAAAAGGTCACCTCTTGCCTCAGGGAAATCTGACTGGTCCTCTCTTACTGCTTAGTGTAGGCAGGGCTACCTCACTCAAAAGTCTTCTAGGAGGGAAGAGACATAGGTGACATATCTGAGCTGCCACTGCCTCACAGGCTGGTGCCCTATAGCTGGGGCTTTGGCTAATAGGCAGGCTGGCCTAGGGCCCATCTTCTCACAGACAGTCAAAGTCAGGGAGCTGCGAGTGCTGAGCCAGCAGGACTGATTAGAGAGCCAAAGCCAGGACAAGCACAAGAACTGTCCTTCCTGGAAGCCAGAGATGAGGCATGTCTACCTGTGATCCAGGGTAGAAGTGATGAAATCACGGCTCCTTCCAGCTTGGGGAAGGGAAATAGTGTAATCATGTCAAGGCCAGAGTAAGGGATTGATTTGTACCTGACAGGAGTAAGCAGGAGGTGACTTGGCATGTCTTAGCAACTAGATACCAAGGCTGGCAAGGAAGAGGGAGGGCTGGTTTGGGTCAGATGGGGCCTTGCTGGCTCCAGAAGTGTTTCTGTGAGCCAAGGATCCCTGCTCTCTGCTATTCTGAAGGAAGCGGGTGGGGTGAGGTGCCTCTTGAGCCAGAGCAGTGTAGGGCTATTTTGAAAGCAGCTATTTGGGGAGAGCTGGTTGCCGCTTTTTGTTTATTTACAGGTCACTTGGGTTGACCTGAAGACAGCATTTTTTCAGTGAGCATGTTCTCAGCCTGTCTCATGAATTGAAAGCTGTGAGGAAGGAAGGCAAACCAGAACTTGCTCCTGAGGGGTTCATAGCTTTTCTGCTAGACTGTAAGAGGAGTGGCATAGAGGAGGAGCTAAGAGTTGAGATGAGAGGGAGAAAGATGAGGTCATGGCTAAAAAGGTAGCTTGCCTTAAAATACAAAATTTTCTTAGGTGAAAAGGATAATTGGGAGAATATTTCAAATGAAAGGGAACAATGTAAGCAAAGGCAAAGGCTTGAAGGACCTGTTCAGGTTTGGTAAGTCAAGCTTGTCTGTGACAAGTTTGGATGAGGATATGTGCATAGGGGCACCAGGAACAGGGGGACAGCGGCTAGGCCAGTTGGATAAAGCCAGATCATAGACTTTTAATGCCAGAGAAGAGGTTGGTTGTGATCTTGTGGACAGTGAAGGTTAGTGAAGGCTTAGACACTTGTCTTGTGCTTATATCAAGTTGGCAAGGTCAGGCCTGGGCTTTGGGTCTGTGTTTCTGAGGAAGGAGGAAGGGAGGCCAGGGGCCTGATAGTCTGTTGTTCTCCCCTATATTGCAAGCTCCAAGAGGACAAGGGTTTTGGTTGTTTTCATCTAGCTATTTCTAGCACTTAAAATTATGCCTAGCACTTAGAAAGCAAAGATGAGTAATTGTGTTTGGAATGTGAAGTGTATCCTAGGACAGCCACCCAAGACCCAGGACTAACTCATCTCACCTGGCTGTCTTAGAGCCCCTGACCTGACCAGTGGGGTCAGCTTGAGTGCGGTTCACCAAGGAGCAGAGGACAAGGTGCCCTGTGATAGGAAGGGGGGAATGGGTGGTAACTCTATGGCTGATCCCCGCTTCTGAGCCACATTATTTTCTCTTCCTTCCTGGGAACCCTAGAACTGCCTGATAAAGAGGGATGAGAATGGTTACTCTGCAGTGGTAGCTGACTTTGGCCTGGCTGAGAAGATCCCCGATGTCAGGTGTGTAGCCCTACTGGATGCTGGGGTCCAAGGGACAGGGGGCTGAAGCTAAGGGAAAATTCTAGCCTCCTCCCCAGAGGCCAGGACTTGGTCACAGCTCAACCTCAGCTCCCTAAATTTGTTTAGTCCTCGTCTGTACCCATCCTTGAGGTGGAGGAATGGTCAAAAGATTCCATTGCACCAGCCATTGGCAAGCTCATTTTCTGTATAATCTCACCCCACAGCATGGGGAGTGAGAAGCTGGCCGTGGTGGGTTCCCCATTCTGGATGGCACCTGAGGTTCTCCGAGATGAGCCCTATAATGAAAAGGTAAGTTTGGAGGATCTCAAGGCCTGATTCTCCTTTTTTCTTTTTCTTTTTTTTGAGATGGTCTCACTATGTTGCTCAGGCTGGAATGCAGTGGCACGATCTCGGCTTACTGCCTCCCGAGTTCAAGCTATTCTCCTGCCTCAGCTTCCCAAGTAGCTGGAATTACAGGCATGCACCACCACGCCCAGCTAATTTTTTTATTTTTAGTAGAGACAGGGTTTCACCATATTGGCCAGGCTGGTCTCAGACTCCTGACCTGAAGTGATCTGCCCACCTCGGCCTCTTGAAGTGCTGGGATTACAGGCATGAGCCATCGCGCTCGGCTGATTCTCCCTAGAATCCACTCTTAGCAGAGTGTCCAAGATGTTCCTACCAAGAGCAGTGGTGGTACCTGGCAGCTGCCCAGTGACTGACTGGGATGAAGTATGGGCAATATGGCCCAGGCCTGGGCTGTTAGATGGTGGGGTGCAGGGGAGGCAGGGGCAGGGGCAGATACCCTACCCCTCAACCCATTAAGAGGGAAACCAAAGTCCGACTACCCACCAGGCAGATGTGTTCTCTTATGGTATCATCCTCTGCGAGATCATCGCCCGCATCCAGGCCGATCCGGACTATCTTCCCCGCACAGAGGTGAGCTGCAAGCATGGGGATCATTGCCACTGATGGGGCTAGTTTGAAGCAATGGAACTGTTCTGTCCCTGGGATGGACTTGCTGGAACTCTCTGTTGCTGGTTGTCAGGGGCAGCTCCCAACCACTTCTACTGAGCAGGCTAGGATGGGTGGGGGGATTAATGAACTGTCTACCTATGCTTTCCATACCCATCCACAGAATTTCGGGCTGGACTATGATGCTTTCCAGCACATGGTGGGAGACTGTCCCCCAGATTTTCTGCAACTTACTTTCAACTGCTGTAACGTGAGTGTCTTTCTCCCTCTGCCTTTCATCAGGGGCTGGCTGAACCCTTTTCACCTGGTTAGGACTGTACAGAGAGGCTGCTAATTAGCTTCATGAGGGACCTCATTTTCACTGTAGTGACAGCAACCACACCTCCTCCTCCTCCCTCTGGCAGCTAACCTATTCAGAGCTCTGGACAAAGGAAAGAAAGAAGTTGTTTTGTATTATCTGGTCCTCAACCTGTAGGGTAGACCCATCACTCCTTGCGTTAGGTGTTGATGGAACTCTGGTCCGGTTTTATTGTTGGACTGTGGATCCAACTGGTCCTGAGGCATATGAGAAAGGCTCTTCTTGGCCTTCATGTATGTAGCTCTGGGGCTGGACCTTACCTGTTAGGATCAAGGGGTAGGTGGGCTTTGTTCAGATACCTCCCAGAAACACATTAGGAGCAGAACTCAAGAACAGAATAAACTAATATGAGCATACTTTTGGAAGGTTCTGTGACAAGGTGATAAGACAAACACTAAGACAGGGAGGGTAGTAGACAGTAGTGTTTTCCCTGACCTGAACTGTAGGGATCACCTTCATTGTCTGGGGCCTTTAGAAAAGGTCTCTCAGCTGCACATCTGAATCTTCAAAGATGCCAGAAATAGACTCAAATGCCATCTTTGGGGTGGGAGATGGAGGGCAGAGCTCATGGCTGTTGTGGATACCTACAGATGGATCCCAAACTGCGCCCATCTTTTGTGGAGATTGGGAAGACCCTGGAGGAAATTCTGAGCCGCCTACAGGAAGAAGAGCAGGAGAGGGATAGGAAGCTGCAGCCCACAGCCAGGGGTAAGAGATTAGACCAGGGAGCCCAACCTAACCCTAAGGGAGGAAATTCGGATGTGGGGCCTTCTCCTCTTAGGGTTGTGATTGCCAGGATCCCAGGTCCAGAAACAAATGGGAGGGGAAGGAGATGATGCAGAAAGTACTGGCCTTTTTAAGAGCTGTGGCTTGGCATACTGCTTCCCCTCTCTGAGTCTGTTTCTTCATTGGTAAAACAGGGCCATGGTATCAGCTTTGCTTTCATGAGTGAAAACATTCTGTGGTAAAATGCTGCTTGTATTTGTTATGACTAGTGAGAGTAACCCAGACTTGATTATTCTTCAGGACTCTTGGAGAAAGCACCTGGGGTGAAGCGACTAAGCTCACTGGATGACAAGATCCCCCACAAGTCACCATGCCCAAGACGTACCATCTGGCTGTCTCGAAGCCAGTCAGATATCTTTTCCCGTAAGCCCCCACGTACAGTGAGTGTCTTGGACCCATACTACCGGCCACGAGATGGTGCTGCCCGCACCCCCAAAGTCAACCCTTTTAGTGCTCGCCAGGACCTCATGGGGGGCAAGATCAAGTTTTTTGACCTGCCCAGCAAGTCTGTCATCTCTCTGGTATTTGACCTGGATGCACCAGGGCCCGGAACTATGCCCCTGGCTGACTGGCAGGAGCCCCTGGCCCCACCTATTCGCCGGTGGCGTTCCTTGCCTGGTTCGCCTGAGTTCTTGCATCAAGAGGCTTGTCCATTTGTGGGCCGGGAAGAATCGCTATCTGATGGGCCCCCACCACGCCTAAGTAGTCTCAAGTACAGAGTTAAAGAGATCCCACCATTCCGGGCATCTGCCCTACCAGCTGCTCAAGCCCATGAGGCTATGGACTGCTCCATTCTCCAGGAAGAAAATGGTTTTGGGTCCAGGCCCCAGGGGACCAGTCCATGCCCTGCGGGTGCTTCTGAGGAGATGGAGGTAGAAGAAAGGCCAGCAGGCTCAACTCCAGCCACCTTCTCCACCTCAGGCATAGGCCTGCAAACCCAGGGAAAGCAGGATGGGTGAGGGGGTTTAGTCCCTGCCTCACCTTGGGGATGGACCTTCAGCTGAAACCATATGGCCCCCTAGGTGCACAGCCTTGATTCTTCCCTGGAGCCTACAGAGCAGGCAGGCTAGGCCAAGCCAGGCTCAACTTCTGGGCTCCCAGTGCCCATTGGCTGTGTATGACGGGAGGCAGCAGTGAGAGGCCTTCCTAGTTAGGGCCAACAGCTGATACCAAGCCTCTGAAATCCAGCAAGGAGGTCTGCCTCCCACCAGACCCTCTCCAGTGTACTTCCCCAGATAGGACCAGAGGATGTCTAGTTCTAGGCTGAGCTGGCAGGCAGCTATTACCCCGGTTCTTTCCCCACCCCAGGTCTGTCTCTTGCCTTTTCTTGGGGCATATAAGCTACTGAGTGGAACATGGAGCTGATCAAGAGGCCGTAATGGTCATGGCTGTTTCCCAGACCTGAATATTGGGGTGCTTCTTGCCAGTATTCTAAGACATTTGAGTAATTGCTGTTTGCACTTACTGCATGGTCAGACCACGTCACTACATTTCTATGCAAGGGGACAGCAAGGCAGCGTGGTGGTCATGGCTCTTAGCTAACCTATTCAAAGACCTTTTCCTGTTGATTAATCTATTTTCATATTTATAAAGGAGTCTTAATGTTCTGCCCCATAAGACTTTCAACCTTGTGGTTGGGAGTGGGGCTGGTTTTGTAGGCCCTAGGGCCTGCTTCTATGTATTTATCAACATGTGATACATTCAATTGGTTAAATGGTTTATACAGGGACTGATTTGCTTCCCTTCCTGCCATGGCTGGAGCTTTGGGAACAGTCTGTCCTTACAGAGCTGCAATAAGAAATAACCAAAGATGAAGCTGGTCAAATATTTTCATAACTTGCTTCTGTTGATTTTTTTTTTTGTAAAACTTTCCCAAGACATTTTCAGACTTAAAAATAAAGTCAGTGTTACAGGTGCTGGTCAGCCTTCTTACTTGTACCTCAAACACTGGGATAAAGGAGGCGGTCCAGGGCAATGCAGTGATGTCTGTCAAGACATTCCCCCTCCCCTAAACTCAGTAGCAGTTGAGGATGACATTTCAGGCTAGAGAGACCCAAAATACCTCTGTTCCACCTGAGAGCAAGGTGGAAGTTGCATCAGCTACTGCCCCAAGTGAGCTTCATCTTCTGATTGTGGGCTTTGGAGGAACGAGAGAACTGGCTCTTGGCCACTGTGAGGGGTACAGCTTTGCCACTCAAATATACCTTATTGTGGCATTCAGGGAGCCAGGGTCCAGAGCTGCAGGGCTGCGGTCCCTGGCTCACTTCCACATAGGCCATCACATAACCTGTCATAAAGGCATCAAAACCAGCCCGGTGCAATCCATCCCCAGGCACTGGGTTAGGACTGGCTTGGCTCCCTGGCACTTCTGAGGTAGCTCTATCAGCTATTTCAGGCCTTGCTGCCTTAATCCCCATCTCTAAGTCATTTTTGTTGCCTTGCTTGGAGTGAGGCAGGTTCCTAGTTTCATCGGCAGCCACCTCCTGCTCGGTTTCTTCAGGCTTGATGCTATCCCCACAGACCTGCTTCTTGGGAGGACCATCCTTAGCTTCCCCAGAGGTCTGTGTCCCCGGTAGGTTCAATAAAGCCCTCTTCCGTTTTTCCCTACGTCGTCGCCGTCGCCGCTTGTCCTCTGCCGCAGCCTCATCAGTGTCAATGATAAGGTCAATATCGTGAGACTGAGGACACTGTGGTCCCAGGGGGCACCAGCCATAAGCCTAGGGGTGGGAAAGAGGCTTAGAAAGAGGCTCCAGGCATCAGAACCTTCCCTCCCAAGAAACAGGTGGGTGCTCTCACCGAGAAGTTGTCACAGATGCTGGTGGGATGAGGACGGTGGGTTGCTGGGGGCAGGCAGCAGCGGTAATCAATATGGTCCCTCATGCTGGAAGGATAGTTGCAGAACTCCAGGGTAAGGTGTGGGCTGCCAGCTGCCCGCTGCTTCCCATTTTCCCGTTCACTGCAACAGCGCAAGAGGGTAATGGTCCACTAGCATATAAGCTCCATAAGAGCAGGGTTTTGTGGTCTGTTTTGTTCACTGCTGAATCCTCAGCACCTAAAACACTGCCTGGGCACATGGTAGGAGCTCAATAAATATCTTAAGTGAATGAAATAAACTCGTATCAGGCCCCACCCCTTTCCCTCAACCATTTCCTCACCATTTCCGGAAGGCATATTCTAAGTAGGAGGCCACGAAACGGGCATGAAACTCAGCAGCATATTTGGTGTCATAAATGCCTGCTGGGAACATCTCACACAGGTCAGCGGTGAAGGTTCCCAGACTCTCAGGGAGGTGTGCATAGAAGTTCTGGTACAGGAACACCAAGTCTATAAGGCCATTGTGTAGCACCAGGGGCCGGCGGGCTCGGATTAGCTCCAGGAATAGGGTCCGTACTGACTGGCTCTGGCTCTCATCACCCTAGATGAAAGTAAAGGGGTCAATGAGGAGGACAGAGTCCCCCAGGGAGCCTCTTCTGCTGGGCACTTATCCCAGACTTCCCCACTTGGAACGCTCTCTCTCTACCTTACCCAATGCTGCCCACCCTCCTCATACCAGTCTTGTTTCCCAAGCCCTGTCACTAGTGATTCCCCATACTCCCTAAGAAGCAGATTCTCCCCAGACATCCAGCCTAGGGTAGGAAGAAATAAAGTCACAGAAAGGGCAGACTCAAGGCTAGGGAGGCTAGAGGCCTACCTTGTCATTGCCCTTATGGTAGGGGATGCCTTGGGCATACTGCTGGTTGAAGTTGAAGCCATGCTGTATCAGGAACTGCACAGACTTTGGTTCTATGACATACTCCTCCATGCACAGCAGAGTGAGATTGAACACTTGAGCCAGATAGGAATGTTCACCCTGGGAGAAAGAGAAGTCTGCTATATCAAGATTTCAGAGAGCCAAGCTAGGAGGATGCAAAAGCTTAAGAATGATACAATGGACTCTGGGGACTCAGGGGGGAAAGGATGGAGGCAGGTGAGGGATAAAAGACTACGCATTGGGCACAGTGTACACTGGGTGATAGGTGCACCAAAATCTCAGAAATTGCCACTAAAGAACTTACTCATTTAACCAAACACCACCTGTTCCCCATAAACCTATTCAAATAAAAAAAAAAAAACTATCAAGTCAAAAAAAAAGATTTGGGAGAGAAATGCTTCCTATCTGATGTTCCCTAGAATCTCTCTACCCTCCACCCCACAGCCACACCTAGGATTGGGGTGAGATCAGCTCATACCTTGTCTGGCTGCCGCTTGAAGCAGGCGAGGCCCAGGGAAAGGATAGAACGGGTCCTGGCAGCATGACACACGGCCTTGTAACGTTCCTCAATGCACCTTGGGGTTGGGTATGGGGGTTGCTGTGGCTAGGAGTTAGCCTTATGAAGGACCCAAACCACCCAGGTCTGTGACCCCCCCACTCCACAGTTGAGGGCTGGCACTAAAGAGAAAAGGGCTTATACTTACTGGTTCAGCAAACTCTTCCTGTCCCCAAGCCCACTCAGCTCCTGTGGGTAGGTAAAGGGAGAGTTGTGACAGGCCTCTAGCACCAGCCCCTTCACAACCACCTGCCCTCCTTGTTTCCCAACTCTCACCGTGTCCACAGCCACGAAATTAGCTGTCTTTATGGCTAGCAGGAGGGATGGCCACATCTCCTTGAAGTTGTTGCTTTGCACATCCACTACGGGAACCTGGACTACTAGCTCCTCCCCAGATGTTGTGCTTTTGCTGACACCACCTGGGGGTTAGGAGGGTGATGGATGTTCATGCTTAAGGAAAGAGCCCAGGGGAACAGACACCAAGCTAGGCCACGGTGATGGTGGTAAGGGGGGTAGTTTCCATTGGTAGCTTTTCCCACAAGCCTTTGTAACCCACGTGTTCTACACACAGGCCTTGGAGTGGAGAATGCCCTGAATTTGGGGAGAGGAAGCCTGAGTCTTCTACTGGCTTGTATGAGCCTGGGTAAATTACTTCCCACCTCGCTTTCACAATCTGTAGAGGAGAAAGTTGGACTAGACGACCTTTGATTCTTTTTTCCCATGTCCTGCAGGAAACATTTTGTAGGGCTTGAGGATCTCAGCTCCCTTAATATCCCACAGGGATCCATACTACTGTTCTCATGGTGCCCCAGCGCCACAAGCAACAGCTCCCAGTAAGCCCCAGAGCCTGGCAGTGCCCCACACCAGAGCTCCCAATACGTCCTACCTTCCTTTGGATCACAACGCTCAATCCACTCCACTGAACTGAATCACAACTATTACTACTAACCGTTATGAGCTCCAGACTACATCTCCCGCCATGCCTCCATCAGCCCCATGCTCCCAACGCTCCAGGCTTTTGCAGCCGGAGCCGCGGTGTACAACGGAACTTGTAGTCTCCTCGTGGCTAGTTCAGGCGGAAGGAGCAGTCCTCTGAAGCTTGAGGAGCCTCTAGAACTATGAGCCCGAGGCCTTCCCCTCTCCCAGAGCGCAGAGGCTTTGAAGGCTACCTCTGGGAAGCCGCTCACCGTCGGAAGCTGCGGGAGCTGAAACTGCGCCATCGTCACTGTCGGCGGCCATGACACCGCTCGTCTCCCGCCTGAGTCGTCTGTGGGTACGCTGGACTTGCGGTCCGTCTCCTGGCGCGGTTCAGGCAGTCGGGGATGGGGCGGGGTCTCGCCGTCGGGTCGCCGATGGGTCGAACTTCCGTTCAGACGTCCCGGGTCCGGCGCGGGGAAGGCAGCCTGGCGCGCGCTAATTGCCTATTGGCCTGTGCTGCCGGCTCGCAGCCCGGGTGGACCCGAGCCACGCCCCCTGGAGTGCGCCGGAAAGCCGGGCGCGCTAGAGCTCGCGGGAGGTAATCTTTCTCTCCTGCTCTCGCGGCGGGAACGCGGGGCCTCCGTGTTCTGCTGTCTTCATCAGCGTGGGCCGCGGGTAGCGGGTAGTGGGGTGGCTGGGTTTGGGCTTTCCAGAGAAGGTGACGCTGCCTGAGCTGAGCTTAAAGCACGCCCAGGAGTTAGACTAGGAGAGGGTCGTGTGGGGGAAAGAAGGGCGTTCTGGGCATCGGTAAATTCCCAGAGAGGATGGAGAGCTCAGTGATCTCCAGAAAGTGAAAGAGGCGGGGAGTGGGCCATCGGAGGAGGCTGCCCAGGGTGTAAGAGCGACCGATTGGTAGGGAAGCTTTTGTAATAATCCAATCAAGTGATAATGTGAACTTGAATTAAGGCTGGCAGTATGGATGGCGAGGAAGGGACAAATTGTGAAGCAGCTAGGCGGTATAGTCGACCTAGAGGGTGATTGAATTTGAAAGAGGTTCCTAGGCCGGGCGCGGTGGCTCACGCCTGTAATCCCAGCACTTTGGGAGGCCGAGGCGGGCGGATTACCTGAGGTCCGGAGTTCAAAACCAGCCTGGCCAACATGGTGAAACCCCGTCTCTACTAAAAGTACAAAAAAAATTAGCTGGGTATGGTGCGGGCGCCTGTAATCCCACTACTTGGGAGGCTGAGGCAGGAGAATCGCTTGAACCTGGGAGGCAGAGGTTGCGGTGAGCCGAGATCACGCCATTTTGCACTTCAGCCTAGGCAACAAGAGCGAAACTCCGTCTCAAAAAAAAAAAAAAAAAAAAAATTCCTATTGGAGACTAGTCCCTCCGTAAACACTACGATTCCCATCCACCTCTGCCTTCCAGTGCTCCTTTGTTACTCATTGTTTATAGTTAATCTTCAGCTTCTCTCAACTGAGCCCATTTCATCATTATTCAGAACTGCTTGGGCCGGGCGCAGTGGCTTATGGCCTGTAATCATCTTAGGAGGCCAAGGTGGGAGGATCGCTTGACCCTAGGAGTTCAAGACTAGCCTGGGCAACATAGTGAAACCTTGTCTCTACAAAAAGAAAATTAAAAATTAGTTGGGCATGGTGGTGCGCACCTGTAGTCCCAGCTACAGGAGGCTGAGGTGAGAGGATGGCTTGAGCCCAGGAGGTCGAGGCTGCAGTGAGCCATGTTCTTATTGCACTCCAGCCTGAGTGGCAGAGCAGCAAAGTGAGGGACACACTGTCTCTAAAAACAAAACAAACAAACAAAAAAAAAACAAAAATAAAAAAACTCTTTGGATTTCTCCTATCCTAAAAAAGGGAAACTCTTTTGACTATCCCCCATCCCATTAATTCATTTAACAGGTATCTATTGTGTACAGTTTACCTGGCACTGACTTTGGACACACACCAATCAACAAGAGAATCAGTCCTTGCACTCAAGTCGTTTTTTACAGTCAAATTCAGGAAGTACACACTGATGGAAAGAATCAAAGTAATGTAAAATTACATTAGGTAAGAGCTACAAGGCAGAAATATGTGATAGGATAAGATGAGGGGACCTGATTTGGACATTTCAGTCAAGACTTGAAAAATGATAAGGTGTTAGGTAAAAGCATAAAAGAGTCCAAACAGAGGAAATGGATTGTGTGAGGCCCCAAGGTGGGCAGACACACTTGAGGTGTTTAAGCAACTAAATTCAGTCAACCTTGGCTAGAGCATAGTGAGGGGATGAGGCGGATGGTGCCCGGATCACTGGACCTGCAAGGCTGTAGTAAGAGGACTGCCTTCTAAGAGCAAGGGTGTGGCAGCCAAATCCCTCCAATGGCCTATAAGGTACTTTGTGACCCTCCTCTCCCCACCTCATCTGGTTTACTTCTCTGACCTCTTCTACCACTCAGTCCCATCTCATTCCATTCTAACCACATTGACCTACTTACTGTACCACAGACATACCAGGCACCCTCCTTGGGGCCTTTGCACTCACTTAGAATGCTTTGGGTCTACCTTGACCACAGTCTTTAAAATTGCAACATTAAACCCCACCTTGGCACTCTTTTTTTTCCCCTCTTGGTCTAATTTTTGCTTTTTATGCTAATATTTATCACCTAACATCTTATGGAATTTACTTATGTTCATTATTCCTTTTCTGTCCCCATTAGAATATAAGCTCCCTGAGGGCAGGAACTTTTGATGTTTTATTTACTGAAGTATGCCAAGTGCCTAAAACTGCTTGGCACATATTAGGGGGCTCTATAAATATTTGCTCAATCTTTTTTTTTCTTTAAGAGACAAGGTCTTGCTGAGCCCAGGGTGGAGTGCAGTGGCACAATCATAGCTCACTGCAGCCTCGACCTTCTGGGCTCAAGCTGTTCTTCACTTCAGCCTCCAGAGTAGCAGGATTACAGTGTTGAGCCACCACAACCAGCTTGCTCAAGAATTTAATGACCCATAGTAAAGGCCTACAGTATTTAAAAAAGAAAGAAAAAGGAAAAAAGGAAGGAAGGAAAGAGGGAGGGAGAAAAAAAGAGAAAAGAAAGAAAATAAAAGAATATAATGGGGTGTCACCAGGCGCCGTGGCTCATGCCTGTATCCCAGCACTTTGGGAGGCCGAGGCGGGTTGATTGCTTGAGCTCTGGAGGTGGAGACTAGCCTGGGCAACATGGTGAAACCCTGTCTCTAACAAAAATACAAAAATTAGCTGGATGTGGTGGTGGTGTGCGCCTGTGGTCCCAGCTGCTTGGAGTTGGGGTGGGGTATTGGGGTGGGAGGATTGCTTGAGCCGAGGAAGCAGAGGTTGCAGTGAGCCAAGATCACACCACTGCACTCCAGCCTGGGTGACAGAGTGAGACCCCATCCCAAAAAAAAAAAAAAGAATGGGAAACCATTGAAGGTTATAAGGAAGGAAGTGACGTGATCTGGAAAAGATTCCTTTGCTCTTTGGAGAATAGATTGTAGAATGAATGTGGAAGTAAGCAGGTTTGGTGAAGGAAGTTTGGCTATGAAGGGAAGGAGGGTGGGATTTGATTGTGTTACGAGCCAAGGGGAAAATCTTTCCCTTTGCCCTCTGAAGATCTGCTGAAAAATCAGCTCACAAAAGGCAGGTTAACTGGAGAAAAGGCATACAAATTTATTAACATGCACATTGGGAGAACCATAAAGTGATTACCCATCTCCCTACAGAGTTCGTGAGTTTATATACCATCTGGCAAAACAGATTATGGGAGGGGTGTCTCACGTGTGTCCATGTGAAGAGACCACCAAACAGGCTTTGTCTGAGCAACAAGGCTGTTTATTTCACCTGGGTGCAGACAGGCTGAGTCTGAAAAAAAGGAGTCAGCAAAGGGTGGTGGAATTATCATTAGTTCTTATAGGTTTTGGGATAGGCATTGGAGTTAAGAGCAATGTTTTGGGGGCAGGGGGTGGATCTCACAAAGTACATTCTCAAGGGTGGGGAGATTATAAAGAACCTTCTTAAGGGTGGGGGGGAGATTACCAAGTACATTGATCAGTTAGCGTGGGGCAGAAACAAATCACAGTGGTGGAATGTGATCAGTTAAGGCTATTTTCACTTCTTTTGTAGATCTTCAGTTGCTTCAGGCCATCTGGATGTATAAGTGCAGGTTACTGAGGATATGATGGCTTAGCTTGGGCTCAGAGGCCTGACAAGGGGTAGAAGAGAAATTCTGTTTTTCTGTTTTTGTAGAGACGGGGTCTTGCTATGTTGCAAGCCTAATCTCGAACTCCTGGGCTCAAGTAATCCTCCTGCCTTGGCCTCCCAAAGTGCTGGGATTACAGGCCTGAGCCAGCATGTCCAGCTCTATTTGTTTTTAAATAAACCGAACTTTGGCCAGAAGGAGATTCTGTTGAAGGGCAATAAAGGATTACTAGAGAGAATGGAATGGGGACAGAGGTTGACTTGTTAATAGTTCTCTTTGGAATTTGAGTGATCCTGAGGTACACAATACCTGTGAAAGGGTTTGTTCAGGTGTGGTTACATGTTAGTCTTATTGGGAGGGGAAGAAAAAACAAGTATTCTTTTTAGTGAGTTTGGACTTTAGGCAGATAAAGAGTTCCAGAGAACAACTTTATCCTGGCTTTGGGAGAGTCTGGGGTGGAAGGATCAGAGAGACCTTGCGGCTTCTTGAGTTCAGCATGTCAGAGGGCCATATTTTGGGGTATTGGTTTCTTTTCTTTTCTTTTTTTTTGAGACAGAGTCTTGCTCTGTCTTTGTTGCCCAGGCTGTGCAGTGGCATGATCTCAGCTCACTGCAAGCTCTGCCTCCTGGGTTCAAGCGAGCACGTCTGGCTAATTTTTTTGGATTTTTAGTAGAGATGGGGTTTCGCCATGTTGGCCAGGCTGGTCTCGAACTCCTGGCCTCAAGTGATCTGCCTGCCTTAGCCTCCCGCAGTGTTGGGATTACAGGCATGAGCCACCGTGCCTGGCCTGGGGTATTAGTTTCTGAGTTCCAACAGTTAGACGGGATTGGAGGAGCAGGACCCTGAAGAGGAGGAGGGTAAGACAGTGCAAATGGAGGTAGATTTGAAGTTGGTTTTTTTTTTTCTGAAGGAGGAGGCAAGCTCTTTTGATGAAAATGAGGTGGTAAAGTCAAAGGTTTGGGGGGAGAGTTTGATACAGAGGCTTAGCAGGGACTGCATTTTATCACAGTATAAGAATGCTGGTCGTGGATTTGAAAGAACAAGTCGCTTAATCTCCATAAACCTCAATTTCCTTATAACTAAGGTGGAGGTGATACTAGTACATACCTCATAGAGTCACCAGGAGATTGAGAGATCCGGTAAAGCTCTTCATGGGGTCTGACATAGAGTAGGCACTCACAAAATATCAACTAATTTTAGCTGTTAGAGAAAAGGCGGCCATTATAACAGTTAGGGAGCAGTGAAAATCAACCAGGCACATTTTCTCATTGTTGATGGTCAGCCACCTATGGTTTACTAGATTAGGAATAAAAATAGCTAATCTCTGTTCTCCCACTGATTTGCCATCTGTTCTCAGACAGATCTTTTGTCCCTCTGATCCTTGGTTTCTTCTAGGATAAAATGAAGGTTTTGGACTTAATGACTACTACAGGCTGTTTCAGTGTAACCATGCTACATCTCTAAGAGGCAGAGAAACCGCCTACCCCCATTCTCCCAGACACACCTAAACAACCCCTATCCACACACACAGTCACAGTAAGCATCAGAGATACACAAATGCTCCCAAACAGGAGGCTTTCATCCTTGACCCATCCCAGCCCTGGCCTCACAGTCTTTGCATGTCTCCAGGGCTGTAACGCCGGCCCCCTTGAGGCCACTTGCTCAGCTATACTAGTTGTATCTCAGTGCTGCAGCCAGCCAAGAGTAAACCCGTGAGCATCTTGAGAGTGCTTGAGAGAAGCTGGACCCCATGTGAATGGTGGATGAGAGGGAGATAGCTATCACCCTTGGAAGGCCTCAAAATTTGGCCTCATTGTGACTGACTGCTTTGGCTGGGTCTTTTTGTTTCAGGCCATCATGAGGAAGCCACGAGCAGCCGTGGGAAGTGGTCACAGGAAGCAGGCAGCCAGCCAGGAAGGGAGGCAGAAGCATGCTAAGAACAACAGTCAGGCCAAGCCTTCTGCCTGTGATGGTAAGGAACTAGGTTGTGGCCCAAGGCTCATTGGCCATGAAAGGCAGATTCAGGCTGGGAAGGGATTGTGATACGTATCAAGACATTAAGAGACTTACTAAGGGCCAGGTGCGGTGGCTCACACCTGTAATCCCAGCACTTTGGGAGGCCGAGGCAGGTGGATCCCTTGAGCCCAGGAGTTTGAGACCAGCTTGGGTAACATGGCGAAATCCCCTCTCTATGCTCGCGTGGTGGTGAGCGTCTGTAGTCCCAGCTACTCGGGAAGCTGAGGTGACAGGATCGCTTGAGCCTGGAAGGCAGAAGTTGCACTGAGTCAAGATAATGCAACTGCATTTCAGTCTGGGCAACAGAGCCAGACTCTTGTCTCAAAACAAAAGAGACTCACTGAGGGTGTAATTCTGACTGTATTGCTGTGTGACATTGGGACAATTGCTCTGAATGGCTGCTTTCTTACCAGTAAAATGGAGCAGTAGTTCAGCATTTCCTCCCTCATGTGGCTTTCATGGGACCAAATGAGTTTATGAGCCTGAAAGTGTTTTGTGAATAGGAAGGTCCTGCACCAGTATACATTCTAGCTGGCTAAAACTATTAGGTTTTCATTATGGCTCAGAGACAAGCCAGTAGTACCACCCTGAGAAAATTAAGGCCAGAAACTTAGCCACAGCTACACACAATTACATAACTCTGGTCTGACTCCAGCTCCAAAGCTTAAGGGGGTTAGTTGGGGGAAGCCCTAAGTGGGAGCATACTGCCACAGGCTGCTGTGTCCCAAGACCCTGATGCACAGCCTGTGCAGGGATGATTGCTGAGTGTCCTGGGGCCCCAGCAGGCCTGGCCAGGCAGCCGGAAGAGGTGGTATTGCAGGCCTCTGTCTCCTCATACCATCTATTCAGAGACGTAGCTGAAGTCACAGCCTTCCGAGGGAGCCTGCTAAGCTGGTACGACCAAGAGAAACGGGACCTACCATGGAGAAGACGGGTAGGCAGGCGAGGAGCAGGGACAGTGGGTGGGAGGCAGGCACCCAGCCCCCTCCACCCTAACTCCTCATCTGGGGTTGCATTGACAGGCAGAAGATGAGATGGACCTGGACAGGCGGGCATATGCTGGTCAGTACATCTCCTGAGAGCAGGGCCACTTTGCCTCGAGGCCCTTGGGTCTGGGGGCTGTGGGCCAGGTAGGGGCAGGTCAGCAGTGTCCTCATGCCAACCCCTTTCCCCCAGTGTGGGTCTCAGAGGTCATGCTGCAGCAGACCCAGGTTGCCACTGTGATCAACTACTATACCGGATGGATGCAGGTGACTCCAGGGGAGGAAGGGAAGGGTCATGGGTCAGACCCCAGATGAGAGCCTCTACTTTGGGGTGGGTGTAGAGAAGGCTTCCTCTACCACCTTCACCCTTGACCTTGTCTCTTTCTGCCTGCCTGTGGCTATAGAAGTGGCCTACACTGCAGGACCTGGCCAGTGCTTCCCTGGAGGTGAGAGCCACCCTAGGGTAGGGGAAATAGGAACAATAGAGGGACTGACGGGTGATCTCTTTGACCTCTGATCCTACCCACAGGAGGTGAATCAACTCTGGGCTGGCCTGGGCTACTATTCTCGTGGCCGGCGGCTGCAGGAGGGAGCTCGGAAGGTAAGGGGATGGCAGGAGGGTAGGAACCCAGGAGTCTTGGGTGTCTTATAATCTTGAGTCTTGCACTCCAATCAGGTGGTAGAGGAGCTAGGGGGCCACATGCCACGTACAGCAGAGACCCTGCAGCAGCTCCTGCCTGGCGTGGGGCGCTACACAGCTGGGGCCATTGCCTCTATCGCCTTTGGCCAGGTGATCTCACAGCCCACCCCCACTTTGTGCGTGCCCAGCCTCCTTCCTCCCAGCCCAGGCTAACTCTTTGGCCCCTCTGTGCCAGGCAACCGGTGTGGTGGATGGCAACGTAGCACGGGTGCTGTGCCGTGTCCGAGCCATTGGTGCTGATCCCAGCAGCACCCTTGTTTCCCAGCAGCTCTGGTAGGATGTTGGGGTAACAAGGGTGCTTCAGGGGTGTCTGCAAAGGAGCTCTGCTTCACAGCAGTGTTCCCTTCTTTTAGGGGTCTAGCCCAGCAGCTGGTGGACCCAGCCCGGCCAGGAGATTTCAACCAAGCAGCCATGGAGCTAGGGGCCACAGTGTGTACCCCACAGCGCCCACTGTGCAGCCAGTGCCCTGTGGAGAGCCTGTGCCGGGCACGCCAGAGAGTAAGCCTACTGGGGAAGGGGCAGTGAGAAGTCCTAAGGAGTGACTCTGCCCTATGACACTCAACCCTGTGCCTCTCAGGTGGAGCAGGAACAGCTCTTAGCCTCAGGGAGCCTGTCGGGCAGTCCTGACGTGGAGGAGTGTGGTGAGCACCAAACCTAGCCCCCACCCCAACCCTTCCTGGCCCAGTCAGAAGCCCCATTCCAGTTCTTCCTCTAACCTGAGTAAGATTCTGCAGAACCCGGCCAAAGCCCACTCTCTAGGTTGGCCCCTAAAGCCCTCTTGGCTTGAGTAGGGTTCGGGGATCTCCGTTCCCAGCTCCCAACACTGGACAGTGCCACCTGTGCCTGCCTCCCTCGGAGCCCTGGGACCAGACCCTGGGAGTGGTCAACTTCCCCAGAAAGGCCAGCCGCAAGCCCCCCAGGGAGGAGAGCTCTGCCACCTGTGTTCTGGAACAGCCTGGGGCCCTTGGGGCCCAAATTCTGCTGGTGCAGAGGCCCAACTCAGGTACCTGGATACTGGGCGTGGAGGGCAGTGGCATGAGTAACAAGAGAGAATGGAGGGAATCGGCAGCTGAGGCCTGACCCCTGCCTGGCTGCCCTCCCTCTCAGGTCTGCTGGCAGGACTGTGGGAGTTCCCGTCCGTGACCTGGGAGCCCTCAGAGCAGCTTCAGCGCAAGGCCCTGCTGCAGGAACTACAGCGTTGGGCTGGGCCCCTCCCAGCCACGCACCTCCGGCACCTTGGGGAGGTAAGTGAGCAGCGGAATAGCCAAGGATGTTGGCTTTTGAGGCTATATCCACAGGCCTATTTGAACCCCTTGACCCTTCCTCCAGGTTGTCCACACCTTCTCTCACATCAAGCTGACATATCAAGTATATGGGCTGGCCTTGGAAGGGCAGACCCCAGTGACCACCGTACCACCAGGTGCTCGCTGGCTGACGCAGGAGGAATTTCACACCGCAGCTGTTTCCACCGCCATGAAAAAGGCACTACCTTTGTTGTCTTTGTTGTACTTCCTTGTGTTTCCTACATGTTCTACATGAATATATTACTGTGTAAACAGGAAAAAAAGCATTTTTTTTTGAGACGGAGAATCGCTCTGTTGCCCAGGCTGGAGTGCAATGGCGCTATCTCGGTTGACTGCAACCTCCATCTCCCGGGTTCAAGTGATTCTCCTGCCTCAGCTTCCTGAGTAGCTCGGATTACAGGCGCCCGCCACCATGCCTGGCTAATTTTTGTATTTTTAGTAGAGATGAGGTTTCACCATGCTGGCCAGGCTGGTCTCCAACTCTTGACCTCAAGTGATCCGCCCGCCTCAGCCTCCCAGAATGCTGGGATTACAGGTGTGAGCTACCACACCCAGCCATGATTTTTTGTATTTTTAGAGATGGGGTTTCACCATGTTGGCCAGGCTGGTCTCAAACTCCTGGCCTCAAGTGATCCACCCGACTTGGCCTCCCAAAATGCTGGGATTATAGGCGTGAGCCACCATGCCTGGCCAAAAAAGCATATTTTAAACAAAAGTACTGGGACATGAAGTTAAGGGCAGAACACCGGTTTATCTCTTTTGCAAAAAGTGCCAGCCCTCACCTCCCTGTCTTCTTGTCTAGGTTTTCCGTGTGTATCAGGGCCAACAGCCAGGGACCTGTATGGTAAGTCTCCTAGGCCTCTCCCAACCGTGTCTCCCCAGGCCTGAGTCCATAGGTTTTTAGTCAGTTAACTAACGAATGTCTGGGTGAACATTCTCCACTCCAGGCTTCACTGGAGGGAGGAATAGTTCTTGACCTGGAGACCTTCCATTGTGGGGTGCAGGGTAGAGGGAAAGGAAAAAAATGATGAGGACTCTCCAGTGTCACAGGTGTGTGAAATGCCTGTACTGAGTTTTGTGGGATATGAATTGTGGAGCCATCAGTTCTTTTTTTTTTTTTTTTTTTTTTTTGAGACAGTCTCACTGTCACCCAAGCTAGAGTGCAGTGGCCCGATCTCGGCTCACTGCAATCTCCCACAACTGGATTAAAGCGATTCTCCTGCCTCAGTCTCCCAAGTAGCTGGGATTACAGGTGCCTGCTACCACACCCAACTAATTTTTGTATTTTTAGTAGAGACAGGGTTTCACCATGTTGACTAGGCTGGTCTCGAACTCCTGACCTCAAGTGATCTGCCCATCTTGGCCTCCCAAAGTGCTGGGATTACAGGCGTGAGCCACCACACCCATCCATGGGAGCTATCAGTTCTAATTGGGAGACGGATCAGGAAAGGCTGTTTGGAGGAAGCAGCTGGTAATCTTCGTCCTAGAAATGAATCCTTTTCTTCAGGTTTGGGAGGGGAATCAACCGTAGCGATGTTCTTTCCAGTCCCAAGAGTAGTGTGAGCAAAGGTGGAGCCCAGTGCAGGCTGCAGTGCTCAAGGAGCTGTGAGCAGTTGGTTTAGCTGGAAAGGTCAGCAGGGCCTGCTGGGTCAGTCAGGGTGTGAGCCCTAGGCTGCTGACTCATTTTAGGTGGAGGAGAGAGGAGTCAGATTTGCATTTTTAGGACAATTCGATTCCCTCAGGCAGCCTTTTGGAGGGTTGATTGATGGGGCAGATACTTGAGGCAGGATGAAAGCTCTACAGCATTCCAGGCTAAGCCTAGCTAGATCAGTAGAGTCGGGGAAAGGGAGAGAGGACAAGGAGAGGATTCTCTGCTCCCCCTCCCCCAACTACAAGGCCTCCCTCCTTCCATTTTTTCACAGGGTTCCAAAAGGTCCCAGGTGTCCTCTCCGTGCAGTCGGAAAAAGCCCCGCATGGGCCAGCAAGTCCTGGATAATTTCTTTCGGTCTCACATCTCCACTGATGCACACAGCCTCAACAGTGCAGCCCAGTGACACCTCTGAAAGCCCCCATTCCCTGAGAATCCTGTTGTTAGTAAAGTGCTTATTTTTGTAGTTATTTTATGTTGTATTTTTTTGAGATGGGGGTCTCGCTATGTTGCTCAGACTGGTTTCGAACTCAGGTGATTCTGGCCTCAAGTGATTCTCCCACTTCAGCCTCCTAAAGTGCTTGGATTACAGGCATGAGCCACCACGCCCGCCCTTTTGTAGCTATTTTGGACAGCCTTCCACCCTCTCCCTAGCCCCCTCACCCCTTATATCTGAGGGAGGGACCCAGAAAAGTGGTGACGTTCTGCTTGGTTCTGACTTTCTCTGGCTGAACTCCCAGCCAGCCCCGGGCAGATGGGGTTGGAGTGGGGGTGTTCTGTCCAGACTGATCTGCCCTCCAACCCCCAGGAGAAAGGCAAGGCAGCTACAGGGAGAACCTGCCAGTGGCTGACACACAACACCCTCTGTTTACGTCTCAGGTCAGCTCTAATTGGAGTGGTGGCATCACTCTGGAGTAGGTAGTTGGGCTCAACTCTCACCCAGCCCCTCCCCACCTGAGTGGTCGCTCCCTAGGGGGAGAGGAAGCACAGGAGAAGATTTGTTCTGTTTTAAATTCCTACCTCAAATACGAAATAATTTATTTAGGGTTATGTTACATACGGAGTGAAACAATACAGAAAAGCAAAGGGCTAATAATGACAGGATTTGAGGAGTGGGTGGGAGGAAATAGAATCACAGCGGGACACAGGGAGGACTCGAAAGTATTGGTTATGTTCTATTTCCTAGTGTGTAATTCTTTTATTGTTCTTTGTATCTTACATATTTATTATAGACTGTATATAAGAAATGTTTTAGTTTTAAAAAATCCCACCTCTTTGGAGCCCAATGAGAGACACAGCTTCTGGCAGGCACTGATGAAATGGAAGTCACACCTGCCCCCCGGAGGCAAAGCCTTTCACTAGTTGGGCCTCCTGCAGATGTTCCTCAGTTCTGTGCTGGTCTCCCCAGAGCTGCAGGACAGCTGGCTGCACCCAGCCCTGGGCATCCTTAGGCTTCCTGGCTCCTGGCAGATTGCTCCTGTACGGACTGCCACAGAGCTCTGATGTTGCCCTGACCAAAGCCAGTGGCCCCCTGCCTCTGAATCAGCTCCAGGAAGAAAGTGTCCTCAGTAAAAAGGGACTTGGTGAAGACCTGAAGCAGAAACTTGCCTTTATCACCATCTAGCAGGATCCCCTGTCGAGCAAGCAGATGAGGCTCGTGCCCTGCAGCTCGGATCTGCCTCTCCTTTCCTGGCTGCTGGTAGTATGCCCCAGGGGGAGCCAGGAACTGGCCTCCAGCAGTTGCCACCCCCTCAGTGGCCTCCACAATGTTAGGCGTATACAGCCCCACGTGCTGCAGGCCTGGCCCCTTGTGCCGGGCCAGGAACTGCTCCACCTGGTCCTGTCGTGTCGTCGCCCCCGGAAGGGACTCAGCCAGAACAAGAGTGGGGACAATGCTGCCCGGCTGGGCCTGCAGGGCTGTAAGCCTCAGTCCCCCAAGCCCAAACCCTGCTGTCATTTCGAGGCCCAGCTCGGGATCCTCACCTGGGCTCAGCGGCAAGTGGCAAAAGCCCAGGCAGTCGTGGAACCAGCGCAAAAGTGTGGGGGAGCTGCCGGGGGTGCAGGCCAAGGTCAGGTGGTCCACGCGGCTGACCCACCCGGGGCCAGGCGCAGAGGACACGGGCCTGAAGCCGGGTAGGAAGGGTCCGCGGTAGCCAGCGCGCTCCAGCAAGGTCAGGCTGAGGATGCCGGCAGGCGAGCTGACCACGGCGTAAGTGGCGGCACCCTGCGCGTCCCGCACGCGAACGGGAGGGACAGGCACGCTGCAGCCCAGCGCTGCCAGCTCCCGGGTTGCAGCGCCGGCGTCCGCCACGTCGAAGCACAGGTTTGTGGCGCTGGGCACGGCGTGACGCGGATCCAGGCCGTACAGCGGCTCTCCAGACCCTGCGCCCTCGTTCACCAAAAAGACCGCGTCGCCGCTGCGCAGGGCTAGCTGCCGCCAGCCGTCCACCTCCCGCGAAGCCAGGGGCTGGAAGCCGAAGAGGCGCTGCAGGTTCCGGGCTAGGGGCTGCCCGGCGGGCACGTGGAAGGCGATGTGGCACAAACGAAGGGCGGGCGCGGCCATGGCGCTCTGGACGGCGACCTAGACTTGTCCTTCTGGGGCCGCTTACTTGTGGTTGGGGACTTCGGGGCTCTCAGTCCTGGGCTGATCGTCCGGAGTTGGGGAGTCCGGCTCACCCCGCAGAGCGCGTTCCTCGCTTTCTTCCGGAAAGAAGTCACCCGCCGACCCCTGAGAGCTCGCGGTTCTCCCTGCAGCGCCACCCCAGCCAGGAGCAGCGTCTGGACCACCGGGTCTCAGTGAGCCGAGCTGCTGGTTGTGAGAACCACGCGGTGCCTGTGCTCGCGCCAAGCAGGAGAAAGAGGGCGGAGCCCGTGACTCCGCCTTTGACTCCCCACCCCCTCCCCCACACCCTGTCGCCTCGGATACTGCGGGGTCGCCGCGCTGCTCTTTCCCCGGGCCTCACGCCTGGTCACATCCTTGGGCACTGAGCCTCCCTTCCCCAGCCCAGGAACTCACAATGGCTGCCTTCACTCGGCGCCAGGCACTGGGCTCCCACTCATCCCCCCAACCTCACAGCGAAGGGACTCAGCCCGGGTTCAGGGAAAGAGTTGGAATTCTCTCTCCACAAGCACGGAATTTTTTAGCACTTTCATGTTTTTTCTTTAAGTTCTGGAGTTTGCCTCTAAGTCTTAATGTTCCCTGGAATACACACACACACACACACACACACACACACACGTTTATATGTTTTGAGACAGGGTCTCACTCTGTCACCCAGGCTGGAGTGGCACAATCACAGCTCACTGCAGCCTCCACCTCCTGGGTTCAGGCGATTTTCCTTGCCTCAGTGCACAAATAGCTGGGACCACAGGCGGACGCCACCACACCCAGCTAATTAAAAATAATTTTTTTTTTTAGAAATGGGGTCTTGCTATATTGCCCAAGCTGGTTTTAAACCCCTGGGCTCAAGCCATCTTTCCACCTCAGCCTCCCAAAGTGTTGGGCAATCTCTCAACCAGTCCTGTCTCTTTCTTCAATCACCCTTCTGTCAACATCATTTAACCCCTTGTCCCAAGCAAGATTTGGAGGAAAAATCTGACGGTTCGGGATCTGAAAGGAACAGCTGCCTGGCTGTCATTCCCCTTCCCCATCCTTTGAGGACTGGAACACAGGCCCTCCTTGCTCTTTGCAGCTTCCTGACTTGGCATTGAGCCAGAGATTTCTGTGGTGGGGGCACTTCTGGCTCTGAAACCCAGAATTGTGTGAGATGACTGGATTGAGGAATTTGTAGTCTTCTGGAACTTCAACTGAGTGGCCCTTGAAGGGTTAGGGAAGGGCATCCAAGAAGGGCAAAGGGCATAAGCAAAAACTCAGTAAGAGTGTGAGCCAGACTCTTAGAGGAGCAATGGGCCATGCTGTTAGGGAGGCATTTAGGATGAATGCCACAGTCCAAGGCATCACAAGAAATTTTTTTGTCAGGCAGCCTGATCTACTGGGTTTCATTGGCAAGAGGGAGAAGGATGTCATAGGGGACAGGGGCTAGCTGGATGTCATGGTGTTCAGGCCTGCAGGCAGGAGGGCAGTACCCAGGAGCTGGTCAGGGTGGTAAAAGGTACTTGGTGCTACTCTGCAGACCAGTGAATGTGAGGACATGAGTTCCAAAAGCCAGACGGACCTGGGTTTGAATCACCAGCAACACTTACTGTCTGTATGGGCAAGTTGCTTAACGCCTCTGAGCCTTAATTTGCCCATCTGTAAAAATGGAAATAATAGTACCTACTTCAAAGAGTTGTGATTAAGTGAGGTGGAGTAAGTGTTCAGTAAATAGTAGCTGTTGCTATTGTAGTTACTGTTTTTTTTTTTAATTAATTTTATTTTCCCACATATTCTAATATTTATTTATTTTAAAAAGTTTTTCAGAGCTGGGCACAGTGGCTCACACCTGTAATCTCAGCACTTTGGGAGGCTGAGGCAGGCGGATCACCTGAGGTCAGGAGTTCAAGACCACCCTGGCCAACATGGTGAAACCCCATCTCTACTAAAAATACAAAAAATTAGATGTAATCCCAGCTACTCGGGAGGCTGAGGCAGGAGAATCACTTGAACCCAGGAGGCGGAGGTTGCAGTGAGCCAAGATCATGCCATTGCACTGTAGCCTGGGCAACAAGAGAGAAACTCTGTCTCAAAAAAAAAAAAAAAGAAAAGAAAAAAGTTTTTTTAGAGATGAGGTCTTACTCTGTCACCTAGGCTGGAGTGTAGTGGCATGATCACAGCTCACTGCAGGCTCCAACTCCTGGGCTTAAGCAATCCTTCCACCTCAGTCTCCCAAGTAGCTTGGGACTACAGGTGCACACCACCATGCCTGGCTATTTAGTTATTGTTTTATTTTATCTCATGATACAATGCCAGTGGTACCTCCCAGAAGGTGTTGTGTGGCCTACTAGAGAGATGGGGACAGGGGCTTCACTGGCATGGGCCAAAGGCTAGGCAGCCTACTCAATGAGCAGCTCACCCCAAGGAATCCTGGGTAGTAAGAAAGGAAAGTAAATCTTGGGGGCCCCAAATCACTAAGCTAAAAGGAAAAGTCAAGCTGGGAACTGCTTAGGGCCAATCTGCCTCCCATTCCGTTCAAAGTCACAGTAAGAGTTAAAGAAAGAGGAAAGAAACACAAAAAGCAGCTCAAAAATCAAACCTGAGAGGGGCTTCTGGCTGATTTCAGTCAGGAGTGCTCTCTCTTACAGACTATTTATTTATTTATTTATTTATTTATTTAGAGATGGATTCTCACTCTGTCACCAGGCTGGAGTGCAGTGGCGAGATCTCAGCTCACTGCAACCTCCGCCTCCCGGGTTCAATCGATTCTCCTGCTAGCCTCCCAAGTAGCTGGGACTTACAGGCACGCACCACCATACCCAGCTAATTTTTGTATTTTTTTTAGTAGAGACGGGTTTCACCATATTGGCCAGGATGGTCTCAATCTTTTGACCTCATGATCCGCCTGCCTCCACCTCCCAAAGTGCTGGGATTACAGGCGTGAGCCACCGCGTCTGGCCCAGACTAACAGTATTTATTGGAGAGAGCTTGGAATGTTTCTGTGTCAGGGAGAAGTTTATGGTGGAGTTGGAATGTCTCTGGTTGGAGGGGAGGTTATCTTGAGGCTGACACCTCTCCAGCCGAAGGGGAGGTTATCTTGGGGCTGGCATGTCTCTGGCTGGGGAGGGGCTTGGAACGTTTCTGGTCAGAGATGTCATTTGTGGTTTATGGTCATGCTGACCTTAGCCATTAGGCTGATGCCCTTTGGATTTAGGCAGTTTTTGATCAAGGCAAAACTTAAAATGGCAGTGCTTGTCCAAGATGGCAGTGCTCCTGCTCCGTCAGTCCAGACTCTATAGTGATAAAAAGGACGGGGGCAGCCAGGTGCAGTGGCTCACACCTGTAATCCCAGCACTTTGGGAGGCCAAGGCGAGTGGATAGCTTGAGGTCAAGTATTCAAGACCAGCCTGACCAACACGGTGAAACCCCATCTCTGCTAAAAAAAATACAAAATTAGGCCAGGCGCGGTGGCTCACGCCTGTAATCCCAGCACTTTGGGAGGCCGAGGCGGGTGGATCACGAGGTCAGGAGATCGAGACCATCCTGGCTAACACGGTGAAACCCCGTCTCTACTAAAAATACAAAAAATTAGCTGGGCGTGGTGGCGGGCACCTGTAGTCCCAGCTACTCGGGAGGCTGAGGCAGGAGAATGGCGTGAACCCAGGAGGCGGAGCTTGCAGTGAGCCGAGACTGAGCCACTGCACACCAGCCTGGGCGACAGGGCGAGACTCCGTCTCAGAAAAAGAAAAATTAGCCAGGCATGGTGGTGCACGCCTGTAATGCCAGCAAGCTGAGAGGCTGAGGCAGGAGAATTGCTTGAACCCAGGAGGCGGAGGTTGCAGTGAGCCGAGATCGCACCATTGCACTCTAGCCTGGGCAACAAGAGCGAAGCTCCATCTCAAAAAAAGAAAAAAAAAAAAAAGGGCCGGGTACGGTGGTTCATGCCTGTAATCCCAGCACTTTGGGAGGTTGAGGTGGGTGGATCATCTGAGGTCAGGAGTTTGAGACCAGCCTGGCCAGCACAGTGGAAACCCCGTCTCTACTAAAATACAGAAATTAGCCAGGTGTGGTGGGCGCATGCCTGTAATCCCAGCTACTTGGAAGGCTGAGACATGAGAATCACTTGAACCCAGTAGGCGCAGGTTGTAGTGAGCAGAGATCATGCTACTGCACTCTAGCCTGGGTGACAGAGTTAGACTCTGTCCCCCCCAAAAAAAAAAAAAAAAAAAAGAGGGGCGGCATGTTCTTTCTGGCTACTTCCTTTTGACGGGGATGGAGAGTTTTCTGGTTTCGGATTGACTATAGGAGTAATGCCATCTGTAGATGTTTTGGGGTAGTTGTCTGTGAAATGGCCATGATCCTGTCAGTTAAAAATCCTTGAAAAAAGTTTATTAGGCAGGGTAAGAACATTAGTCCTGGGCATATTATTAGGAGATGGCCCAGGAATGGGGATGACTCATGCTACGATTTTGTTCCCAAACCAAGAATCCATTTGGTTGTTTTGGTATTCCCTTAGCTTTTTAGTTCTTTCTTGCCGAGACCAGCTCGGTCGGGGAGACCCTAACCCAGCGGCGCTAGAGGAATTAAAGACACACACACAGAAATATAGAGGTGTGAAGTGGGAAATCAGGGGTCTCACAGTCTTCAGAGCTGAGAGCCCCGAACAGAGATTTACCCACATATTTATTAACAGCAAACCAGTCATTAGCATTGTTTCTATAGATACTAAATTAACTAAAAGTATCCCTTATGGGAAATGAAGGGATGGGCCGAATTAAAGGAATAGGTTGGGCTGGTTAACTGTAGTAGTTAACTGTAGCAGGATCTTCTGCTTAGTTTCTCAATTCATCCAAACCGTATCCAGGCCATCACCAATCATTCTATACGACAAATGCTCCTTCTAACAACCCCACAATATCACCCCTTACCACAAAATCTTCCTTCAGCTTAATCTCTCCGACTCTAGGTTCCCATGCCACCCCAATCCCGCTCGAAACAGCCCTGAAAAACATCGCCCATTATCTCTCCATACCACCTCCCAAAATTTTCACCACCCCAACACTTCAACACTATTTTGTTTTATTTTTCTTATTACTATAAGAAGACAGGAATGTCAGGCCTCTGAGCCCAAGCCTGCACGTATTCATCCAGATGGCCTGAAGTAACTGAAGAATCACAAAATAAGTGAAAATGGCTGGTTCCTGCCTTAACTGATGACATTACCTTGTGAAATTCCTTCTCCTGGCTCATCCCGGCTCAAAAGCTCCCCCACTGAGCACCTTGTGACCCCCACCCCTGCCAGCCAGAGAACAACCCCCTTTGACTGTAATTTTCCACTACCAACCCAAATCCTATAAAATGGCCCCACCCCTATCTCTCTTCGCTGACTCTCTTTTCAGGCTCAGCCCACCTGCACCCAGGTGATTAAAAAGCTTTATTGCTTATACAAAGCCTGTTTGGTGATGTCTTCACACATACGCGCGTGAAAGATCTGACTTGATCAAATCCAAAGGAAAGTTCCAAATTTTGTGGAACAAAGCCTCTCAAATGGTTGAATTAAAAAAAAAAAAGAAAGGCGGTGTGGTGAGGGAGAAAAACAGCCAGCAAAAGGGAGAAAAGAGGACAGATTTTGGATTTTGACTACTTTAGCCCCTTTAGGGGCTTTATTTACATAACGAGGCCACCTTTTTGCTAGTCAGGCGAAACTGAAAGAGCAATGGCTGTGCTTCTGAAACAGCGGCAATTTGTCCCAGCTCAAAAATGGTAATGAAATTTAAAAACATTTTTTTAAAGGAGCTCAATGGTTAAAGTCAGCTTAATTAAAAGCTAACATCCAAGATGTGTGTGTGTACGTGTGCATATGTGTGTTTGTATTCAAAGGCCGTCATTTATTTTTTCTGTCCTAGGACGTTGTCCTTTATTTTTGAGGAAAAGTTTTTTCTTCTTAGTTGACTGAATTCTGTTTTCTTCATTCACTTCTCCTGTCTCTCCTTTCTCTTGTACCCTCTGCTGCATGAGGGACCTAAAATAGTTTACAATCACCTGGGGTTCCTTTAAGAAAACGGAGAAGTTGCCAGACTCCCTTTTGGGGAGAAACTTGTTATTCCTTATAGAACCCCAAAAGTGTAAACAGACAAGTTCATCTCAGCCTTTAAGCTGCTTGCTTTTGTATTGTGTTACCGGATATATTGACTATAATAATTATTGCAACACAGGGTACTCTGGGTTTTTAAAGAAGGGTGTAGTTTAGACACTTAGAAATATCTTTGTTTTAAAAAAAAATTTTTTTTAAGTGCACTGTAAAAACATCAGATAGTCTAGCCTCAGAATAATTCTCCCGGTTTGGAAACCCAGGATTCAGTGTGGGCCCTGCCCAGAGCTCAGAGAGCTAGTTAAAAGACAGGTAGTCTGGCCAGGTGTGGTGGCTCACACCTGTAATCCCAGTACTTTGGGAGGCCGAGGCGGGTGGATCACCTGAGGTCAGGAACTCGTGACCAGCCTGACTAACATGGTGTAAACCCCATCTCTACTTAATACAAAAAAATCAGCCAGGCATGGTGGTGCATGCCTGTAATCTGAGCTACTTGGACTGAGACAGGAGAATCACTTGTACCTGGGAGGTAGAGGTTGCAATGGGGATTGATGATGCAACTGGGTAGAGGGGGAGGTTCGATTTTTATGGTGTATGAGAAAGCGCATAGTGTCTATGAATAACCTTTCACTGCTATTCATGGGGCCAGGTATAAGCAAGCAAGAGGACAGCTAGGAGGAGAGTCCGAAGAACAAGGGGAAGGTAGCCAAGGATGGAGTGAAATGCAGGGCAAATGTCTTAAAGGAAATGAGAGGTTCTAAGAGGCGAGCTCGTGGCTTGTAACCCACATGGAAGAGGTTAAAAAGGACGATAGAATGGAATGAGCCTGTGAGGCTGGAAGGAGGTATTTTCCTTGGTCTAAGAACCATTTGCCTTGAGTAGGGAGGGATTGATATGTGGAAACTTCAGTGGGAGAGTAAGTAGGAGTGACTGATGAGGAGAAAAACTGGCCATGAGGGACAGAAGTAGGAATACAGGCTGCTTCTTTAGCTGTCTTATCAGCATAATTGTTGCCTTGAGCAATGGGGTCTGAGGCCCTTTGATGGCCTTTTCAGTGAATGACTCCAGCTTCCTTTGGAAATAAAGCGGCCTTGAGAAGAGGAAATCTCTTTCAGCCCATGTAACAGCATGGTGGTGCAGTATGGAAGGCATATTTAAAGTCAGTATAAATATTAGCATGCAGTCCTTTTGCAAGAATGAGGGCTCGAGTTAAGGAAATGAGTTCGGCTTGTTGAGAGGTAGTGGAGTGGGGCAGAGCGGTAGCCTCAATGATAGATGTGGAAGATACTATAGCATAGCCTGCCTTTCCTGGTGAGTGGCAATTAGGCCTGGTGGAACTGCCATCAATAAACCAAGTGTGATCAGAGTGAGGAACAGGAAAGAAGGAAATATGGGGAAATGGAGTGAATGCCAAGTGGATTAGACAGACACAGTCACGGGGGTCAGGTGTGGTATCAGAAATAATGTGGGGGCCAGCCTAAAACAGTAAGGTCAAGTTGTTTGAACAGAAAGGCTACAGGGTGGGGTCCTGGCCCTTGTGTAAGAATTCTGACCGCACAGCCCTGCACTTCGGCTACGTGTAATGAAAAAGGGTTGGGATGAGTTAGGGAAAGCTAGTGTGGGAGCAGCTTCTAGGGCTGTTTTTAAGGAATGGAAAGAGGAGTGGGGGAAAGGATTTAGGATGGGGTCAGCTAGGTTTGCTTTTGTGAGTTTATATAATGGTTTAGTCAGGATAGCAAAACCAGGTATCCAAAGGTGAAAGTACGTAACCATGCCTAGGAAGGAAAGGAGTTTTTGCTTTGTAGAAGGGGTTGGGGTTTGGAAGATTAGCTGGACACGATCAGCAGGGAGAGCACATGTGTTTTTATGAGAATTATGCTGAGATAGGCAATGGATGAGGAAGAAATTTGGGCTTTAGAGGGGATATGCGATATCCTTTTGAGAATAGATGTTGGAGGAGCAGGAGGGTGTCCTGTTGGGAAGATTTGTAGGGGGAGCTATAAAGTAGAAGGTCATCAAAGTATTGAATAAGGTGAGAACCAGATGGATGGAAAGAAAGTAAATCATGAGAAAGGGCTTGACTGAAGTAATGGGGGCTGTCCCTGAAGCCTTGTGGCAGTACAGCCCAGGTAAGTTGCTGAGGCTGATGGGTGTCAGGGTCAGTCCAAGTGAAAGCAAAGAGAGGCTGGGATGAAGGGTGCAAAGGAATAGTAAAGAAAGCATCTTGGAGATCCAGAACAGAATAATGGGTTGTGGAGGGAGGTATTGAGGATAGGAGAGTATATGAGTTTGGCACTATAGGATGGATGGGAAGGACGATTTGATTAATAAGGTGAAGATCCTGAACCAACCTGTAAGACTTGTCCGGTTTTTGTACAGGTAGGATAGGAGAGTTGTAAGGAGAGTTTGTAGGCTTTAAAAGGCCATGCTGTAACAGGTGAGTGATAACAGGCTTTAGTCACCTCAAATCCTGTTGTGGGATGGGATACTGGCATTGAGTGGGGTAAGGGTGATTAGGTTTTAATGGGATAGTAAGGGGTGAGGCTTTGAACTGGGGAAAAGAGAGGCAATGAGATGTGGCTGTAGCCCAGGAATAGTCAGGGAAGCAGCTAATTTAGTTAAAATGTCTCGACCTAATAAGGGAGTTGGGCAGGTGGGATAACTAAAAAGAAGTGCATAAAAGAATGTTGTCCAAGTTAGCACCAGAGTTGGGGAGTTTTAAGAGTTTTAGAAGCCTGGCCATCAATACCCACAACAGTTATGGAGGCAAGGGAAACAGGCCCTTGAAAAGAAGGTAATGTGGAGTGGGTAGCCTCTGTATTGATTAAGAAGGGGACGGACTTACCCACCACTGTAAGAGTTACCCAAAGGGTCTGTGATGGTCCTGGAGGTTTCTGAGGCGCTCGGGCAGTGTCAATCTTCAGCCACTAAGCCGAGGAGATCTGGGAAGGAGTCAGCCAAGGAATGTTGGGTTTGATCTCCAGGAGCTTTAGGAGTGGCAGCGATGTGAGCTGGACAGTCTGACTTCCAGTGGGGGTTCACACAGACAGGGCACGGCTTAGGAGGAATCCCAGGTAGTGGGCATTCCAAGGCTCAGTGGCCAGATTTCCAGCACTTGAAGCAAGATCCTGGGGAAGAAAGTCCTGGAGGAACATCTGGCTGCTGTGGTTTATGCGTTTTGAAGTTCTTGTGCGCTGGAGATGTGGCTGGGGTTTCTCTCACAGCAGAGGCAAGTAATTGCAACTCAGAAATACGGTGCCTCTTGGCTGTGTCTTCTCTATTATTGTACACCTTGAAGGCAAGGTTAATTAAGTCTTGTTGTGGGTTTTGAGGGCTGTAATCTAATTTTTGGAGCTTTTTTTAAATGTTGGGAGTGGATTGGGTAATAAAATGTATATTGAGAATAAGACGGCCTTCTGGCCCCTTGGGGTCTAGGGCAGTAAAGCGTCTAAGGGTTGTTGCCAAATGGGCCATGAACTGGGCTGGGTTTTTATATTTGATGAAAAAAAGCCTAAATGCTAATTGATTTGGGAGAGGTTGGCTAAAGAAAAAGGAGCATTAACCTTGACTATACCTACAGCTCCAGCCACCTCTCTAAGAGGAAATTGTTGGGCAGGTGGGGGAGGGTTAGTCACGGATAAGCGGACTGGATGTGAGGATGGGAGGTGCTAGAAGGATTATAGAGTGGGGGAGTGGAGGCTGGGAAGAATTGGGACCTGGCTCGGCCTGGCAAAGAGCAGCCTGGGGAGGAAGGGAGAGGTCAGATGTGTTCGTAGAAAAGGAGGATTCAAAGGACTCAGAGCTTGGGGTGGAGACTGAAGGAAAAGACAGGAGAGAAAGAAGGAAGATTTGGGGCAAGTCACATTAGGAGCAGAGACTAGGGTGGGACCAATATGTAGAAGAATGTCTGGACGTCAGGCACCTCAGACCATTTGTCCATTTTTTGACAAAAATCATCCAAGTCTTGCAAGATGGAGAAATCAAAAGTGCCATTTTCTGGCCATTTGGAACCATTGTTGAGTTTGTATTGGGGTCAAGCAGTATTGCAGAAGAAAATAAGACGTTTAGGTTTTAAGTCAGGTGTTAGTCGAAGGGGTTTTAGGTTTTTAAGAACACAGGCTAAGGGAGATGAAGGGGGAAAGGAGGGTGGAAGATTGCCCATAGTGAAGGAGGCAAGCCCAGAGAAAAGAGAGGGTAGAGACACGGCAGTGAGGTGGTCCTTGCCACCCAGGGGAGGTGGTACTTGCCACTCAGGGGAGGTGGTACTTGCCACCAAGATGAAGGATCAAGGCAGGTGTCCCCACAGTGATCAGACACCTCTGAAATGTGGATGAATAATCAGGCAGGCGTCCCTGCAGTGATTAAACACCAAGGGAAGACTTTCCTGAGTCCGTGACTGGCGCCGGAGTTTTGGGTCCGTGGATAAAATGTGTCCCCTTTGTCTCTACTGGAGAGGAAAAAGAACTGGAATTGGAAGGACAGGGAGATTGGAGGGTAATGAGAGAGGCTGGAGAAGAGAGTGAAAAGACTGCTTACCTGATTTGAAATTGGTGAGATGTTCCTTGGGCTGGTTGGTCTGAGGACCTGAGGTTATAGGGGAATTTCCTCATGGAGTGAGGGCGAGGACAGGGGACTGGTCTCCCAAAGGATTCCTCCTGTCCCAGGTCTTCGGCACCAAATGTCACATGCGTCTGTGTGAAGAGATCACCGAACAGGCTTTGTATGAGCAATAAAGCTTCTTAATCACCCGGGTGCAGGAGGACTGAGCCTAAAAAAGAAGTCAGCAAAGAGAGTTAGGGGTGGGGCAGTTTTATAGGATTTGGGTAGGTAGTGGAAAATTACAGCCAAAGCGGGTTGTTCTCTGGTGGGCAGGGGCAGGGGTCACAAGGTGCTCGGTGGGGGAGCTTCTGAGATTCATTGTCCAGGAGAAGGAATTTCACAAGGTAATGTCATCAGTTAAGGCAGGAACCGACCATTTTCACTTCTTTTGTGGTTCTTCGTTGCCTCAGGCCATCTGGATGTATACACGCAGGCTTGGGCTCAGAGACCTGACACCGAGTAGCTAGGATTACAGGCGTGCACCACCATGCCTAGCTAATTTTTGTATTTTTAGTAGAGATGGGGTTTCACTATGTTGGCCAGGCTGGTCTCAAACTCCTGACCTCAAGTGATCCGCCCGCCTTAGCCTCTCAAAGTGCTGGGACTACAGGTGTGAACCACTGCACCTGGTGATTTTTGTAATTTTATGTTTGATTTGGCATCCATCTTTTATTTATTTATTTATTTTTTTGAGATGGAGTTTTGCTCCTATTGCCCAGGCTGGAGTGCCATGGCATGATTTCAGCTCACCACAACCTTTGCCTCCCAGGTTCAAGTGATTCTCCTGCCTCAGCCTCCTGAGTAGCTGGGATTATAGGCATGTGACACCACGCCCGACTAATTTTGTATTTTTAGTAAAGACAGGGTTTCTCCATGTTGGTCAGGCTGGTCTCAAACTCCCAACCTCAGGTGAGCTGGCCTCCCAAAGTGCTGGGATTAAAGGCATGAGCCACCTCACCTGGCCAGCATCCATCTTTAATTTCCCCTATCAAACCAGACTTTTTATCTCTGTAACTTATGATATAAATTGTTATTTGATTTTCACTCGACTTGTTTCCTTTAATCTGCAAATTTGAGGCTATTTAGCTGACAATTGCCTAGGGTTATGAAACAACTTATCAAGAATCTGAAAGTCTAAGAATCTATAAGATGTACATCTATCGGGATGCGTAATATGTGTATGTATTTATGTGTTGTGTATACAATGGTTCACTACTAAAAATACATAAAAGAGCTCTAATTAATTGGCTAAAAAGAAAGCACTTAAATCAGATACCAAAGAAAAACGAGTAGACAAAAGCTTTTCCAAGTTCACGTGACTTAAGTAAAATAATAAATAAACTGGGGTGGGTGCCCCTGTAATCCCAGTACTTCGGGAGGCCAAGGCAGGAGAATCGCTTGAACCCGGGAGGCAGAGATTGCAGTGAGCTGAGATCACACCACTCTACTCCAGCCTGGGTGACAGAGCAAGACTCCATCTCAAAAATAAAATAAAATAAAATAAATAAGCTGGAGTTAATAGTTGCAGGTAGTGGTAGTCATGGACGCTCTGGATTGAGTTGTAAATCCCAAAACGAAAAGAGCCAAGAGATTCCTTGAGGAGAGAGAACCAAAACTCAAAGAAAACATTTAAAACTAATTCATACTTGTCCCTGCCAAATACTATACGGCATCAATATTTGGCATAAGGGTTACAAAACTATGAACCCAGCCCAAGACAGAATGATCTTTGCTTTTATAATCTTTAGTAAATAAACCATTGATATTTGTTTAATGAAAACAGCTAAATCTTGAATTTAGTAAGGAAGTTTGCTTTGGGAAAGGACTTTTACCATTTTTGTTTCAAAGCTAACCTATAAACTACGTTCCTCCCAAAGTTAGTTCAGCCTACGCCCAGGAATGAACAAAGACAGCTTGAAGGTGAGAAGCAAGATGGACTCAGGGCAGATCTTTTTCACTATCTCAGCTGTAATTTTGGAATGGCAGTTTCATGACTTTAAATGATGACTATCACAATTTTCATAAATAGTCTAGGTAAACAATTAAAGTAGGTAAATGAAATGCAATAAATACTTGCAGACAAACGTCATAATTTAGAATCCATAGTTATATTAAATAATAGATATTTCATTATTTGGGTATTTTCAAATAAAATATATATTGTAGGAAAACATTCTTGCTAAAAAAAAGTGAATTCACCTTTAAAAAAGGTGAATCATTTTTGTCTACTTCAAAGATTATTTATGTATGAAACAAGATAGGAAGTTATAAAAACAAAGAGGTTTGGCCAGGCACAGTGGCTCACATCTGTAATCCCAGCACTTTGGGAGGCCGAGGCGGGTGGATCACCTGAGGTCAGGAGTTCAAGACCAGCCTGGCCAACATGGTGAAACCCTGTCTCTACTAAAATACAAAAATTAGCTGGACATGATGGTGGGTGCCTGTAATCACCGCCACTCGGGAGGCTGAGATGGGAGAATCGCTTGAATCCAGGAGATGGTGGTTGCAGTGAGCCAAGATCATGCCACTGCACTCCAGCCTGGGTGGCTGAGTGAGACATTGTCTCAAAATAAATAAATAAATAAATAGGCCGGGCCTGGTGGCTCACGCCTGTAATCCCAAAACTTTGGGAGGCCGAGGCGGGCAGATCACGAGGTCAGGAGATCGAGACCATCCTGGCGAACACGGTGAAACCCCGTCTCTACTAAAAATACAAAAAATTAGCAGGGCGTGGTGGTGGGCGCCTGTAGTCCCAGCTACTCGGGAGGCTGAGGCAGGAGAATGACGTGAACCTGGGAGGCGGAGCTTGCAGTGAGCTGAGATAGCGCCACTGCACTGGGGCCTGGGCGAAAAGAGCGAGACTGCGTCTCAAAAAAAAAATAAGGCCAGGTGGCCAGGTGCAGTGGCTCATGCCTGTAATCCTAGCACTTAGGGAGGCCGAGGTGGGTGGATTACCTGAAGTCAGGAGTTCAAGACCAGCCTGACCAACAAGGTGAAACCCCATCTCTACTAAAAATACAAAAATTAGCCAGGCATGGTGGCGCGCACCTGTAATCCCAGCTACTTCGGAGGCTGAGGCAGGAGAATCACTTGAACCCAGGAGGAGGAGGCTGCAGTGAACCAAGATGGCACCATTGCACTCCAGCCTGGGCAACAGAGTGGGACTCCATCTCAAAAATAAATAAATTAATTAATTAATTAAAATAAAAACCCTAAATAAATAGGTTGTTTTTTTTTTGCCAGGCAGCTTAGGGAGAAGTAATTTCATATGAGAAAGAGAAATTTCATATGAGAAAATGACTAGTTGTTTAAGAAGGAGGGATGTTCAGGACAAACCAGAAACTCCAAGCATATCATGAACAGTCTGAAATTTAAGTTGTCTGGCTTCAGTTCATAGGGCTTTAAGAAAGCACAGCTTAGTTTTCAGTGACTCCAAATTAGGAAAAATGGGGGAAAAAAAGGAGAAAAAAATAAAAACATCATTTTGAAGACTTGTAGCCAAGAAAATATTAGAATTCGGTCCAGACTGTAGAAAATAATGAAAATTGGGCTGGGCACACTGGCTCACACCTGTAATCCCAGCACTTTGGGAGGCTAAGGCAGGCGGATCACCTGAGGTCAGGAGTTGGAGACCAGCCTGACCAACATGGAGAAACCCCATCTCTACTAAAAATACAAGATTAGCTGGGTGTGGTGGCACATACCTATAATCCCAGCTACTCAGGAGGCTGAGGCAGGAGAATCACTTGAACCCAGGAGGCAGAGGTTGCAGTGAGCTGAGATCACACCATTATACCCCATCATGGTCAACAAGAGCAAAACTCCATCTCAAAAAAAAGCAAAAAGAAAATAAAAATTGAAAAAACATTAGGCAAGACTAGAATCTAACAGCAGGTGTACTGTAGCTCCAAAACATAATTTTTCTCTCTCCAGGTTCCCATTTTTACTAAAGACAAATCATCGTAGGACTGGCTTGCTTTATTATACTTGTCATAATCATTTGTATAAAGTGCAGCAAGAATAATTTTTTTTACATAAACTTTTATTTATTTATTTAATTTTATTTTTTGAGATGGAGTTTTGCTCCTGTTGCCAAGGCTGGAGTATAATGGCATTATCTCGGCTCACTGCAACTTCAGCCTCCCAGGTTCAAGCAATTCTCCTCCCTCAGCCTCCTGAGTAGCTGGGATTACAGAACGCCACCAACACGCCCAGCTAATTTTTTGTATTTTTAGTAGAGATGGGGTTTTACCATGTTGGCCAGGCTGGTCTTGAACTCCTGACCTCAGGTGATCCACCCACCTCAGCCTCCCAAAGTGCTGGGATTACAGGTGTGACCCACCGTGTCCACCATACATAGGCTTTTAAATTGGCTTTGATGGAACTTCATTACATAAGAGGAATCTCAGAAAAGACTTTTTAAAAGTCGAGCCCAGCCATGGATTTGTGCCATGAAATATCTGTGAGTTGGGTGAATTTCCTCTCCTCTTGAGGTTCCAAGATAAACCTGGGGCTTCTGGGCCTGTCAGAATGTGACGTTATTTACTTACCACACATCAGAAACCCTGCATAGGGACTGTATACACAAAATATGATGCCAGTTTTCCCAAGGGCTTTATTGGCTCCGTAAGTCAGGTTTGATTTCTCAAAGGAAAGCACACTATTCCAGTCAAAGCCTTGGTTAAATAACCAGTTTCTCCAATTGTGTCCTGTTACAAATGAAAACGGATTCTTTTTTTGTTTTTTTAGATGGAGTCTCACTCTGTCTCCCAGGCTGGAGTGCAATGGCATGATCTCATTTGATTTCAACCTCTGCCTCCTGGGTTCAAGCGATTCTCCTGCCTCAGCCTTCCAAGTAGCTGGGATTACAGGTGCACGCCACCATGCCCAGCTAAATTTTGTATTTTGAGATGGGGTTTCTCCATGTTGGTCCGGCCGGTCTTGAGCTCCTGACCTCAGGTGATTCGCCCGCCTTGGCCTCCCAAAGTGCTGGGATTATAGGCGTGAGCCTCTGCACC